>NC_000002.12:152035072-152338102 GCF_000001405.40 Homo sapiens | reverse complement strand
TTGAACTGATTTCTTAAGCAACTCATGAAGAAAAGCAAAGTTGAGATTATCACACACACAACTCCAGAAAAAAAAAAAAAACAAGAGAAATCACCAACACTGCGCACTTCTATTGGCCCACGGAGATGATCTGGAAGGTTTCAACTCCTCTCACAGATTGTCAAAGAGCAAGTGGAGCTGACCTGGGACAAGGAACGCATCAATGGTCCAAATGCGTCCCTAGGAAGAGGGTTCCCAAGCTGACCTGGTCCCCCAAAAGCTTTGTCTCTACTCAATAAAAGGTCAGCCTGGTATTGTTTTTGTTTCTTGATTGAGAGGCTTAGAATATTGTAAACAATTTTAAAAGGAATTGCACCCAGTAACTGCGACACACAGTAGTGTAAAAGTAGCCACAACAACCCTGCCCCAAGAAGCTTGGGATGTACAATCATAATTGTCTAAATACTATATTTGCAACTGCTAGCCTTAACAAGAACACAAATCCACCATGTTAATGATGGGACATTATTTTTCTAAAGATTAATTCACACCATGTGTTATTAATCAGCAGGGTAAATGAAAGCTCAAGCAAAAAAAAATGCTATCCTAGTCAAGCAGAACTTAATTGCATTATTGTTATTATTATGGCTGCTGCACTGGTTTCCCTGTGTCACTGGCTCCTCCACCACAAGTATTCAGACACACACACACACACACACACACACACACACAGAGCACCACAGCATGGATGGAAAAACAAAAAAGCCAGAGCCAGGAGGAAAAAAAGCCAGAGCCAGGAGGTAAGAACCATATGTCTAGTAGGAAGAGGGTTTTGAAGAAAAACGTTTGTCTCTGGAAAAGCAGGTCAAGTATGCACCCAGGCCGCCTTGAGAGTTATGCCTAGGCCGTTTCATTTCAGTGTCCCATCTTGCACAACGGTGGGAGCAGCTGTGGGAGATCACAGGAGATGCAAAGCAACACAAGCAACCTCATCTGTCTCCCCGACGGCCACACCAGAGTTTCCAGGTGGCGGGAGAGAGAGCTCAGTTCTCCCAAAGAGCACACAGCTAACCTGCCATCCAGAACATCACTTCCCATACCAAACCATTCCTTTTTCAAGGCCTGAAGGCAGGCAATTTGAACGTCCTGTAGCTGAGCACACCTCAGAAAACCGATTTTTGATCTAGAACTCGAGTCCTCTGCCAAAGTTCTAAGTTTTCATGAAAACAAAAGAAGAAAAGAAAACCCGCAGGCAGGCACAATCGTTGGCTGCCCGGATCACGAGTTTCCCTTGCTGCCTAGTCTTGTGGAGTTTAGAGGTAACCAACTAGGAAAAGAGAAGTGTCCAAGTGTCAGGAGTAGGAATGAGCCCAATCTCGCCTGTGTGTGTCCCTCCCAACATCCCTTAGAAGAGGCTGGGACACTAAAACTGGTAGTCTGGGGGACCAACAGCAGTCCAGATCCTGGCTGGGGCAAGCCGCCACACCCTCTGCAGCTCACAGCACAAGCCTCGGCTGGGAGGGGCCCAGACACTGTCCCAGCAGGAAAGGGAGAAAGAGGGGAGTTTTCAGAGTCCTGGATTTGAGGAGCTGGAAAGCTGGGAGAAGCGGAATGCAGGAGGGAGCGGGGGACCTGGCTGGGCGTGCAAGAGGAGGGGAGGGGTCGCCCGTGCAGTCAGGACAGCTCGCAACACGTCCCCGCAAAACTCCACATTTTTGTGGTTTAAGATTTAAGTCTAGAGGGAACGCGCTGAGGTTCTCCCCGGCCTGGGTTTCAGATGCCCCTGCTCCTCGCCAAGGGCCGGGGCGCCGCACTGCTGTGGGTCTCCGCTTTCCCTTTCGGGGAAGCTCCCCTTGGCCAAGCCGCGACGTGAGCCCTCCAAGTTCGCCTCCGCTCACCGCCCGGCGCGGCGCCCGCGGCCGGCCACATGCGCCCCATCTGCCGGGGACTTCGCAGGTCCCGGGCTGGCCGCCCGAGGGATGGTCCGCAGGGGCTCAGGGTGTTTTGTTTTGTTTTGTTTTGTTTTGTTTTTTTTAAAAAAAAAGCCTAAGCGGCTCGCCACCTCCTCCTCCCAGCCCGCGCCACCTTCTCTTCACGCCCACGCCGCACCTCCCGGGCACACGCGCCGTGAGGTGCCTCTCCAGCCAGACAATGGGTTCGAGGCTGGTTGGGCAGCCGGCCCTGAGCCCCCATCCCCATCCCGGGACCCCGAGAGACTGAGCGCGGGGGACTGCCAGGGGGGTGAAGAGGAGTGCTGGGGGGCCACAAAGGGGAAAGCGGGAGCCTCCCCCTCGGGAATGGAGGCTCGCTCCCGGCACGGGGTGAAGGGGAGGGGCGGGGGTCAGCTGCGCCGCCCGGCCCGGGGCCCCGGGTCCCCGCGCCCGACCGCCGCCGCGCACTTACCAGCACGATGGCAAATCGCTCCTCCAGTTCACCTGGCTCTGGCATCGGCAGCTTCAAAGGCACGTTGTGCGCCCTGAAATCGGTCTGCTGCGAATCCATGCTCCCTGCGTTGCCCATGTCGGCGGCGCGCCGGGGCCGGGGGCTGCTCCGGGCCCCTAGCGTGCGCGTCGGAAATCAGAACAGCTCCCGGCGGTCGGCTGCCGCCCGCAGGCGCGACCTGCCCGGCTCCCCGCCCTCCGCCGCGCCCAGGCGGGTGTGCGGCGCGCACCGCTCCCTAGCAGCGCTCCAAGCCGAGCCGCCCCCCGGCCTCCCTCATGCTCTCCGCCGCCCCAGCGCGGCCCCGGCCTCTTTTCCTCGGGAGGGGTAGTTGGGGCGCTGGGCGCCTATGTGCATGGTGCTCCGCTGGCACACCGCCCCCTGCCAGAGATCGCGGCCCCCGGCGCGTGGTCCCTCCTACTCGGCCTTCTGCCGGGCCCGCGGCCGCCGCTGACACTTCCAGCCCTAGCCGGCCACGGCTGCGCCTGCCTGGCTAGCACCTGGAGCAGACAAATGCAGCTCCGCGCTCCCCTACACAATGCCACCTCTCGCCCGGCGCCCGGCCCCCGCCCCCGGCCCGGCTCCGCCCACTCGCCCCGCGGACTGCCGGGACGCGTAGTTTCTCTCCAAAGTGTCCGCGCGCAGAAACCACGCCTGCTCTAGAGCGCCAGGCCGGGTTGGGACCATTTGCAGCAAAGGCGATCCGTAGTCTCTGGAGATAGCATATTGTCACTTTTGACCCTCCTCACCCCAACAGTGGAATACTTACATCGTGTATATCATGTTGACACTTGGTAGGCGGGTCTGACCATGACGGAATCGAATCAATGAATGAAGGAATGCATGCCTTCTGATTAAAATTCAGAAAATCGTTGCTGTTTTTAAAAGATCTAGTTCAGTAAGGAACTTCGAAAGCACTGGCAAAGTTCTGTTTCATAAACGGGGGGGTGGGTCCATGGGTGCTTGTTTATCGTTCTTTCTTCCATATATATGTTCTTTGGTGTGATTGAAATGTTTTATAAACAGATGTATAATTTATGGGTATATATAGTCAGACCCTAGGAGCTAGGTAAGGATTCAATTCAATTTAAAAAAAAAACCTGTCAAACACCTATTATGTATGGGATATTGTGTTCCTTGGTGGGAGAAAAAAGAGATTTGCCCTGCGCTGGAATACTTGCCAATCTAGTGAAGGAAAAAATGTACACACCCATATTTCATGTGAGATGGATATAATGATAGAGTGTTCTGGGAGACTTTGGGATGATCTTTGGCTGCAGCTCTCTTATTCCTTCACAGCAGTCTTGAGCAAGGTGTCTTACAGAAAAGATTGGACCTGACTCTGTCCTCTGGGGTGTATTTCAGACTATAACTACCCGTTCTGAAACCTCGGAAATAGAAATAGCCTTATAAGAGACTTTAGCCAACTGCTCATGTGAATGTTAAGGGCATACATCTGGTTGACTTGTGGCTGAACTTCTGCAGTTAGTCCTTTCTTAGTTTAAAGCAGTGTTTCTTAATCCTAGATGTGTATCAGATTCGCTTGGGAAGCTTTTTGTTAAAACTACACACACCTTGGGCTCTGCGTATTATCAGAATCTCCCTAAGCTGAGAGCCGAAGCCTGGGCCGGTGTATTTTCAACAAGCTCCCCAGGTGATTTTGATATGCAGGTAAGGTTGTTATCCTTTTAGTAAATAGCAAGTGTTTCTGGACAAGGTAGTACACCAAGATTCAATCAAGGACATTTCATTCATCTTTATAAACTTCAAGATACTTTAAACATAGTAGACGCCCAAGAACTATTTGTGGAATTGACAAGTGACTTTTTCCAAAAGCATATGACACAAATACACACAAATACATCATGTATGTTCTATTAAACCACTTCTAGTCTTTAAAGAATGGAGACAGTATAAATAAATTCAACTTAAAATTCTGAATAACTGTAACCTGTATTTCTAAAGCAGTGTTGTATCAAAGTTAATAGCAAATGTGTTACTGATCTGAGAGAAAAGCAGGGCGGTTTAGATACACACACACTCCAAACTAATGAAAATGAGAGAGAAAGAAAGCAGTTCGGACCAGGTGAAACATTTCTGACCCACAAATGTATTTATTTCCTTGTAATCTCTAGACATATACTTTGGATCTGATTGACTCACAAAATCAGCCCACCCAGAGGGTTGCCCATCTGGATAAAAAAGGCTGGAATTCTTTTCTGCAGTTGAGAAAGCCTTTTTGATTACATTTATGTCTCCCTGCGGCTATATTTCTGCCAGTAACCAAGACCTTTTTCTCCCCTTACGTCTTATCACATCTAGTCTCTCTCATAAGCTCACACTTCGAGGGAAGCCAAGGAAAAAGTGTGCAAATCTATGAACCAAAAGAACTTTCCTGCCATTTCAATGTTTGGAATCTCTAATATTTGGTTGTTATTTGTGATTATTAAGAGGAGAAATAAACACTCCATAGGCTTGTACAATTTCTATAAGAATCCATCAAAATCTTAGGAAATTCTTTGCGGGGAGACGGCATGGAGGGAAAGGAAAGAAAAGACATTTCTATTACCTTAATTGTAGCACTCTTCCTCCCCACAGAATTAAAATCAAGCAATCATTTAAAAATGTATATTCCATTTATTATTATTATTATATATGATTTGTTACAGCTCATGTGCAAAATATTGGCAAAAAAGAAAATGTCTGGGCCGGGCATAGTGGCTCACACCTGTAAGCCCAGCAGTTTGGGAGGCCAAGGCAGGAGTATTGCTTGAGCCCAGGAGTTTAAGACCAGCCTGGCAACATGGAGAAACTCCATCTCTAAGAAAAATGCAAAATTATT
Organism: Homo sapiens; assembly: GCF_000001405.40. NCBI lineage: Eukaryota > Metazoa > Chordata > Mammalia > Primates > Hominidae > Homo > Homo sapiens. The sequence continues at coordinate 152,332,842 of NC_000002.12, read as the reverse complement.
AAGAGACAAAAATGGCGAAGTATGATCTTCCAGGTACACTCCACTGGAAAAAAAAAGAAAAGAAAAAGAAAGCCAGTTGTATGGGCATGCATACAACTTCCTAAACACACTGTGTGTGCTCAATTCCCCAGGGTAAGAAGAGCACCATGCATGCAGAACGCCTACCCTAAGGGAAGAATCATGGGAAAGAGAGATGGGATCTCACTGTTGCCCAGGCTGGTCTCAAATTCCTGGCTGCCAGCTATCCTCCTGCCTTGGCCTCCCAAAGTGTTGGGTTTACAGGTGTGAGCCACTGTGCCAGTTTGATATTCTTTATAACAAAGCCTGCAAGATTTCTTCCCATACAGAATTTTCTGAAGACAACAAAGAAGCTAATTATTAATAATTGGATGCATACTATGAGATGAGAATTATATACCTTCTTCTAGACTGTCAACTTAGAACAGAATTCAGAAAACTATGCCTGTAAACCAAATCCATTCATCTGCCTACTCTTATAAATAGTTTTATCGGAACACAGTAAAACCATTTATTTACCTACTATCTATAGCTGCTTTTGCACTGCAAGGATGGAGTTGAGTTGATATGACATAGACCATATGGCCCTCAAAGCCTGAAGTTTTTACTATCAGGCCCTTTACAGAAAATGTTTGCTGATCCCTGACTCAGAAGATACTATATTTTGCAAATCGTAAGTACTATAAAGTGATATTTTTACCTATTATCTATGTGATGTAACAAAACTACCTTTAAAACCTAATGGCTTAAAATGTTTAAAAATATGCAAAAATTTTTTTAAATTTTTGGTGTGTGACATCCACCTGTCTTCCTAGCTGCTGCTAGGGAGGCTGAGGTGGAAGGATTGCTTGAGCCTGGGTGGTTGAGGCTGCAGTGAGCCATAGGTGTGCCACTCTACTCCAGCCTGGGCAACAGAGCAAAATCAAGGTCCTATCTTAAAAAGAAAGAAAAAAAGAAAAATGTCTATTAAAACTGTACTTAGCTTCCAGGGACACTGAAATGTTAGAACATTTATCTTCTATGTGCATTTCCAAGCTATGCCAGGGATGGCTTGGTCTGGGATTCCTCTACAATGGTGTGATTGCTTTCAAAGAAGCTTTTCCATTATTCAGGACAAATACTTCTACAAGATCAGCTGTTTGAGGGATTGGAGCTAAGTTTTATTGGTATCTCCTCAGGTTCTAAATGTAAGGAACAGCTCTGCAGGTAAGTTCACTTAGTGTCTTAGAAAGGCTAACTGAACTTGGCTACAGAGTAGTAACCCTAAGATTCTCCTTGTGTGTGTAATTATGTACAAATGAGGTCAGTGCTCTGTGAAAAATACAACTATTGATAGTCCTGAATCAAAATTGTGAAGTAGAACTAGCTGGGATTTTAGAGGGATTGCTATTTGTCAATTTACATCTACAACAGTTCTGCAAGATTGACATATTCACCTACATTTATTTGAAGAATATTTATTGAGCACTTACTATGTGCCAGGCACTGCTCTTGATTTGTAAACAAATTTTAAACATGAGTTTTTTCCCTTTTGCTTTATACAGCCTTCTTTAAACAGTTAACTTACCAAGATGTAACTTAACTCTCCAGTTCCCCTCCTCCTCCTGAATCAATTAGGAATGCTTTCACCACCCAACTAATAATGTCTTAAATAATATATTTTTCTCATATGACAAGAAATATGGAGAAAGGTAGCTGCCAAATTTTTTTTGGCAATTCAGTAAGGCTACAGCCAGTATCTGTAGGATGGCCTGGTCCTTTCCCATGTACTTATAAAATAACAGTCAGGGTGCTATGAATCAGTCAGGGTGCTATGAATCAAGTCTGCCTGTATTCCAGGCAGAAAGCAGGGGGGAAGGGGCAATGTCAGTGTCATGGCCAGACCCCTATTTGACTTCAGTAGGAAGGGCACCATGTTCAAGAGGCCGAAGAAGAGACCCAGAGAATGACCCAGAGCCAGAGAATGAGATATATATATGGGGCTTATTGGGGGGACTTGCACACAGGGTAATCCAGTGGTGGTGGGCTGGACAGGAGAAACACAACTGCTTGTAACAAGCATGAAGTTTATATAGAATTTCAGTTAGCACCTTCCCTGTAGCAACCTCCACCTGACAACCTCCATCTGACTCAAAACAAAGGGCCTCCATCCCCTACACAGCATGGGGGCCCAGATGTTCCACAGATATAAGGAATGAATGAGATAGGTCGCTTCCAGATCCCTTAGCTCAGAACTCCAAACACACGTTCTTCTTAAGCCACAGGGTCATTTTCAGAATGTGTTTAAGTTATGGCTGACAGGTACATCTCCTCTCCTATACACTCAGTTAAGCCTGTTCCTTTTATCAGGAAAGCAGGGGCTTGCTAGTGGTACATCAAACCACTGGCAGACTGCCAATTATTCCTCATTTTCCGCAGCTGAGTAATATGCCCATTCCTAGCTGCAAGAAGAGCGGGCAGAGCCAAGTGTAACCTGTGGCTTGACATATTCCTCACCTGGATAAAATCAAGAGTCTAATAGCAAGGAGGCAATAGATGTGGGTAAACAATGGGTAAACAACAATTATCTTCTAACTTCTTCCCCACATATTTTGTACCTTTGAATAATACTTTACATTTGTATATGACTTCATATTTTACTAAATGCCTTTATGTTATTTTATCCTATCAATACAACAGTAAGGAAGCATAGACCCAACAAAGTAATTTTTTTCTAGTTTATACAAGTGAGAGATTTGGAAATTAGGTATTTTGATTCACAAATCAGTATTCTATATTGCCTTAAAATTTTTCTCTGAAATTATCATGTATTTTTGTTTTTGTTTTTGTTTTTAGACAGGGTCTCACTCTGTCACCCAGGCTGCAGTGCAGTGGTGAGATTATGGCTCACTGCAGCCTTGGCCTCCCGGGCTCCAGTGATCCTCCCACATCAGCCTCCTGGGTAACTGGAACTACAGGCACATGCTGCTACACCCAGCTAATTATTTTATTTTTTCCAGAGATGGGGCTTCACCATGTTGTACAGGCTGGTCTTGAACTTCTGGCCTCAAGTGATCCTCCATCCTTGGCCTCCCAAAGTTTTGGGATTAAAGGCAAGAGCCACCATGCCTGGCCCATCTATTCTTATATATAAAAGCATAATGTGACTTCTGCTTTTGATCAAGATGGAATATAAGGACCACATTTATACTCACACATGAAACTAATAAAAAACACTGGACAAATATATACGAAACAACAACCCTCAAGACATTAACCATCAGGCAATGAAGAATAGTGATCCCTGAGAGATGAGAAATGAACATAGAAAGCCCTAGGACTACCCCAGCTTACTGCCTGGAGAAAGTTCCTAGGGCACAGTGCAAAGAAGGGGAACCCAGACTGAGCCTGGGGGCATCCTTGACTGGCGAGGCACAGCTGCTTGTTCAGTGAACCCAAGGAGCTAGTGTTCTCAGGACAGAGTACCAAAAAAGAGAGAGCTGCAAGAAGAGCAATCTCCAGAGATCTTCAGAGGTGGCCATTCCAGTATTCATTTGAGTACAGATCAGTACATGCATGTGAGGAAAAAACCCAAAGCTAGTCATTTAATAATAAAGAGGTGAATTCATCAGAAGAACATAACACTCAATAACAGCGTTTCGAAATACATGAACTCCGGCCGGGCATGGTGGCTCATGCCTGTAATCCCAGCACTTTGGGAGGCCGAGGCAGGTGGATCACTTGAGGTCAGGTGTTTAAGACCCGCCTGGCCAGCATGGTGAAACCCCATCTCTACTAAAAATACAAAAATTAGCCAGGCACGGTGGTGCGTGCCTGTAATCCCAGCTACTTGGTAGGCTGAGGCAGGAGAATCACTTGAACCCGGAAGGTGGAAGTTCAGTGAGCTGAGATGATGCCACTGCACTCCAGCCTGGACAACAGAGTGAGATGCCATCTCAAAACAACAACAACAACAAAAATACATGATCTCCAAGGAGAAATAGATCCACAATTATAGTCAGCAATTTCAACGACCCTCTCTATTACAAAGTCTATTCCTTTACCACAATGGAATTAAATTAGAAATCAAGAACAGAAAGATCAATGGAAAATCTGAAAACTAAATAACTAAAATTCAGGAACCAAATAATGTACTTCCAAGAACCATGGACCAATTTTTAAAAATTAAGGGGAAATTATAATGTATTTTGAATCAAATGTAAGTGAAAACACAACATATTAAAATTTGTGGGATGCAGCTAAAATGGCAGTTAGGAATTTAGAACACTAAATCCCTATGTTAGGAAAGAACAGGCAAGGTGCCATGCCTGTAATCCCAGCACTTTGGGAGAACAAATTAAGAGGATCGCTTGAGGCCAGGAGTTCAAGACCAGCCTGGGTATCACAGCAAGTCCTTGTCTGTAAAAAAAAAATTGTAAAATGAACTGACTGTGATGATGTGTACCTATAGTCCCAGCTACTTGGGAGGCTGATACGGAATGATTGCTTGAGCCCAGGATCTTGAGGCTGCAGTGAGTTAATTGCACTGCTGCACTCCAGCCTGGGTGACAGGTCCTGCCTTTCTTTAAAATAAATAAATAAATAAATAAATAAATAAATAAATAAATAAATAAATAAAAAGAAAGAAAAGAACAAAGATTTAAAATCAATGTTCTCAATGTCTAACTTAAGAAACTAGAAAAAAAGAAACAAGTGAAAACCAAACGAAGCAGAAAGAATAATGAAGATTAGAGCAAAAATCAATGAAATGGAAAACAGAAAAACAATAGGAAAATTGATGACACCAAAAACTAGTCCCTTAAGAATATTATACCAATACCAATGTTATCAACATCTATTCAGATTTACCAGGAAAAAAAGAAAAAAGACACAAATAACCAGCATCATGAATGACAAAGTTAACTACAAATTCCACACATCCTGAAAGGATAATCAGGGAATGTTTTGAACAACTATATGTCAATAAATTCTACAATGTGAATGAAATGGATATGTTCATTCCTTAAAAGACACAATCTACCAAAGCTGATTCAAGAAGAAACAGATAACCTGAATTGCCATATATCTATTAAAGTAATGGAATCTATAGTTAAAAATCTTCCCACAAAGGGCCAGGTGCAGTGGCTCATGCCTATAAGCCCAGCACATTGGGAGGTCAAGGCGAGTGGATTGTTTGAGTCCAGGAATTGGAGAGCAGCCTGGGCAACATGGTAATACCCCACCTCTACTGAAAAAATAAAATAAAATCCTCCCACAAAGAAAACAATAGGGGCAGACAGCTATATTGGGAATTTTACCACCCACTTATGGTAGAAAGGGTACCAATGCTACCTAAACAAACACTTCCAGAAAATTGAAGATGGATGAATATTTCCCAACTCATAGGTCAATATTACCCTGATACCAAAACTGATTAAAGACATTACAAGAAAGAAAACTATAGCCAACATAAAATTCAAAATTTTAGCAAATATAAGCCAATAATATATAACAAAAATAATACATCCTGACCAAGCGGGGTTCATTCTAGGAAGGCAAGGTTGTTTTAGCATTTAAAAAAATCAAATAATATAATTCACAATATAACAGACTAAAAAAGGAAAGCCATATAATTATATCACTAGACGGAGAATAAGTATTTGACAAATTCAACATCCATTCCTGATACGAGCCCTCAACTGACTAGGAATAGAAGGGAACTTGCTCAACTTGACAAAAGCTATCTACAAAAAACCCTACTTATATCATACTTAACAATGAAAGGCTGTGATGGTTAATTTTATGTGTTAACTTGGCTGGGACAAGTAGATATTTGGTCAAACATTATTCTGGGGGTTTCTGTGAGTGTTTTTGTGGATGGCATGAACATTTAATTCAGTGGACATTCAGTAAAGCAGATTTTTCTCCGTAAGGTAAGTGGGCCATATCCAATCAGTTGAAGGCCTTAGTAAAACAAAGATTGATCTTTCCATGTAAGAAGAAATTCTGCCAGCAGACAGCCCTTGGATTTGAATCACAATGGGCTCATCTCCAGCCTGCCAGCCCACTCTGCAGATTTTGTTTTTGTTTTTTTGAGACAGGGTCTCACTCCGTCGCACAGGCTGGAGTGCAGTGGCGCGATCTCGGCTCACTGCAACCTCCACCTCCCAGGTTCAATTGATCATCCTGCCTCAACCTCCCAAGTAGCTGGGACTACAGGCATGTGCCACCATGCCCAACTAATTTTAGTATTTTTAGTTGAGACAGGGTTTCACCATGTTGGCCAGGTTGGTCTTGCACTCCTGACCTCAGGCGATCCACCCGCCTCGGCCTCCCAAAGTGTTGGGATTACAGGCATGAGCCACCGTACCTGGCCACCCTGCAGATTTTGAACCTGCCAGTCTCCATAATCATGTGAGCCAAATATATATATAGTAGACCCTTGAACAATTCAGGGTTTGGGGTGCTGACCATCCCCCCAGTGTAGCTGAAAATCCACGTATAACTTTTGATACCTCCAAAACTTAACTACTAATAGCCTACTATTGACAAAAATCTTATTGATAATATAGTTCATTGACACATATTTTGTATATGTATTATATATTGTATTTTTACAATAAAGTAAGCTAGAGAAAAGAAAATGTTATTAAGAATTATAACGAAGAGAAAATACTATTTATTAAGGGGAAGTGATCATCATAAAGGTCTTTACCCTTGTCTTCATGTGGAGTAGGCTGAGGAAGAGGAGGAAGAGAAGGGGTTGGAATTGCTATCTTACAGATGGCAGAGGTGGAAGAAAATATGTGTAGAAATGGATACATGCAATTCAAACCCACACTGTTCAAGGGTCACAGTGTATATAGGCTGAACACTGGCTCACGCATGTTATCCCAGCACTTTGAGAGGCTGAGGCAGGTGGATCACTTGAGGTCAAGAGTTGGAGACCAGCCTGACCAACATGGTGAAATCCCATCTCTACTAAAATACAAAAATTAGCCGGGCATGGTGGTGCCTGCCTGTAGTCCCAGCTACTCAGGAGGCTGAACAAGGATCACTTGAACCGGGGAGGTGGAGGTTGCAGTGAGCTGAGATCATGCCACTGAACTCCAGCCTGGGCAACAAAGCGAGACTGTCTCAAAAGGAAAAAATAAAACCAACAACTGTGTGTGTATGTGTGTGTGTGTGTGTGTGTGTGTGTGTGTGTGTGTGTTTCTGTTTCTCTGGAGAACTCCAAGAAATACAAAGACTAAATTCTTTCTTCCTAAAATCAGGCATAAGGCAGGAATATCCAATCTCACCCTTTTTATTCAACATTGTCCTAAAGGTTCTGGCCATTACAGTAAGTTGAGAAAACAAAATAAAATGCATCAGGTTTGGCCCAGGTATGGTGGCTCATGCTTGCGATCCCAGCACTTTGGGAGGCCAAGGCGGGTGGATTGCCTGAGCTCAGGAGTTCAAGACAAGCCTAGGAAACATGGTGAAACCGTCTCTATTGAAGAAAAGAAAAAGGCCAGGCATGGTGACTCACGCCTGTAATCCTAGCACTTTGGGAGGCTGAGGTGGGTGAATTGCCTGAGGTCAGGAGTTGGAGACTAGCCTGGCTAACATGGTGAAACACCGTCTCTACTAAAAATACAAAAATTAGCTGGATTGCCTGAGCTCAGGAGTTCAAGACCAGCCTAGGAAACATGGAGAAACCCTGTCTGTATTGAAAAAACAAAAAGGCCAGTCGTGGTGGCTTACGCCTGTAATCCCAGCACTTTGTGAGGCCAAGGCGGGCAGATTACCTGAGGTCAAGAGTTCGAGACCAGCCTGGCTAACATGATGAAACCCCATCTCTACTAAAATACAAAAATTAGTCAGGCATGGTGATGCATGCCTGTAGTCCCAGCTACTTGGGAGGCTGAGGCAGAAGAATTGCTTGAACCTGGAGAGGTGGAGGTTGCAGTGAGCCGAGGTCATGCCACTACACTCCAGCCTGGGTGACAGAGCAAGACTCTGTAAAAAAAAAAAAAAAAAAAAAAAAAAGGAAAAAAAAAGTGCCAGGTGCAGTGGCTCATGCCTGTAATCCCAGCACTTTGGGAGGCTGAGATGGGTGGACCACCTGAGTTCAGGAGTTCGAGACCAGCCTGGCCAGCCTGGCCAACATGGTGAAACCCCATCTCTACCCAAAATACAAAAAATAAGCTGGGTGTGGTGGCAGGCACCTGTAATCCCAGCTACTCGGGAGGCTGAGGCAGGAGAATCGCTTGAACCCAGGAGGCAGAGGTTGCAGTGAGCCAAGATGGCACCACTGCACTCCAGACTGGGCAACAAGAGCAAGACTCCATCTACAAGAAAAAAAGGAAAAGAAAGAAAGGGAAAAAAAAGTATCTGGTCTGGAATGAAGAAGCCAACTGTCTTTATTAACAGATGGCATGATCTTTTATGTAGAAAACCTAACGGAATCTATTAAAGTTACTAGAACTAATATATGAATTTAACAAGGTTTCAGGATAGAAGATTGATATACAAAATTCAAATGTGTTACTCTATAGTAGAAATAAACTTAAAAAAATTGAAATTAAAAATACCATTTATGGTAGCATCAAAAATATGAAATACTTAGGTATAAATCTGGCAAAAGATATGCAAAACCTGTACACTGAAAATTACAATATATGGTGTCCAAACTCAGAAAACTTATTATTTTTAAGACATCAATTCCCTCCAAATAGATCTATAGATTTCTTGTATTCCAAAATGAAATTCCATAAGACTTTTTTTTGTAGAAATCGATAAGATAATTCTAAAATTCATGTGGAATTGCAAGGACCTAGAATAGGAAAAACAACTTGGAAAAAAAAAATACAAGGCCAGGCTTGGTGGCTCACGCCTATAATCCCAGCACTTTGGGGGGCCGAGGCAGGCAGATCACAAGGTCAGGAGATGGAGACCATCCTGGCTAACACGGTGAAACTCAGTCTCTACTAAAAATACAAAAAAATAGCCAGACGTGGTGACACGCGCCTGTAGTCCCAGCTACTCGGGAGGCTGAGGCAGGAGAATCGCTTGAACCCGGGAGGTAGAGGTTGCAGTGAGCCGAAATCGCGCCACTGCACTCCAGCCTGGGAGATAAAGTAAGACTCCATCTCAAAAAAAAAAAAAAAGGACAAAATGGGAGGACAAATTCTACCTGATTTCAAGACTTATTATAAAGCCACACTAATTAAGAGAGTATGCTATTGATATAAAGATAGAGTGATCAATAGAATAGAATGGTGAGTCCAGAGGTGAGACCACAGATATATGGACAATGGGTTTTGACAAAGGTGCAATGGCATTTCAGTGGAGAAAGGATAGTCTTTTCAGCAAATGATTGTAACAATAGTTGTACAGAAATTGGATATCCACATGCAACAAATGAACGTTTATCTATACCCACACCATTTACAACACAACTCAAAGCAATTGTAGAAATAAGTGCAAATTCCAAAACTATACAACTTCAGAAAAAAATATAGGAAAAAATCTTTGTTACCTTGGGTTAGGCAAAGATGTCTTAGGTATGCCAGCAAGAAAAAAAATGATAAATTGGACTTCATCCAACTAAAAACATCTGCTATGCTAAAGACATGGTTAATAGAATGAAAAGATCCACTGCAGACTAAGAAAAAGTATTTACAAATTATATGTTTGATAAAGGACTTGTTCCCAGAATGCATAAAGAACTCTCAAAACTAAGTAAGAGTACAACGGAAAAAAGACTTGAACAGATGCTTCGCCCAGGGAAATATATCCATGGCTAATAAACACATGAAAAGATGCTCCACATCATTCATCATTAGGACAATGCAAATTAAAACTACAATGAGGCCAGGCACCCTGGCTCATGCCTGTAAGCTAGCACTTTGGGAGGCCAAGGCAGGAGGATGGCCCTAGCCCAGGATTTCAAGCTTGCAAGGAGCTGTGATTCTACCACTGTATTCCAGTCTGGGTGACAGAGCAAGATCCTGTCTTTAAAAAATTAAAAACCTACAATGAGATATATTCCTTACAGTTCTGGTGTCTTGGAAGTTCAAGATTAAGGCACCAGCATCTGATGAGAACTTTTTTTTGCATCATGCCATGGTGAAAGGACAGAGAGGGCAACAGAGAGCAAAAGGGGGCTGAACTTCCATAAGGAACTCATTTTCATATAACAACATTAATCCATTCACTCCACCCTCATGGCCTAATTACCTCACATTAGACCTCAGCTCCCAACACTGTTGCACGTGGCCATACAAAGACATTTACATGATATTCACAGAAGCTTAACTTGACCAAAAACTAAAACAACTCAAGTGTTATCAACAAATGAAGAGATATGTGAATTGTGGTGTATATATAAACAGTGGAATTTTAGTAATAAAAAGGTATGTACCACTGATATACTCAACATGGTGGAATCTTAACTATGCAGGGCTGGGCACAGTGGCTAACAATTATAATTGAAACACTTTGGAAGGCTGAGGGGAGTAGATCGCTTGTGCCCCCGAATTTGAGACCAGCCTGGGCAGCATGGCAAAACCCCATTTCTACAAAAAGTACAAAAATTAGCCGGGTATAATGGCATGCACATGTAGTCCCAGCTACTCAGGAGACTGAGATGGAAGGATCAATTGAGCCCAGGGGGCCGAGGCTGTAGTGAGCTGTGAATATGCCACTGCACTCACTCCAGCCTGGCAACAGAGTGATACCTTGTCTCAAAACAAAACAAAAAAAACTATGTGGAATGAGAAAAGCCAGACAAAAAAAGTGTAGGTACTGTATTATTCCATTTATATAAAATTCTAAAGAATACAAACCAATCTATAGGAACAGAAAGCAGATCAGTGATGGTTTGGGGAGGTGGGAAAATTTGGGAGGCAAGAATTCCAAAGGTCGTGAGGACACTTTTAGGGATGGTAGGTATGATCATTTACTTGATTATGGTGATGATTTCACGAGTGTATACATATGTCATTCTTATCACATTGCATGATTTAAATATGTTTGGTTTATTGTTGATTAATAATACCTCAATAAGGCTGTTACAAAAAATAAATAAGTCAAAAATTAAACATTTTTTCTATTATCTTTCTTCAAGGAACTTAGAACACTAACTCAAATTTCTCCCCTCCTTTCTTCCATGTTAATGTTTTCTATTCTTTTCATTCCTCTTTGTTTCTAACTTCTATTAACACTAGCCATTAGTAGTGGTAGTAGTAGTAGTAGCAGCATAGCAAATCCTTATTTAGAGTTACCAAATGGTTACAAATTCATTTGTTTCTTTCATGCTACTTTTTTCTTCTGGATTTATTTTTCTTCTTACTGAAATGCATTATTTAGCGTTTCTGTCACTTAGAGTTCTTTCACTGAGAGTCATATATGCAAACTTATATGACAATGTCTTTTTGCCCTCAGTCTTGAATATAGCTTATTTGATTATAGAATTCTAAGCTGAAGTGTCCTTTCCCTCCCCATTCTGAAACTATTATTTCATTATCTCCTAACCCTTATTGTTGGTAATGAGAGGTCTGTCAGTCTAATGGTCATTTTTTAAAATACAGATGGTCCCTAATTTACAACGGTTCAACTTATGCTTTTTCTACTTCATGATGGTGTGAAAGCGATATGCGTTCAGCAGAAACCATACTTCAGTGATCCGAGATTGAGTTCCCACAAACCTCACCACTGTGTGCTAAGGTACTCTGGGGTCCAAAATAAACTTGAAAGGCAGGCTAAGCCACAAGGACTGCAATGCCTAGGTGAGTCCTAATGCTGAACTGGTCCCAGAGACAGTGGATTGCGAGGGCATGCAATCTACTGAGACAGCAGGTGGGGGAGTTAAGGGAGTGCTGGCCTCACCCCTCCCCTACTTCCAGGCTGCACAGATTGTAGCTCCAAAAGGGACTCTCCCTCCACTTGATGGGAGCAGCCAGAAGAGTTTGGAGGACTTTTTCTTGCATCTTGGATACCAGCTCAGCCATGGAAGGATAGGGAACCGGTCAGAGTCATGGGTCCCTCTTTCCAGGCCCTAGTTCCCAGATGACATGTCTAGACACATTAGAAAGGAACCTACTGCCTTGAAGGGAAGGACCCAGTCTTGGCAGGATTCATCATCTGCTAACTGAAGAGCCTTTGGGCCCTGAACAACCAGCAGTGATACCCAGATACTATGTCAAGGGCTTGGGTAAGACTCTGAGATTTGGTGGCTTCAGATGAGACTCAGCACATTTCCAGATATGCTGGCTATGGGATGAGTCTCCTTCCCGTAAGAGGAGACTTGAGAAAAGTGGAGGGAAAAACAAAGGGGACTTTGTCTTGTACCTTAGGTACCAGCTTGGCCACACAGGGTAGAGCACCAAGAGGGCTTTTGGGTGGCATTTCTGGACCTGCGTTGTGTCAGAGGGAAGTCCACTGCCCTAAATAGTGAGTCACAGGCCAGGAAGCATTCACCACAGGCTGACATACGAGACCTTGGGCTTTAAAGGAACATCAGTGGTAGTCTGGCAATAACTCCCATGGGCCTGTGGTGGTGACCACAGGATGAGGCTCCTCTGCCTTTGGAAAGGAGAAGGAAAAGTGGGAAGGACTGCATCTTGTGGTTTGAGTGCAAACTCAGCCACAGTACAATAGAACATCAGGTAGACTTCTAAGGTTTTAAACTCTACCCTTGCTCCCAGATAGCTCCTCTGGACATGATTGGGGCCCATGGAAACTTGCCACCTTGTGGGAAGGACATAGGCCTAGCTGGCTTTGCCACCTACTGACTATAGAGCCTCAGGGCCTTCAGTAAATATGGGCCATCCCTAGGGAGTGGTTAGAGCAGGCCTTGGGCAAGACCCAATGCTGTGCTGGCTTCAGGTCTGACCCAGTGCAGTCCTTGTGGTGGTGGCCACAGGGGTGCATGTGTCACACCACCCCAGCTCCAGGGTGTTCAGAACAGAAAGGCTCCATTTTTTTAGGAGAAAATAAGAGAAGAGAACAAGAGCCTCTGCCTGGTAATCCAGAAAATTCTCCGGGATCTTGTCTAAGACCATCAAGGTGGTACCTTTATGAAACTGCAAGAGCCACAGCAGTACTGGGCTTGGGGTGCCCCCTAAAGCAGATACAGCTTAAATCACAACACCCAAGTCCTTTCAGATATCTGGAAAGCCTTCCCAAGAAGGGTGGGTACAAACAAGCCCAGACTGAGAAGATTACAATAAATATCTAACTCTTCAAAGCCCAGACACTGAAGAATATCAACACCATCCAGGAAAACATGACCTCACATCAACTAAATAAGGCACCAGGGAGCAATCCTGGAGAAACAGAGCTATATGACCCTTTAGACAGATAATTCAAAATAGCTGTGTTGAGGAAATGCAAAGAAATTCAAGATAACACAGAAGAAATTCAGAATTTCATCAGATACACTTAATAAAGAGATGGAGATAATTTAAAAGAATGAAGCAGGAATTCTGGAGCTGAAAAATGAAATTGGCATACTGAAGAATGCATCAATTTTGTTGCTTTTTCATTTTTTTCAGACAGACTCTCGCTCTGTCACCCAGGCTGGAGTGCACTGGTGTGATCTTGGCTCACTGAAACCTCTGCCTCCCGGGTTCAAGCAATTATTTTGCCTCACCCTCCCAAGTAGCTGGGACTACAGATGAGCGCCACCATACTTGGGTAATTTTTGTATTTTTAGTAGAGACAGGGTTTGATCATGTTATCCAGGCTGAACTTGAACTCCTGACCTTAGGTGATCTGCCAGCCTCAGCCTCCCAACGTGCTGGGATTACAGGTGTGAGCCACTGTGCACAATGCATCAGTCTTTTTTTTTCTTTTCTTTTCTTTTTTTTTCTGAAATGGAGTCTCACTCTGTGGATCAGGTTGGAGTGCAGTGGTACAATCTCCGCAGCGATTCTCCTGCCTCAGCCTCCCTAGTAGCTGGGATTATAGGTGCCTGCACCATGCCCAGCTAATTTTTGTATTTTTAGTAGAGCTGGGGTTTCACCATGTTAGCCAGGCTGGTCTTGAACTCTTGACCTCAGGTGATGCACCCGCCTCGGCCTCCCAAAGTACTGGGATTACAGGCGTGAGCCACCGTGCCCGGCCTCAACATCAGTCTTTTAATAGAAGAATTGATCAAGTAGAAGAAAGAATTAGTGAGCTTGAAGGCAGGCTATTTAACAATACACAGTCAGAGGAGGAGACAGAAGAAAAAGAATTAAAAACAATGAAGCACACCTACAGGATCTAGAAAATAACCTCGAAAGGGCAAATCTAATAGTTATTGGCCTTAAAGTGAACATAAAGAAAGAGATAGGAGTAGAAAGTTTATTCAAAGGCATAATAACAGAGAATTTCCCAAACTTAGAGAATGATATCAATATCCAAGTATAAGAAGGTTATACACACAAAGCAGATTTAACCCAAAGAAGACTACCTCAAGAAATTTAATAACCAAACTCCCAAAAGTAAAGGACAAAGAAAGTATCCTAAAAGCAGTAAGAGAAAAGAAACAAATAACACACAATGGAGCTCCAATACATCTAGCAGCAGATTTTGCAGTGGAAACCTTACAGGCCAGGTGAGAGTGGCAAGACATATTTAAAGTGCTGAAGGAAAAAACTTTTGTCTCAGAATAGCATATCTGGTGAAAACATCCTTCAAACATGATGGAGAAATAAAGACTTTCCCAGACAAACAAAAACTGAGGGATTTCATCAACACTAGACATATCCTACAAGAAATGCTAAAAGGAGTGCTTCAATCAAAAAGAAAAGGATGTTAATGAGCAACAAGAAATTATGTGAATGTACAAAACTCACTGATAATAGTAAGTACACAGAAAAACCTGGAATATTATAACACTGTAACTGTGGTATGTAAATTACTCTTATCTTCAATAGAAAAACAAAATGATGAACCAACAAAAAATAATAACTACCACAACTTTTCAAGACATAGTCAATACAATAAATTATAAATAGAAACAACAAAAAGTTAAAAGGCTGGAGGATGAAGTTAAGGCATAGTCCTTATTAATTTTCTTTTTGCTTCTTTTCTTATTTATGCAAACAGTTTTGTTATCAGCTTAAAATAATGGGTTATATTTTTTGCAAGCCTCATGGTAACCACAAACCAGTAAACACATAATGGATACACAAAAAACAAAAAGTAAAAAACCAATTCATATCACCAGAGAAAATCACCTTCACTAAGAGGAAGACAAGAAGGAAAGAAAGAAGGAAGGAAAGACCACAAAACAACCAGAAGACAAATAACAAAATGTCATGAGCATGTTTTTACTTATTAATAATAACACTTAATGTAAATGGACTAAACTCTCCAATCAAAATACATAGAGTGAGCCGGGTGCAGTAGCTCATGCCTGTAATCACAGCACTTTGGGATGCCAAGGTGGGCGGATCACCTGAGGTCAGGAGTTTGAGAACAGCCTGGCCAACATAGTAAAACCCTGTCTCTACCAAAAATACAAAAATTAGTCAGGTGTGGTGGCACGTGCCTGTAGTCCCAGCTACTCAGGAGGCTGAGTCAGGAGAATTGCTTGAACCCAGGAGGAGGAGATTGGGCGACAGAGTGAGACTCCATCTCAAAAAAAAAAAAAAAAAAGAAAAAAGACATAGAGTGGCTGAATGGATAAAAAAGAAGACCCAATGATCTGTTGCCTGCAAGAAACACACTTCATCTATAAAGATACACACAGACTGGAAATAAGTGAATGGAAAACAATATTCCATGCTGATGAAAGCCAAAAAAGAGCAGGAATATTTTCTCTTATATAAGACAAAATAGATTTCAAGACAAAAACTATAAGAACAGACAAAGAAGGTCACCATATAATGATAAAGTGGTCAATTCAGCAACAAGATATAACAATTTTAAATATATGTGCACCCAACACAGGACCACCCAGATATATAGAGCAAATATTGTTAGAGCTAAAGAGGGAGAGAGGATTCAATGCAACAATAGCTAGAGACCTCAGCACCCTATTTTCAGGATTGGACAGGTCTTTCAGACAGACAATCAGCAAAGAAACATTGGACTTAATCTGCACTATAGACCAAATGAACCTAATAGATATTTACAGAACATTTCATCCAACAGCTGCAGAATACACATTATTTTCCTCAGCACATGCATCATTCTCACAGATAGACCACATATTAGGTCACAAAACAAGTCTTAAGACATTCCAAAAAAACTGAAATAATATCAAGCATCTTCTCTGACCACAATTAAATAAAAGTAGAAATCAATAAGAAGAGAAACTTTGGAAATGATACAAACACACGGAAGTTAAACAATATGCTCCTGAATGACCAGTGGGTCAATAAAGAAATTAAAAAGGAAATCGAAATTTTTCTTAAAACAAATGATAATGGAAACACAATATACCAAAACCTATGGGATACAGCAAAAGCAATACTAAGAGGGAAGTTTGTAGTTGTAAGTGCCTACATAAAAAAAAGAAAGAAAAACTTCAAATAAACAACTTAACAATGCATCTTTAAAAATTGGAAGAGCAAGAACAAGCCAAACCCAAAATCATTAGTAGAAAAAATGACATAATAAAGATTAGAGCAGAAATAAAAAAAATCAAAATGGAGAAAACAATACAAAAGATCAATGAAACTATAAGTTGGTTCTTCGAAAAGTTAAACAAAACTAACAAACCTTTAGCAGACTAAGAACAAAAAGGAGAAGATCCAAGTAAATAAAATCAGGGATGAAAAAGGAGACATTTCAACTGATACAGCAGAAATTCAAATATCATTAGTGGCTACTATGAGCAACTATATGCCAATACATTGGAAAACTAGAAGAAACTGACAAATTCCTAGATACATACAACCTATCAAGGTTGAATCATGAAGAAATCCAAAACCTGGACACACCAATAGCAAGTAATGAGATTGAAGCCATAATTTCAAAGTCTTCAAGTAAAGAAAAGCCCATGACCCAATGGCTTCACTGCTGAATTCTACCAAACATTTGAAGAACTAACACCAATCCTACTCAAACTACTCTAAAAAATGGAGGAGGAGGGAATACTTCTGAACTCATTCTATGAAGTCAGTATTACCCTAATACCAAAACCAGAAAAAGACACATAAAAAAAGAAAACTACAGGCCAAATTTTCTGATAAATATTGATGCAAAAATCCCCAACAAAATACTAGCAAACTGAATTCAACAATACATTAAAAAGATAACTTATCATGTCCAAGTGGGATTTATCCCTGGGATGCAAGGATGGTTCAACATATGCAAATCAATGTGCTATATCATATCAACAGAATGAAAGACAAAAAGATGCTGGAAAAGCATTTGATAAAATTCAACATCCCTTCATGATAAAAACCGTCAAAAAAACTGCATATGGAAGGAACATACCTCAACTTAATTAAAGCCATATATTACAGACCCACAGCTAGTATATCATTCTGAATGGGGAAAAACTGAAAGCCTTTCCTCTGGAACATGACAAGGATGCCCACTTTCGCCACTATTATTCAACATAGCACTGGAAGTCCTAGCCAGAGCAATCCGAAAAAAGAAAGAAAGGGCATCCAAATTGGAAAGGAAGAAGTCAAATTATCCTTGTTTGCAGACAATATAATCTTATATTTAGAAAAACCTAAAGATTCCGTAAAAAAAACTATTAGAACTGATTGGCTGGGCACCGTGTCTCATGCCTGTAATCCCAGCAATTTGGGAGGCCAAGGTGGGTGGATCACCTGAGGTCAGGAGTTTAAGATCAGGCTGGCCAACATGGTGAAACTCCGTCTCTACTAAAAATACAAAAATTAACCAGGTGTGGTGGTGTGCACCTGTAATCCCAGGCTGAGGCAATAGAATCACTTGAACCTGGGAGGCAGAGGTTGCAGTGAGCCAAGATTGCGCCATTGCACTCCAGCCTGGGTGACAGAGTAAGTCTCTGTCTCAAAAAAAAAAAAAAAAAAAAAAGACCAGGCCTGGTGGATCACACCTGTAATCCCGATATTTGGGAGCCCAAAGCAAGTGGATCACTTGAGGTCAGGATTTTGAGATCAGGAGTTGGAGACCAGCCTGGCCAACATGGTGAAGCCCGTCTCTACTAAAAATACAAAATTAGCTGGATGTGGTGGCACAGGCCTGTAGTCCCAGCTACTCAGGAGGCTGAGGCAGAAAAATCACTTGAACCCAGGATGCGGAGGCTGCAGTGAGCCAAGATCATGCCACCGCACTCCAGCAAGAGTGCAGCAGATGGATAGAGCAAGAGTCCATCTAGAAAAAAAAAAACAAACTATTAGAACTGATAAATTCAGTAAAGTTGCAGGATGCAAAATCAACATACAAAAAACATGGCATAAACATAAAACATACAAAAAATGGCATTTCTATATGCCAACAGTGAATGTGATAAAACCAACAAAAAAAGTGGTCCCATTTACAATAGCCACAGATAAAATTAAATACCTAGGAATTAACCAAAAAAGTGAAAGATCTCTATAATGAAAATTATAAAACACTGATGAGAGAAATTGAGAGGACACCAGAAAGTGAAAAGATATTCCATATTCATGGATTGGAAGAATGAATATTGTTAAAATGTCCATACTACCCAAAGCAATCTACAGATTCAATTAAATCCCTATCAAAATACCAATGACATTCTTCACAGAAATAGAAAAAACAATTCAAATATTTATATGGAAGCACAACAAAAGCAAAATATCCAAAGCTATTCTAAGCAAAAAGGACAAAACTGGAGGAATCACATTACCTGACTTCAAATTATTTTACAGAGCTATAGTAACCAAAACAGCATGGTACTGGCATAAAAACAAACACATGGACCAACAGAACAGAATGGAGAATCCAGATATAAATCCACACACCTACAGTGAACTTATTTTTGACAAGGTTTCAAAAACATACACTGGGAAAAAAGACAATCTGTTCAACACATGATGCTGGGAAAACTTAATATCCATATGCAGAAGAATGAAACAAGATCTTTATCTCTCACTATACATAAAAATCAAATTAAAATGGATTAAAGACTCAAATCTAAGACCTCAAACTATGAAACTACTATCAAAACACATTGGGGAAACTCTCCAGGACATTGGTCTGGGCCAAAATTTCTTGAATAATACCCCATAAGCACAGGCAACTAAAGCAAAAATGTATAAATGGGATCACTTCAAGTTAAAAACCTTCTGCACAGCAAAGGGAATGATTAACTAACTGAAGAGACAACCCATAGAATGGGAGAAAATATTTGCAAACTACTCATGTGACAAGCGATTAATAACCAGAATATATAAGAGATGCAAACAACTTTACAGGAAAAAGTCTAATAATCTGATTAAAAATGGACAAAAGATTTGAACAGACATTTCTCAAAAGAAGACATACAAATGGGAAACGTAAGAAACATATGAAAAAGTACTCAACATCACTGATCATCAGAGAAATGCAAATCAAAGCTACAATGAGATATCATCTCACCCCATTTAAGATGGCTTATATCCAAAAAACAGGCAATAACAAATGGTGTGAGGCTATAGAGAAAAGGGAACTCCCATACATTGTTGGTGGGAATGTTAATTAATACAACCACTGTGGAGAACGGTTTGAAGGTTCCTCAAAAAACTAAAACAAAGCTACCATATGATCCAGTAATCCCACTGCTGGGTATATACTCCAAAAAAAGGAAATCAGTATATCAAAGAGATACGTGCACTCCCATGTTTGTTGCAGCACTATTAACAATAGCCATAATTTGGAAGCACCCTAAGTGTCCATCAACAGATGAATGGATAAAGAAAATATGGTACATATACACAATGGAGTGCTATTCAGAGATGAAAAAAAAAAGAATGAGATCCTATCATTTGCAACAACATGGATGGAACCGGAGGTCACTATGCTAAGTGAAATAAGCCAGGCACAAAAATACTAACATTGCATGTTCTCACTTATTTGTGGGATCTAAAAATCAAAACAATTGAACTCATGGAGATAGAGAGCAGAAGGAGGATTACCAGAGGCTGGGAAGTGTAGTGGAAGTGTGAGGGGGCTGGTCAATGAAAAAAAAAAAAAGAAAGAAAGAAAGAGAGAGAGAGAGAGAAAGAAAAGAAAGAAAGAAAGAAAGAATTTGATAGCACAATAGGGTGTCTACAGTCAATAATAATTTAATTGTACATTTTAAAATAAAGAGTATAGGCCGGGAGCAGTGGCTCATGCCTGTAATCCCAGCACTTTGGGAGGCCGAGGCAGGGGAATCACCTGAGGTCAGTAGTTCAAGACGAGCCTGGCCAACATGGTGAAACCTTGTCACTACTAAAAATACAAAAATTAGCTGGGTGTGGTATGCATGCCTGTAATCCCAGCTACTCGGGAGGCTGAGGGAGGAGAATCGCTTGAAGCCGGGAGGCAGAGGATGCAGTAAGCAGAGATTGTGCCATTGCACTCCAGCTTGGGCAACAGAGCGATACTTCGTCTCAAAAATAACAAAATAAAGTAAAATACAGAGTATAATTGGATTATTTGTAACTCAAATGATAAATGCTTGAGGGAATGGATACCCCATTTTACATGATGTGATTATTATGCATTGCATGCCTGTATCAAAACATCTCATGTACCCCATAAATATATACACTTACTCTGTACCCACAAAAATTAAAAATTATCTTTTCCTCATTTTCTCTTTTTCTCCTTCTGAAGCTTACACATTGATTTTCTAATTCTATTTATATTGTCTTAATTATTCTTTCATATTTTTCATATCTTTATTCCTTTGCTGCATTCCATCTGATTTCCTTAGACCTCCCAATACAGAAACTCTTTAGACATGTTCAATCTAGCATTTTTCCTTTTCATTGAGATTTAAATTTCACTGATGCTATTTTGGTAGAAGTTCTAGGTGAGAGAGTTCTAGTAAAAGTTCCCATTCTTTTTTTTTTTTTTTTTTTTTTTGAGACGGAGTGTTGCTCTGTTGCCAGGCTGGAGTGCAGTGGCTCTCAGCTCACTGCAACCTCTACCTCCCAGGTTCAAGCAATTCTCCTGCCTCAGCCTTCTGAGTAGCTGGGACTACAGGCGCACACCACCATGCATGGCTAATTTTTGGCATTAATATTTTTGGTATAGATGGGGTTTCACCATGATGGACAGGCTGGTCTGGAACTCCTGACCACAAGTGATCCACCTGTCTTGGCCTCTCAAAGTCCTGGGATTACAGGTGTGAATCCTAGCTGGCCATCATTGTGAATTTTAATTACATGTTAACTAAATAATGCTACCTTCATAATTTAAAAAACATTGGTAGATTCCAACCTCTCCGACACCATTGCAGAAAATTATTAACTATTTGTAAATTTTAAAATTCCAGCTCTTATCTAACCTATATCTCTGAGATACCATCTTCTTTAGGCCAATTTGGC
This sequence comes from Homo sapiens, assembly GCF_000001405.40. Taxonomy (NCBI): domain Eukaryota; kingdom Metazoa; phylum Chordata; class Mammalia; order Primates; family Hominidae; genus Homo; species Homo sapiens. Next base: position 152,311,384 of record NC_000002.12, on the reverse strand, counting down.
AAAATTCCATCTGGGTCATTTTTTAATGACATGAAAATAGTAACATAGAAACCATTTTATTTATGTAAGTTTAATATATGTGTAAATACACACATATAAAAAATATATTAAAGCTTGTTTTAAAATGGCTTATATACTAAATATATACTAAATAGGCATGTCTCTGTTGGAATCCAGACACATCAAGAATTATAAACCAATGGTAAAGGAGGAAAAAATAGGTGAAAAATTGAGGTCTTCTGAATGGGCTGTTAAATATTGGTACCCATCCCCTGCCTTGCTCCAACAATTGGCCAGTTTAAAAGCAGCTGAATTTGTGAATTTGTGAAGACTGTATGAGTTATCATCTAGAAGTCATATGAGATGCTCTGGATGCAACTCGTGCAAAAACAAGACAACATAAAACAAAGACATATCACAAAACAAAAACAATGTTATCACCTATTCTCATCTTCTCCTTCATCCTGCAGTTGTGTACTGTTTTGCCTCCCAAAAAATCCTCCTTAACATCCTACCTTATAAATAATTGAATGGGAAAGTCTTATAGCCTATGATATCAACAACAATGGCAGCAAAAAAGGAATATACTGCTGACTTGTGGTGTCTGCTTTTGTTTTGTTTTGTTTTTTGGGGTTTTTTTTGTTTGTTTTTGTTTTTTAGATGAAATCTCACTCTGTCACCCAGGCTGCAGCGAGTGCAGTGCAATGGCATGATCTCGGCTCACTGCAACCTCCGCCTCCCGGGTTCAAGCGATCCTCCTGTCTCAGACTCCCAAGCAGCTGGGACTACAGGCATGTGCCACCACACCCAGGTAATTTTTGTATTTTTAGTAGAGACAGGGTTTCCCCATATTGGCCAGGCTGGTCTCGAACTCCTGACCTTGTAATCCACCTGCCTTGGCCTCCTAAAGTGTTGAGCTTACAGGCGTGAGCCACCGCGCCTGGCTGCTTTTTTTTTTTTTCTTTTTAAGAAAGGGTTTTGCTCTGTCACCCAGGCTGAAGTGCAGTGGCACAACCTCAGCTCACTGCAACCTCTGGCTCCTAGGCTCAAGCAATCCTTCTGCCTCAGCCTCCAGAGTAGCTAGAAATACAGGTTCAAACCACTACTGCACAGCTAATTTTTGTATTTCTATAGAGATGAGGTTTCTCCATGTTGCCCAGGCTGGTCTCGAACTCCTGGGCTCAAGTGATCCACCAGCCTCGGCTTCCCAAAGTGTTGGGATTACAGCCGTGAGCCACTGAGCCCGGCCAGTATTTGCTCTTATTTGAGGGTGTACTCCCAACTTCCCAACTGAATGTTAACTTTTGTCCAGGAGGGCAAGAGTTCCTAAGTTGGGCTGCACGGGATGCCCAGGATATCCTATCCACACCTAACCTCCTCTGCAGATAAACACAGGACTCACAATCTCCAGAGCTATCCATCTGGCACCTTTCAACACCTTCCAAGTCTAAGAAAACAAACGCTTTGAAAAAAAGATTTTTTAAAACAAGAAAGCCCAAACGGGGCCTTTTTGTTTCTGGCTGCATCCACTTCAACGAGAAAAAAACTACTCGAGGGAACAAGAAAGAGAATAAGTTGGAGTAAAATGCAATTCCACAGATACATATTACACATATTACATATCTGACTCAACAATTTTATTTACTTTTCTTATTTGTTCTTTGGGAGAGTTGATTTTTAGGGGACAACTGTAAATTTCTTTCACAGGAAGAAAAGAGGCTTGCCAACCTATGTGAGTTAATCAAACTTTCTGAAATCTCCCATCCTTTCTTCCCTCTGTTGTTTAATATATGAGAAATTGCCTCTTCCCCGCCCCCGACACAGGGTCTTGTTCTGTCACCCAGGCTGGAGTGCAGTGGTGGCATCATAGCTCACTGCAGCCTTGGTCTACAGGCATGAGCCACTGCTGCACCTGGCCACCTTCTTCTTCTTCCCTTTTTTTTTTTTTTGTTTGGCTTCCAGAGAAAAAAATTTCTCAAACGCATGATCCCATAATTATTCTGTTCGGTGAATTTGAATTCCTCGACTTACAATTTATACTCTTAAGGCTAGTATCCTTGTAAGATCATGTGCTTGGTGGATTAAAGTCCTGTCTCTCTTGCTTACTGAGTGATCTAGGGAAAATTTATTAACTTCTTCAAGTCTCAGTTTCTACATGTGTAAAATGGAAATAAATACTTATGCCATGAGTTAATTTTTTTATTTTTATTTTTATTTTTGAGACAGAGTCTCGCTCTGTCGCCCAGGCAGGAGTACAGTGGCATGATCTGTGCTCACTGCAACCTTTGCCTCCCAGGTTTAAGCTATTCTCCTGCCTCAGCCTCCTGACTAGCTGCGATTACAGGCGCCCACCACCACGCTTGGTTAATTTTTGTATTTTTAGTATAGGCAGGGTTTCACCATGTTGGCCAGGCTGGACTTGAACTCCTGACCTCAAGTGATCCACCTGCCTCAGCCTCCCAAAGTGCTGGGATTACAGGCATGAGCCACCTCACCCGGCCTGAGTTAATTGTTAAGATTAAGGAAAATAATTTATGTAAACCAACCATCAGGATCATGCCTCATGCATGATAAGAGAGTTTTCCTTCTTCCTTATGTTCTTTTTTCAAGGTGGTAATGGATTTAATCTTGGACCTATTATTGAAGGAATATATATATATATATTTTTTTTTTGAGATAAAGTCACTCTGTTACCCAGGCTGGAGTGTAGTGTAGTTGTGTGATCTCAGCTCACTGCAACCTTCACCTCCTGGGTTCAAGCAATCCTCATGCCTCAACCTCCCAAGAAGCTGGGATTACAGGCATGTGCCACTACGCCCAGCTAATTTGTATTTTTAGTAGAGATGGGGTTTCACCATGTTGGCCAGGCTGGTCTCGTACTCCCCACCTCAGGTGATCCGCCCACCTCGGCCTCCCAAAGTGCTGGGATTACCAGTGTGAGCCACCACGCCCAGCCTCAAGGAATAAAATTTTCTGCAGTACCTGAATGGATAAAGGGAGAACACAAAGTAATTGTTTCAAATAACAGGAAGATATATTTACATAAAATAGAACATGCATTGGTTCATAGTCAAGAGTGCTTCCTAATGTCCTGGTTCTTCCAATGACGAAACTTCATTCTGGTCACTCAGTGTAATAGTAACCACGAAGCTAATGCCACTGTCAAAGAAATCCAAATGGTGTTTCCCAATCTGCCTGATAATAAGATCCACCTAGATACTTGTTGAACATACAGATTCCCATATGCCTTCCCTAGAAATTCCAATTCAGTAGGTCTTGGGTGAGCCCTGGAATTTGTATGTTTAACAAAAATTCCAGGTGGTTCCCATTTCAGACAAGTTTAGGAAACACTGATTAATTGCTTGGGATTGGGAAGTGACTCATCTGCAATTAAACAATAATGCCTCTACTTATGGAGCAATGCCAAGTTATTTTAAAGCTATTGAAATAATTATAGCATATACACTGCTCTAAAGATTGTATTTGCTGTTATTTCAGCCAAAGAAATTGTTCATTTTAAAATATGTTATGCAATTTTTTAAAAGTTCTTAAAAATGTCACCAGTTCTCACATTTGCATTTTCTATGCTTTTTAGGTTTTGGAGAATAAGGCATAATTGATTCAATTATGTAAGTTGTGCAGTTACATAATTACTGGTTAGGGGGCAGCTTTGTCAGGTGTCCAAATATTGAGGTGGAATTTTGGTTGTGCAAGTTTTTTTTTCCTGACCCCTCAATTCATACTTATATCCAAAAATAGACAATAGATGCCAAAGATTACATTTCTGCATAGAATAAATTAAATTGTCCAGAGCTACTGAGTGTTACTTAGATCATTTTGATTTTATCAGATTAATTTTACTAACAAATGTTTATTGCATTCTGTCATTCTAGTTGCAATCATTTTCCATACACAATTAAGATCAAAGAAAAGTTCACTGATGGAAGGAAGCTGGGGAGGGCTGGGCAATTAATTAGTAGAACTAAAAGATCTCTCTCAAAGGATCAAGCCCTTTGCCTGCACTGTAATCACTAGTCACAAACATCTGCAGAGCTCATCCTCTCTCAAGAGAGTGACCTCCACTAACCTCATGCATCTATCTATACAGTACTAGAAAAGTGCTGACAATAGGGGCCAGACAGTCCTGTCTTAGCTCCAATTCTCATTGCCTCTTTGCTTTGTTCTGTTGAGTTTAGGGTACGAGGTCTTTGTTAAGACTCTTTTTTTTTTTTTTTTTTTTTTGAGACAGAGTCTCACTCTGTTGCCCAGGCTGGAGTACAGTGGCACAATCTTGGCTCACTGCAACCTCTGCCTCCTGGGCTCAAGTGATCCTCCTGCCTCAGACTCCTTAGTATCTGGGATTACAGGTGTGCGCCACCACGCCTGGCTAATTTTTGTATTTTTAGTAGAGACAGGGTTTCACCAGGTTGGCCAGGCTGGTCTCGAATTCCCAACCTCAAGTAATCCACCCGCCTCAGTCTCCCAAAGTGCTGGGATTACAGGTGTGAGCTACCACACCTGGCCTGTTAAGACTCTTAAAGAAACCATTCAAAATATTGAATTGAAATCCATGAGAAAGAAGCAAGCCCCCAAAGCAAAAAGAAAAATACATATATAATTATATGTGTATATATATATATGTATAATTTTTTTCTTAAATCTCTATTGCACTGATAATGATTAAAAGTGGGAGTTCAGGCTAGATAGGCTTATACCTGTAATCCCAGTACTTTGGGAGGCTGAGGCAGGAGGATCAAATTTTTTTTTTTTTTGAGACAGAGTCTCACTCTGTCACCCAGGCTGGAATGCAGTGGCGTGATTTTGGCTCACTGCAACCTCCACCTCCAGGATTCACGCCATTCTCCTGCCTCAGCCTCTTGAGTAGCTGGGACTACAGGCGCCTGCCACCACACCCAGCTAATTTTTAGTATTTTCAGTAGAGACGGAATTTCACCATGTTAGCCAGGATGGTCTTGATCTCCTGACCTTGTGATCCGCCCGGCTCGGCCTCCCAAAGTGCTGGGATTACAGGCATGAGCCACCATGCCCAGCCAGAAGGATCAAATTTTTTAATTAGCCAGGGCTGGGCACAGTGGCTCATGCTTGTAGTTCCCAGCTCTTTGAGAGGCTGAGGCAGGAGGATGCCTTGAGCCCTTAAGTTCAAGACCAGATTGGGCAACATAGCAAGACCCAGTCTCTATAAAAATAATATTAAAAAATAATATTAGCTGGGCGTGGTGGCACACAACTGTGGTCTCAGCTACTTAGCACTGTTTATTGGAAAGACATCCCAAAATTAAATTGACAGCTAACAGAGTTTTGTTTTGCTTTGTTTTGCTTTTTGAGATAGGGTCTCCCTCTGTTTCGCAGGCTGGAATGCAGTGGCGCAACCTTGGCTCACTACAGCCTCAATATCACAGGCTCAGGCGATCTTCCCATCTTGTCTTTCCCAGTATCTGGGACTATAAGCACAAGCCACTGTGCCTGGCTAACTTTAAAATTTTTTTTTTGTAGAGATGAGGTCTCACTATGTTGCTCAGGCTAGTCTGAAACTCCTAGGCTCAAGCAATCCTCCCACCTCAGCCTTTCAAAGTGCTAGGATTACAGGCATGAGCCACCGTGTCCAGCCCTAGAATTTTAACAAAAGTATCAGAAAGACCCCAAGTAGTGGCCTATGATTGCTTAGGTCCTAAAGAAAACACCAGGCCAAGGTTAATAATGACAATACTAATAAATAATTTACCTTGAGTGCTAACTGTGGGCAAGCCAGGAAATTAAGTGGTTTATATATGATATATTTAATACTACCACCGTATCAGTTAGGTATTATTCTTTTTTTTTTTTTTTTTTTTTTTTTTTTTTTTTTTGAGACGGAGTCTCGCTCTGTCGCCCAGGCTGGAGTGCAGTGGCGCGATCTCGGCTCACTGCAAGCTCCGCCTCCCGGGTTCACGCCATTCTCCTGCCTCAGCCTCCCGAGTAGCTGGGACTACAAGCGCCCGCCACCACGCCCGGCTAATTTTTTGTATTTTTAGTAGAGACGGGGTTTCACCGTGGTCTCGATCTATTCTTAACTGCTACCTTGCAGATGAGGAAACTGATGCCTAATGTTGAAATCTGCCTTCACGGAGAATGTCCACTGAGAGCCCAGTGTTTCTGGTGCCTCTGGAGTGACTGGCTGGTATATTGGAAAGAAGTGGTTGTTTCTTAGCTTTCATCATTACCCCTGTCTTTGGCTGACTATCAGTTGCTAAGTCAGTGAAATGGACATTACCACACCAAAGGAGTTAGGACATTACCACACTCAGGCCAGAGCAGCATATTTTACATTCCCAGGCCTCTTGCTCTCCAAGTGTGGGCATGCTCCCTGGTTCCATTTCAGTCCTCCACTTTCTCCCTACACCACTCCCTGCTTCTGCTTGCAAGCCACACCCTCGGACTGCTTCTATCTCAATAGGAAATATGTAGGGAACTTTTGGATAAAACAGAATTACCACCAGAATCAGGATCTCTTTCTTTCTAGTCATATTTTTTATCTGCAATTCTTGACTGTCCTTGATTACTGTGGGCTTCTGCTCAGTCTCAGTCACTGCTTTGCCTCAACTTATGGAATTATTCTGTTTTGTTATTGGGACTGTTTACTTGTCTAGCTCTAGTTTCCTATGATCACAGCTTCCTAGGAAACCCCAGGTCCATCTGCTCCCCAGACCAGCATATTTTGGTTTCCTACCTCTGCCTTGGCACCCTTCATCCTGGTCTGTCACCCTGTATACTTGACCTATTGCCACTTATGGTCCTGGCATCAACAGCCCCCTCATGACTTTCCCCAATATGGCAAATGGTATCATTCTCCTCTCATTTACCAAAGCTCACACCTTGGAATTGTGCTCGACTCTATCTCTTTTGTAAGCCTCTTAGCTTTTCTTCCTTGTTTTCACATGTTCTAGACCATCTTGCCTTGGTCTGGATTATAGATACAGCTTCCTGCTTTTGTTACCAGAAAGGAGTCCCAAAGCAGCCTCCAGGAGAGGGTTCTTAGGTCTCATGCAAGAAAGAATTCAAGGCAAATCCATAAAGTGAAAGCTGGTTTATTAAGAAAGTAAAGAAACAAAAGAATGTCTACTCCATAGGTTGAGCAAGGGCATGGGCTGCTCAGCTGCTTATACTTATTGTTACTTCTTTATTATATACTAAACAAGAGGTGGATTATTCATGAGTTTTCTGGAAAAGGGGTGGGCAATTCCCAGAACTGAGGGTTCTTCCCCTTTTTAGACCATATAGGATAACTTCCTGATATTGCTACAGCATTTGTAAACTGTCATGACACTGGTGGGTGTGTCTTTTAGCATGCTAATACATTATAATTAGCGTATAATGAGCAGTGAGAACCACCAGAGGTCACTTGCATCACCATCTTGGTTTCGGTGGGATTTGGTCGACTTCTTTACTGCATGCTGTTTTATCAGCAAGGTCTTTGTGACCTGTATCTTATACTGACCTCCTATCTCATCCTGGGACTAAGAATTCCTACCCTCCTGGGAATGCAGCCAAGTAGGTCCCAGCCTTATTTTACCCAGCCCCTATTCAAGATGGAGTTGCTCTGGTTCGAATGTCCCTGACACTTTGAATCTCTTCTCACTCCAGAACACCCCAATTGGAGGCTCTAGGATAAGAAATCTCAGCTCACATTGTCATTATGCCAGTTGTTTTCTTAAGCTTCTGTTGAATCAGAGCTAAACTCTTCAGGATTCAAGGCAATATGTTAACTGGTTTCCCTTTTCCTCAACCTTAGCTAACTCTTCTTCCCAGGTGTAGCTGTCTCCTGCTGATCTCTTGGCAAGTATCCAGGCTCCTATTCATCTTGGAGTTCAACCTTAACTATTCAGCAAAGTCTTTCTTGATAAAACTCCTCTCTTCCTCCCACTTCATACACCCCCCTAATTTCCAAGCAAAGAAACTCATTATTTTGCATTACCTTGAACATGTTTATGTTATCTAGATGTCATACACACACACACATGCGCGCGCGCACACACACACACACACACATATTTTAAATATTTCAGACTAGTTTATAAGTTCTAGCTGTAGAATAATGTGCTTTACAGTGTGGTTCACATCCATATGCATTTGAATCATCTAAAGTGCTTTATGAGAATGCAGATTATTAGCCTCACCCTCAGCATTTATATGGTAAGCCCAAGAAATATGCATTTTTTTTTTTTGAGATGGAGTCTTGCTCTGTCGCCCAGGCTGGAGTGCAGTGGTGCAATGTTGGCTCACTGCAACCTCTGCCTCCCAGGTTCAAGCGATTCTCCTGTCTCCACCTCCCGAGTAGCTGAGATTACAGGTGTGAGTCACCACACCCGGCTGATTTTTGTATTTTTAGTAGAGACAGGGTTTCACCATTTTGGCCAAGCTGGTCTCAAATTCCTGACCTCAGGCGATCCACTCACCTTGGCCTCCTAAAGTGCTGGAATTACAGGCATTAGCCACCGCGCCCGGCCAGAAGTATGCATTTTTTAAAAGCTACCTATGTAGTTCTTGCACATACAGAGTTTGGGACCCATTGCACTGGAAGAATAGGTACTAGAATGGTAGTGTTGTGGGTTTTTTTAATACTCCAGATACTTTCAGTTCTATGCTTGGCACGTGGAAGATTCTCACTAGTTGCTTGTTGGATTAAGGAATGAATAGATCTAACTTTGGAAGGAAATCCAGTCATGGGAAATCTTTCCTACTGTATAGAAATATTTGCAATTTTCACCAAACGTGCCCCTAATACCAACTTCAATTAGTATAATCCACATAACCTCATAAGTTAAACTACATAAATCTTTGTATTTTGCTTCTTCCTAAACTAATATAATTTTAATTTACTTTGGTTGTGATGAACTATCATATCAGATTGGTTCAACACTCTCAAGGTGTTTGTTCTTTAATTCATTTTAGACCTCTTCTTGGGTGGAAGCTAGAAAAATTCCCTCCAGTTATAACTGGAAGCAAATACTAAAATGATTTTATAAGCCAAGTAAATATTGTTATAGGGACACCTAAAGAGATTTAGTGTTCTAACATATTGTTAGTTCAACAAATATTTACTGTAAACATTCAGGTTATTATTGCCAGCAGTACAAAGAAGATGCCAGTAATTCTGTATTTCTGCCTGGGAATATTAATATCTTGACTTCTTTATTCAATTAGGTTTGGAGGGGTTTTTTGCTCCCTAGCCTTGACCCATTTAAGGGTGGTCAAATCCAGGTAGATACTTTTGATTGCTGACTTTTTTTTTTCTTTGAGACAGAGTCTCACTCTGTCACCCAGGCTGGAGTGCAGTGGCACTATCTCGGCTCACTGCAACCTCCCCCTCTGGGTTCAAACAATTCTTCTGCCTCAGCCTCCCGAGTAGCTGGGATTACAGGCATCTGCCACCTTGCCCGGCTAGTTTTTGTATTTTTAATAGAGATAGGATTTCACCACGTTGGCCAGGCTGGTTTCGAACTCCTGACCTCAAGTGTTCCACCCAACTTGCCCTCCCAACATGTTGGGATTACAGGCATGAGCCACCGCACCCAGCCTGATTGCTGACTTTAAAAGACCTCTAATTCACAGAGCTTCTATCAGTGTAACTCACTACCACCTAAGCTTCACTCCAATTTATGTCTTTCTGACAGATGTTGCCTTGATCTCTTTGCTAACCTTACTTTGACTTTGAGTATGTGAAAAGGGCAATGGAACAAAGGTGTATGACTGTGGGCTTTAAATATAGTACATTATTGCTTTTAATTTTTACACTGACTTTATGAGGCAGACAATTTTTCTCCCCATATTATAGAAGAGATATCTGAGGCCAATAGTAGTGGAATAATTTCACCAAGTCATACATCCAAGAAGAAGTGGCAGAATTAGGACTCAGTTTCCCATTTCTTTGGCCCCTAGAGTCATCTACTTTGTACTACATTATGTTGCTTCATCACTATATTTTGCCATTTCTCGAATACTTTTCCACCTTCTCCCTGGGATGTGGGTCTTGCCCTTGGCCATGTGTTGATCTCCCTATTCGGAACTGGTCTTACTGGGAGGTTTCCTAGCAATCAGATGCTCTGTTCGTGTCACTCAACAACCCTCCCTTCCAGCCCCTGCCAACTACACTTTCCTAGTCAGTCTTACCTAAGCTTAGGCATGAGAGCACCACTTGCAGAACCAAAGCAATAACATGCTCTTCTTTGATGACTTCCATGTGTCTTATTGTGGAAATGACAGACGTATTTGTTGAAAACAAGTGTGGCTACATTTAACATAAAACCCAACTACAGTGGCTTAAACAAAATGGGGTTTATTTTTCTCATACAGCAAGATGTCTAGAGGTAGATATTTGCTAACAACACCGCAGTGATTTTACAGCTAATGTCTCTGCAATTCTTCTAGCCTTTTCCTCCCTCATAATGGCAAGATAGCTGCTGTATCTCCAGCGATTGTATCCACATTCAAGACCAAATTAAAGAGAGAGGCCAAGTGCTAGTTGTATTCCCTCCTGTTTATCAAGAAAGTGAAATCTTTCCCAGAACATATCCACTTACACATACCCAGCGGACTTTATTTAAGACCTTGTTGAATAGACTGGGTCACAAGGCCCACACCCAGCCATTAAAAATGCAGAGAAAGCATGTGAAAATCAATTAATGTAATCCATCATATCAACAGGCTAAAGAAGAAAAATCACAATGATGTAAAACGTTTGACAAAATCTAACACCCACTCATGATAAAAACTCTCAGCAAACTAAGAATCAAGGAAAACTTCCCAACTGGACAAAGAACATTATCTACAAAAACCCTACAGCTAACATCGTTCTTAACAGTGAGATATTAGAAGGTTTCCTGATAAGATCAGGAACGAGACAAAGATATATGTTTTCGCCACTCCTTTTCAACACTGGAAGTCCTACCTAATGCAGTAAGACAAGAAGGGGCAATAAAAGGTATACATACTGGCAAAAAATAACACAGTCTTCGTTTGCAGGTGATATCACCATCTGTGGAAAATCTGAGAGAATTGACAAAAATACTCCTGGAACTAATAAGTAATTATATCAAGGTTACAGGATACAAAGTTTATATGCAAAAGTCAATTGTTTTCCTATACATGAAATGAATATAGGATATGAACAAGTAACTCAATAGTAATGAACAAGTAGAATTTGAAGTTAAAAACACAATATTATTTACATTAGCACCACAAAAAATTAAGTACCTAGGTATAAATCTAACAAAATGTGTACAGTATTATGAGGAAAATTACAAAACGCTGATGAAACAGATCAAAGAAGATCTAAATAGAGAGATATTCCATTTTCATGGATAGAAAGACTCAACAGATGTCAGTTCTTTCCAACTTGATTTATAGGTTCCATGCATTCCTAATCAAAATCCCAACAAATTATTTTACGACTATTGATAAACTGATTACAAAGTTCATACAGAGAGGCAAAAGACCCAGAATAGCCAACACAGTATTAAAGGAGAAGAACAGTCAGTGGACTGACATTACCCAATTTCAATACTTACTATACAGCTATAACAATCAAGACAGTGTGATATTAGTGAAAGAACAGACAAATAGATCATGGAACAGAATTGAGAGCCCATAAATAGTCCCATGTAAATATAGTCAACTGATTTTTGACAAAGAAGGAAAGGCAATACAATAAAGAACAGGTAGTCTTTTCAACAAATAGTGCTGGAACAACTGGACATCTGTATGCAATAGATAAATATAGACACAGACCTTATACCCTTTACAACAGTTAACTCAAAATTGGCACCATACTTAGATGTGAAACACAAAAGTTTCAAGCTCCTAGAAGATAACATAGGAAAAAATATAGATGACCTTGGGTATGGCGGTGACTTTTTAGATGCAACACTAACGACATGATCCATGAAAGAAATAATTGATAAGCTGAACTTCGTTCAAATTAAAAACTTCTGCTTTGTGAAAGCAAAGAGAATAAGAAGAGAAGCCACAGACTGGGAGAAAATATTTGCAAAAGATGTATCTGATAAAGGAAGAACATAACTTGTATATGTTATCCAAGATATACAAAAAACTTGTAAAACTCAGCAATAAGAAAATGAACAATTTGATTTTTAAACTGGGCAAAATACTTGAATAGACACCTCACCAAAGAAGGTATACAGATGGCAAGTAAGCATATGAAAAGATAAACAACATCATATATCATTAGGGATATGCCAATTAGAACAATAAGATGTCCCTACACTTCTATTTAAACAATCAAAACACCAAACACTAACAATACCAAATGCCAGCAAGGATATGGAACAATGGGAACTCTCATTCACAGCTGATGGGAATGCAAAATGGTACAGTCACTTTGGAAGACAGTTTGGCAATTTCTTAAAAGCTGAGTCATCCAATTCAGCGGTCACACTCCTTGGTATTTATTCAAATGAACTGAAATCTTTTGTCTACACAAACACCTGCATGCAAATGTGTATAGCAGCTTTATTCATAACTGCCAAAACTTGGAAGCAATTAAGATGTCCTTTAGTAGGTAAATGGATAAATAAATAAACTGTGGTACATCCAGACAATGAAATATTTATTATTCAGTGCCACAATAAATGAACTCTTAAGCCAGGAAAAGACATGGGAGAAACTTAAACAGATATTACTAAGTGAAAGAAACCATTCTAAAAAGTCTACATCCTGTTCGTTACCAACTATATAACATTCTGGAAAAGGCAAAATCATGGAAATAGTAAAAAGATTAGTGATTGTCAGGGGTTGTGAGGAGGGAGGGTTAAATAAGCAGGACACAGAATTCTTAGGACAGTGAAATACTCTGTATGATACTGCAATGGTGGATACATGACATTGTACATTTGTCAAAACCTATAGAATTTATAACACCAAGAGTGAACATTAATGTAAACTATGGACTGTGGGTGATAAGGATGTGTTAATGTAGGTTCATCAGTTGGAACAAATGTACCGCTGTGGTGTGGGATGTGATATGTTTGAGGAGAAGGAGTGTATAAGAATGCTCTCTACCTTTGCTCAGTTTTGCTGTGAACCTAAAACTACTCTAAAAAGTAAAATCTATTTTTTAAAAGGCTGAGAAAGAATGATCATGATTGACATTGACCAATCATCATTATTTGGCCTAGGTTTGGGATCACTGAAGCCCTGAACTAAATTGGAATTTTGTTAGCAAGGAAGAAGAGGCATTTCCTCCTTGTTGTTATTTTGTAACTCAGACTTTTCTGGGATATAAATATGCTACCTGACAATGCTGTTGTAATCCCTGTTGTTTCACTGGATATTTTAGAGGAAACTAACAGCCTGTGTCTGCCGTACAAATGCTTCTCGGTGATTTCCAATTCTTAGTACTGAATGGACAGCCAAGGGGTGCTATCCTGGCCTCCCTGCCACCTGCTCTGACCCAGCCTCTCTCTGCTTCATTTTTGTGGACAGTCAGGGTTTCAGGTTCAGTCTGCAGTTATGGGACCACAACCATAGGTGAGAATAGGAGGGGTGGGGATTGGAAGGCCTTGCTCTTAATAGCACTGGGACATAAAAACCTGTTTTTATCTTTGTTGAATGAAATCTTACAAGGAAGTTTAAACAAATCAGATACCATCAGAGCTGCTTGCCTGAATCTAGGGTGAGGGATGAGTAGAGCAGCTCCCCTAAACTGTTCTAGAACAGTTAAAACACCTGGCTGGAAACAAAGGCTTGACAGAGCTGACTTTTCATAAGTCTGAGAGAGTTAAAATGGGCCGGGCACGGTGGCTCATGTCTGTAATTCAAGCACTTTGGGAGGCCAAGGTGGGTGGATCACTTGGGGTCAGGAGTTCGAGACCAGCCTGGCCAACATGGTGAAACCTCATCTCTACTAAAAACACAAAAATTAGCTGGTCTTGGTGGCAAGCACCCGTAGTCCCAGCTATTCGGGAGGCTGAGTCAGGTGAATCACTTGAACCCAGGAGACAGAGGTTGCAGATCACACCATTGCATGCCAGCCTGGGCAACAAGAGCGAAACTTCATCTCAAAAAAAAAAAGAGAGAGAGTTAAAATAGATGTTATTCCTGCCCTCTGGTAGTTATGGAATGACCAGCAATGTTGCTGGAAATAGAAATATATATGATGATTAGATTAAAATGTTCATGTATGTGGATTATGTTTGGTTGAAGTTAGAACTTAAGCCAACATCCTTTAAAAGGAAAGAACAGCATCATACTAATTAATGAAAATTTATGCATACACTCTTATTATATAACAAGGCCTGACTGCTTGTCTAAACCAATCATATAGGTTTATTACAGCGATCAGAGTAATGTGTTGGAATTTCACATGTGAATGTGTGAATAACACAAGTTTTAACATTCCTTAGCAGAGTCCTATTCTTCAGTAGTACTTTTACAGAATGGCAATTTTCACAAAGGCATAGCATTTCTTTCAACAGAGAAACATAAATTGAGCTAGAATCTTTGGCAGACCTAATATTCCTTCTTTATTTGACATTAGTCTAAGTTCATGCTTTCTTGTTAAATTTTTTATCAGGCAGCCCCCTGAATCACAGCGGATTCAGAGACTCCCTAAGTTCATGCTTTAATCTATATGTTTTAATTAGTTTAAACCAACTTGTAAACCTGATATTGCTTCCCTTATCTCTGTGGTAGATAATGGACCTTCACAAACTGTACACTAGAGTGTTATTTCTCTCTATGTCCCATTTCTGTTTCCCATTTTCCTACTTTCTTCATTTCCTCATGCCTCTAAAAAGATCCAAATAGAATTAAAGCCATGTAAGAAATTTTTCCTTGGTGATTTTTCCTAATTATGACTTTTTCTTCTGGATATAAATACGCTTCATCACGATATTATTGTAATCTCTATTTTTTTTCTTTTTTTTAGATGGAGTCTCACTCTGCAGCCCAGGCTGGAGTGCAGTGGCATGATCTTGGCTCACTGCAACCTCTGCCTCCTGGGTTCAAGCGATTCTCATGCCTCAGCCCCCAGAGTAGCTAGGACTACAGGTGCGTGCCACCACAACTGGCTAATTTTTGTCTTTTTAGTAGAGACAGGGTTTCACCATGTTGGCCAGGCTAGTCTCGAATTCCTGACCTCAAGTGATCTGCCTGCCTCAGCCTCCCAAAGTGCTAGGATTACAGGCCTGAGCTGCCATGCCTGGCCAGTAATCTCTATTATAAGTATTGTTTCTAATAAAGATATAGTTCTTAAAACAAGAACAACCAAAAACTTATATATGGGCTGCTGTCAGAGGAGTCCTTTGCAGTGCATGGTTAATTTTTTCAGTTATCCACAGGCACTGGGTTGAATGTTCACTAAGTTCCAGGCACTCTGGGAGCTCAACTCTTATCCTTAGAAGTTCACAAGACAACAGAAGACATAGATTGTAAATTACATGCTCTGACTTGACATATGCCATGATAGACGTCTAACACAATATGCAAACCCTCATGAGGGACAAGCATGCCTCACAGGAGATGCTATTTGAACTAAATTTTGAAGACTGCTTTGCAAAGCCCTATCTCCTAGCTGGGATTTAGGAGCAGAGGTTCAGTTCTTGGGTAGTAGAAGAGCTCACTTGAGTTCCAGTCCTAGTGGGAAGCTGAGATGCCAAACTTACAGAAACAAGAACTTAGAATGGGGCATAGATAGTATCTCTATATTACACTATTTAGCCATCAAAAAAATATGTCCTCTAATCATTCATTTAAGAAATATTTATTGAGTCTGTTTATTTATTGAACACTGTTTGCAGCAGTGTTCTATGTGCCAGGAATACAGCATTGAACAAAACAGATATAAATCCTCACACTAGTGGAACTTAAAATAAGGAGGAAAATAGTATTAAATACTTGAGAAAATGTCATGTGAAAAAGAGCTGGCTATAGAATAGTATATAGATTCATCAGTCACTGGCTGTGGAATAAAAAAAGAATAGTAGATACAGTATAATGTTGATTTTGTTATATATAAAAAGGCTAAAGGATTATTGTACCAATTAGCTTTTGCTACATAAAAGCTTAGTGGGGGCCAGGCATGTGGTGGCTTAAGCCCGTAATCCCAGCACTTTGGGAGGCTGAAGCAGGCAGAGGTCGGGAGTTCAAGACCAGCCTGGCCAACATGGTGAAACCCCATCTCTACTAAAAATACAAAAATTAGGCCAGGCATGGTGGCTCATGCCTATAATCCCAGCACTTTGGGAGGCCAAGGTGGGTGGATCACCTGAAGTTAGGAATTCGAGACCAGCCTGGCGAACATAGTGAAACCCCATCTCTACTAAAAATGCAAAAAATTAGCCGGGTGTGGTGGTGGGCACTTGTAATCCCAGCTACTCAGGAGGCTGAGGCAGGAGAATCGTTTGAACCTGGGAGGCGGAAATTGCAGTGAGCCAAGATCACTCCATTGCACTCCAGCCTGGGCGACAGTGTGAGACTCCATCTCAAAAAACAAAACAAAACAAAAATTAGCTGGGCGTGGTGGCATGCGCCTGTAGTCCCAGCTACTTGGGAGGCTGAGGCAGGAGGATCACTTGAACCTGGGAGGTGGAGGTTGAAGTGAGCCAAGATCCCACCACTGCACTCCAGCCTGGGTGACAAAGCGAGACTCCTTCTCAAAAAAAAAAAAAAAGAAAGAAAAAGAAAAAGAAAAAGAAAAGAGAAGGCTTAGTGGTATAAGCAATACTATGTATTTAGCTTAGTGGTTTAAACAATATCATTTACTTAGCTCAGGATTCAGTGGGTTGGCACTCTGTGTTGGGCTTAGCTGTGGTTCTGCTGGTCTCGATTAGGTTCACTCACATGTCTGTGTTCAGCTACCATCACCTGAGGCTTTGCCTGATCACCTCAGGTGATCACCTGAGCTGCCATCACCTGAGGTGTTGGCTGATGTGATGGGGTCACGTATCTCTCTTCATTCAACAGGCTTTCAGAGGCTTGTTTACATGGTGGCAGTATATTCCAAGAGCAGCAAGAAAGGGCAAGCCCAATCATAACCATTTTAAAAGTCTGCTGTGATATCTTTGCTGTTGTCCCATTGGCCAAACCCAGAGTCAGAGAAGAATATTCGAGGGTACGGCTACAGGGAGGTGCTGCAACAATTTATCACAGATGTACCCGAAAAGTTTAAGGTGGTTGTCTGGGTAGTGGAATTATTATATATTGTTTCTTCTCTGTTTCTTAATTTTCAAATCTCCTTTCATGATCATGTAGAACTTTAATAATAAGAAAGTGGAACAATATATAGGGAGAAGCCTGAAGCCCAGTGATTTGGCCTAGGGTAGAGAGGAGGAGTCAGGAGAAGAAACTTAAAAGCCAGTTATCAGAGCATGAGAATATGGAGGGACCTGCAACTTGGAGCATAGCAAAGCATCCAGTGCTTGGCACAGGGCACCACATCCTGGCTCTTAGGGAGTGTATCATAATTCCTCAAGTCTGACTGAACTGGAGATGAGGGGTTTTTGCAACTTGCTTCTTGGCTCAGAAATAAACCAGATTATGATATAATCTGTATATATAAGAAATTAGAAGAGCCAATTTGGTGTGCAGGAGCAAGGATAGGCAGGAGCATAATGATGAAGGGAGCTGTCTTAGGGAAATGCAAACCTTCTACTGGAGTGGGATGAGCTAGAGAAAGATAGAAAGAAACTATGAGCCTCTTTAATAATCTTGGAATTATATACTAGAATATTGTATGCTGGCAGAAACTCCAACACCATTTTATTCAAGCTCTTCGTTACATCAAACAGAGTCTCAGAGAAGTCCCAGGGCTTGACAGGGTCACCAACATCTTGTGGCAGTGGTAGAACGAGAACCCAGGTCTTCTTAGAGCAAGTCTGGTGTTCTTTCACCTTGCTCACAGCTGCTGTGAAGGCACTGGTCCATTCATGAACAATGGAATGTTGGCGTGGTGGCATGTTTCTCTCTCTCTCTCACTCTCTCTCTCTCTCTCTCTCTCTCTCTAACTCTCTCACACACACACACACATACACACACAGTCCCCTTATGTGTTAAGATGATCCAAGTGTTACCATTATTAATGGCCACCATTTCTCTTGCTGTGCCCTTAAACCTATGCCTGCAAGTTATCAGCTAAAATGCACTAAGCAAGCAATTTTTAAAAAGACATACAATTAATAAGCACTTGAAACATCCAGGCTAATTTGCCAAGTCAACACTGGTGTGAGACCTGGGATTTTGCCAGGGGGATAATTATCTGCTACAATGATGGAACTTCCTTGGCTTTACTTGACTTGAGCCTGTTAGTACACCCAAAGCTCTTGCCTTAAAAGAAGCACTGAGAATAAAATTTACTGTTGATTAGATGGGTGTTTTATTATTTATCAAGACCATGATATTCCTTTTTATAATGGTCAAAACTAGATATTTTATTATTAAAGGAATATATACAATTACTTCACAACAATAAGCCCAGTTATTGCTTCTATCTAAATATATTTAAGCTAAGGGGGCAAATTCAACAATGAGGCATAAGGGAACAAGAAAAAGTGAGAGGGAGAGATGGATGAGTCCCTGTATTCCAGGGGTTACAGAATTCCAAGAAGGGGTTATGATTTGTATCTCATTAAAATAGGTACACATAGGAATCAGAGTTCCCTGCAAAGTGTTAGGATTTACCCATTTCTACCACACATAGATGGGGGAATTTGTTTTGTTGTTGTTTAGACAGAATTTTGCTTTGTCACCCAGGCTGGAGTGCAGTGGCAATGGCATGATCTCAGCTCATTCCCAAGTAGCTGGGACTACAGGTGTGCACCACCACACCTGGCTAATTTTTGTATTTTTTGTAGAGATGAGGTTTTGCCATGTTGCTCACACTGGTTTTGAATTCTTGGACTCAAGTGATCCACCCACCTCAGCCTCCCAAAGTTCTGGGATTACAGGCATGAACCACCCCGCCTAGTCCAATTATTTCTGTGTCAAGTCAAAAATGATTTAGGCTGAATGACTTGGTTTTTCGACTGACTGACTTGGATCATAACTTTATTTTCTCTTAGATGTGGACTTGATGGTTTTCCTAATCCCATCCCTTTCCTCTCATTCTCATTGAGAGCTCATTCAGCTTTTATCCTTGCCACTATGGGTTTAGGCCATCTGGAAAGCATATCATCTGTATCAGCGGTCCCCAACCTTTTTGGCACCAGTGACTGGTTTCATGGAAGACAATTTTTCCATGGATGGTGGTGGGGTGGGGGTGAGGAGATGGTTTTGGAATAAAACTGTTCCACCTCAGATCATCAGGCATTAGATTCTCATAAGGGGTGCACAACCTAGATCCCTCGCATGGCAGTTCACAATAGGGTGTGTGATCCTGTGAGAATCTAACACTGCCACTGATCTGACAAGAGGCAGAGCTCGGGTGGTAATACTAGCTTACCCCTCACCTCCCTTTGTGCCACCTGGTTCCTAACAGGCCATGGACTGATGCCAGTCCAGGGCCCTGGGGTTGGGGACCCCTGATCTATTTGGTGATAATACATTCAAGAAATTTCTACTCAATTATTATTAAGTCCAAAAGTCCTAAAATTGCCCAGGTGAGGTGGCTCACCCCTGTAATCCCAGCACTTTGGGAGGCCAATGCAGGTGGATCACCTAAGGTCAGGAGTTCGAGACCAGCCTGGCCAACACGGTGAAACCCTGTCTCTACTAAAATACAAAAATTAGCCGAGCATGGTGGTGCACATCTGTAGTCCCAGCTACTCGGAAGGCTGAGACAGGAGAATTGCTTGAACCCAGGAGGCAGGGGTTGCAGTGAGCCAAGACCGTGCCACTGCACTCCAGTCTGGGTGACAAAGTGAGACTCTGTCTCAAAAACAACAACAACAACAACAACAACAACAACAACAAAAACAACCAAAAAAACCAAAAGTCCTAAAGTCTCTTCAAGAGGTGAGGGCATGGTGACTGCTCTCAGCAGCCCTAGGATTGCTCTGCATTGGCTTTGTCGCCACTGCCATTTGCATTTTCCCATGTAGGTCATACAATGTGCATAATTCATCTAAGTTTGTTGCAGCTAACGAAACTTTAATCAATGAGCATCTCCAAATGTAGGGCATTTAGTTGAAGTAGGTTTGGCTCTCAACTCAATGTTGCATGGGGCTTAAGGGTCACTAAGTGACAAATGACCCTCTGTTTTATATACAGTGCAATCTGGAAGGCAGATGAAGCTGCTGGTCACTGGAATCACTCTACCTTTAGGCCCCTGAGGCATAACTAAAACTCTCACACATGGGTATAATCACGATGCACAAGCTCTTGCTTTTCCACTTGGCTCTTCTCTGATTGCAAGCAGTGCCATAGAGTGAGAAGAACCCAGGGTTCAGAGACATTAAGAACCCAAATCCCAACTCCAACACTACCTTTGGTATTGTGCCGGTGCAGAGGTCTTCCAAAGGAAATGGACAGATAATTTAGGGGAAAATTAATCTATTCTTGGACATTTATGAATCTTTTCTATTCACAAGGAATTTAAAAGTAATTTGAATAACTTATTTATTGATTTTTTTTCAGTTCTTAATTTAATTTACTTATTTATTTTTGAGACAGGGGTTTGCTCTGTCACCCAGACTGGAGTGCAGTGGCACAAACACAGTTCACTGCAGTCTCGATCTCCTGGGCTCAAGTGATCCTCCCACCTAGGCCCCTCAAGTATCTGGGACAACAGGTGTGCATCACCATGCATGGGTAATTTTTTTTTTTTTTTTTTTTTTGTAGAGGCAGGTCTCACCATGTTGCCCAGTCTGATCTCAAACTCCTGGGCTCAAGGGATTCTCCTGCCTTGGCCTCCCAAAGTGCTAGAATTACAGGTGTGAGCCACCATACCTAGCCAATTTGAATGATTTATTAACAAATATTTATTAAATATCTACTCTGAGCCAGTCTTGTGATGCCCACAGCCTAAAAGGGGAGCTACATCTATAAACAGATTAACGATAACATGTGCTAAGCACAACAATAAAACTGAGTGGAGGGTATAGCAGCAGCACAGAGGGATAGTGATAAACTTTACCTTGGGGCAGAGATGCTCAGAGAAGGCCTCTAACATTTTACTCAGTAAAGCAGGCTTAGCCGATCTTTTTAAGGATCCATGAGACCTATGTAAGGTACATGGAATTGGAGAATATTTGGACCAAAAAGTATCTTTAGAAACCACAATAGTCTATCTTTCTACATTTAGTTAACACCAGATTTATAGGCCAGGCACAGTGGCTCACTCCTGTAATCCCAGCACTTTTGGAAGACCGAGATGGGTGGATCACATGAGGCCAGGAGTTCAAGACCAGCTTGGCCAACATGGTGAAAACCCCATCCCTACAAAAATTACAACAATCAGCTGATCGTGGTGGTACACACCTGTAGTCCCAGATGTTCGGGAGGCTGAGGAAAGAGAAGCGCTTGAATCCTGGAGGCGGAGGTTGCAGTGAGCTGAGATCATGCCACTACACTCCAGTCTGGGCAACAGAGTAAGACTCTGTCTCAAAACAAACACACAAACAACCCTCCCCATCCCGCCAACATTTATAGACCATTCCTGCAAACAGGGCAGGCTACATAATTTGTGGAATGCTTTGTTCAAAAAGCAGGGAATAAAATGGTGTAAAAGGCATTAAAATTTAAAGGATTTTCCCTTTCTTCTGTGATCTCTCTTTTGACCTGTGATGGTTTTTATTTGCAATTTATTGTTGTTCTAAGTAAAATTCTTTTTTAATTGTTAGCTTGAATCTTACTGTTCATTTTTACATTTTTCAATGCCAGTTTTCATTGCAAACATAAAAGCATTAACTTGTGTGTGGAATCAGAAATGACACAATTTTTATTTTGTAGCTTGTACACACATATGTATTTTGTTCTTACCAGAACAATGGAAATGCTGCACAAAACTAACTCAATCTTTTTATTTCACTTCTTGATATGAGTACCTTCTACCAACACTCTATCTTTGGCTGACTGATGAGAAAGGAAGATCAAAAAGTAAAAGAAACTGTGGGTTGCCCTATCTTGCCTTTCCTTCTGTCCTTTTCAATGTAAATGGCTGGCTAATCCAGGGTAGTAATATGAGTTTGAAAGGATATAAAACGTTCTTTGGTCTTCATGTTTCTTAGAATGCCACTGCCTTCTTTCTGCATTCTAAACAAGTTCCGGTTCAAGTAGAAAGCCTAGCCTCTTGAGGCCTGTCGGCACCTCCACTTGGGCTACGATGTAACACTTAGCATCCACTTGTTTTGAGTCTCACTGCAGGTTCACCAGAATTCTGTGTTCATCTGGTATTGGAAACACCATATGCAAATGGGGCATCAAGAAACAATGAAGGCCAGATGCGGTGGCTCACACCTGTAATCTCAGCAC
This sequence comes from Homo sapiens, assembly GCF_000001405.40. Classification (NCBI taxonomy): domain Eukaryota; kingdom Metazoa; phylum Chordata; class Mammalia; order Primates; family Hominidae; genus Homo; species Homo sapiens. The sequence goes on along the minus strand of NC_000002.12, from coordinate 152,288,965 downwards.
TTTGGGAGGCTGAGGCGGGCGGATCACCTGAGGTCAGGAGTTTGAGACCAGCCTGGCCAACATGGTGAGACCCCAACTCTACTAAAAATTAGCCAGGCGTGGTGGCAGGTGCCTGTATCCCAGCTACTTGGGACGCTGAGACAGGAGAATCACTTGAACCCAGGAGGCAGAGGTTGCAGTGAGCCACACCATTGCATTCCAACCTGGGTGACGGAGCAAGATTCTGTCTCAAAAAAAAAAGATAGAAAGAAACAGTGAACATGTGTTGTGCATTTCTCCTCTGCTCATGTGCATGCCCCACTGTCAGATCAGACTTCACTTTATACAACATAAGTTCAAAGACAAAGTAATTAAAACTTTCATGATAGACATTCAACTAAGTACAGGGCCCATGAAGTCAGTTCTGTACACGAGTAAAGGCTAAAACTGTATTGGGGCTCAGAAAAAATATGTTGAATTATTGCCTTTTATGACTTTATAATATACCACCGTTGCAGCTTCTAGATAAAATTCCCATAGGTAACAAATTTATATATTTATGATCTTGGTTCACATTCCTCAAAAATACAATGTTACTACCATCATTTTTACACCAGAACATTTTGTTCAGCTACAGAAAAGAGCAATTTAGGCTGGGCACAGTGGTTCACGTCTGTAATTGGGAGACTGAAACGGGAAGATCTCTTGAGGCCAGGAGTTTGAGACCAGCCTGGGCAACATGGTGAAACCCTATCTTTACTAAAAATACAAAAATTAGTCAAGTGTGGTGGTGCACACCTGTAATCCCAGCCACTTGGGAAGCTGAGGCAGGAGAATTGCTTGAACCTGGGAGGCAGAGGTTGCAGTGAGTCGAGATTGTGCCAATGCACTCCAGCCTGGGCAATAGAGAGATACTCTGTCTCAAAAAGGAAAAGAAAAGAGCAACTTCATCAGCTAGGTCTTCTCCCCTTCGTGGGTTTACAATCTAATATAGGCCACATTGACAGGGATAAATGTATAAAGTACACAAGACAATAGTGTAATACTGGCCGGGTGTGGTGGCTCATGCCTGTAATCCCAGCACTTTGGGAGGCCAAGGTGGGCGGATCACAAGGTCAGGAGATCAAGACCATCCTGGCTAACATGGTGAAACCCCGTCTCTACTAAAAATACAAAAAATTAGCCGGGCGTGGTTACAGATGCCTGTAGTCCCAGCTACTCGGGAGGCCGAGGCAGGAGAATCGCGTGAACCCGGGAGGCGGAGTTTGCAGTGAGCTGAGGTCATGCCACTGTACTCTAGCCTGGGCAACAGAGCAAGACTCTGTCTCAAAAAAAAAAAAATAGCGTAATACTGCACAAAATTCCTCATTAATAAATTACATAACTTATATGACCTCAGATGGATAAGTTTTCAATTGTATAATAAAAGGCGAGACATTAAGATCACATGTTTAGAGGTCAAAACACACAACTTGTCACCATTCATATAACTTTGCAATAGAGAGTACTGTAAGTTTTCTGTGCCTGTACCATGAAATACTTTACCATTTTTTACTTTATTTTTGTTTTTTGTTGGTTTTTGAATAGACTTTAGAGCAGTTTTAAGTTCATAGCCAAATTGATTAGAAAGTACAGAAAATACTCCCTGCCCTCCCCTGCTATTCTTATTTATTATTTTTCACAGCATCCCTAGAAAATAGATGAGCCTCTTACTCCTTATAATGCTTTTAGAGAAAACATGGCACAAAATTTTACTACTTTGAGCAAAAGAATCTTAAAGATCAAGTTGATATTCCCTAAGTTTCAGCCAGTTGGGTTCTACCTGACAGATTCAGTGATATACATATGTCATACCTACTTCATAATTTCAGTGTTTTTTTTTTTTCAAACTAATCCACCTTTTTTACTTAAATACATTTATTTAAAAAAGAAACTTTGTCTATTCCATAACTAAGAAGGCAATCGTAAACATAGATGCGGAAGTATTACAGTTTGAAATGTCTGAGGCCAGGTGCGGTGGCTCATGCCTATAATCCAAGCACTTTGGGAAGCTGAGGCAGAAGGATCACTGGAGCTCAGGAGTTCAAGACCAGCCTGGCCAACATGGCAAATCCCCCTCTCTACAAAAAGTAAAAAAATTAGCTGGAGTGCTGGCATGTGCCTGTGGTTCCAGCTGCTTGGGGAAATGTGGTGGGAGGATCACTTGAGCCTAGGAGGTTGAGGATGCAGTGAGCCGTGATTACATCACACCACTGCACTCCAGCCTAGGTGACAAAGCGAGACCCTGTCTTGAAAAATAAAAACAATAAATTAAATAAAATGTTTGCATATGTCTAACACCTCAAATCAATTTGCAGAAGTATGCCTGTCACAGTTTAGGAAGAATTTGGTTCAGCATTCCCTGAAGTTTTTCTGCTACAATAACTAGATAGGTGGTGTTCCCAGTGTGGCACTTTGCCATGGTTATATGCAGCTGTTTTAAAGGCTTTGATATAGATCAAGCAGAATACAGGTGAGGCCCAGTTTCTTCATCCCCTATCTGTGATTTCACCTCTTTTTCTCCCACTGATCATGCTACCTGATTTATAGACAACACAACTGAAGCTGGGAAGGTTGAGCATCTGTTCAATTTACGCAACCTGAATTTATGTGGGCCTCCCCTACTTCTCTCCCAGTAGTTTTTATGGTTTACCATAAGACCTCTCCAACACTGAAACTGAGATAATCAAATAATATGTTCATTAAAGGGAGCAGAAGATTAAAATTTAAAGTTGGAGTTCTCTCCTGCAAATGAGCACCAGAGTACAAACTGATCACTGCCTTCCCAAATGTCCACCCCTGTGGACAGCAAGAATGTAGGCCAGTGCTTCCCAGACTCTAGGAGATGCACACGAGACAGCTTGGGGGAGTACAGAGACAACCTTGAAAAGCATGGACAACTGTATGAGAAAATCATTCCCTTTTTTATTCTATTTTAATCCTTCTGATTATGTCAGGGAGAAAAAGCTCTTCAAGGCTTATATGTTGTTGTTGTTCTTCTTGTTTTGTAGAGACTGGGTTTCGCCATGTCACCCAGGCTGGTCTCGAACCCGTGGACTCACGCGATCCACCCACCTTGGCCTCCCAAAGTGCTGGGATTATAGGTGTGAGCCACTGCGCCCCAAGGCTCATATTTTTAAAAATCTTTCCAACAGTTGCTAATCTACTTTTTTTTAAAACAAAGTGAGAGCAGAAATCACCCTTAAGATAGGCATTTATCAGGTATTTCTCAAATTAGTATTTAATTAATAAATTGTTTTGTTATATATGTTTTGCAATTATTCCCTATTTAGACAGGTGATTCAAAAAGTTTTATTTGTGGTAGGTATATACATTTTAATGTTTTAATAAACCTATTTAGGTAAAAATAAAGGTGATTTAAAGAAAACTCGGAGGTAAATAATAGATCTAATGGATATAAATATGTGAAAATTATACAGGAGTGGCTGAAGTTTGAGAAACACTGGCAAAATGAAACAGAATTGGTATTTATTGGTAGAACTGGTATGTGTCAAGTTCTCTCCCATACACTTGGCATTTTTTATGAAAATGGGAAAAGACAATTAAAACCCAAATTAACCATCAGTGCTTTTTCCTTCTGGTGGAGGTGTCATAATTCACATCAGTGGAGAAATGAATCTCTGCTCATTTCCACAAGCAGAATCTTGTGGGAGAGAGAAGAAAACGGAAAGAAGGGAACTTCAGTCCCTCTGGGCGGGAGGTAATTCGACTGTTGTTGGGAGGAGCACGTTACAGGCTGTGGAAGTGGAACAGTTGGCCAAAGAGCGAACTGGGGGAGGAAAGATTAATTACTTTTCAATTAATGAGAGGAGCCCCCAGAAAATGGGCAGAGAAGAGAAAAAAGATGTGGATGCATCTTCCTATTCCCCCCAGCGTTAGTAATGTCGACCATGTGCGAACACTTTCTATTTTACTGCTGTTAATCAGGATGGAGCATAGTTGTGGGAGGAAGGGGAGGCTAGAAGGCATTGAAGAATGCCTGTCACCTCCCACTCATGTTGTTATTGACTGTTGTCACCTATTATGTGCAAGGTGCAAGTGCCAGGCCCTGGGAACAGAAAGGGGCAAAGACACACAGTCCTGACAGCATAGAACTTGCAGTCAAATAGAGGAGTGGGTATATAAATAAAATACTGATATAAATAAATACATAATTACAAACTGTGATAAATGTTGTGGGAAAACATAACTGGGTGCTGTGGACAGTCCAAGAGGGCTTTATCAGATTCCTGCCTGCCACTTCAAATCCCTTTGGCCTCTTTTCCAATTCCAGGGATGCTATGGCAACCAGATCTACTGCCAGCTTCCACCAGTTTCCCACAAGTGCAATCTGACTTCACCTCAAGCCTCCAGTTCCCAGGCTCCTATCCCAGAGGAAATCCACTTGCACACATGCAACTCAGAGCATGGAAGAGCTAATACCCTAGGAGGAGCCACTGCATAAATGCTTACTTCTTTTTGAAGTCAGCTGGCCGAAGGTAGTGAGTTATCTCAATTGATTGTTCGCTTTCAGTTACAGATTAAGCTCCTTTTTCTACTCTTTCTCCCCTTCTCATACTGCATTTGACTAGTCTTACAATAAATAAATAAAATTCATAAATTATATTAAAACTACAGTAATAAAAACTTAAGATTCATCACTTCCTAATTCTTTTACTCCATTATCTGTACTCTTGAAGCTATTTACATCTATTGTGTCTGTTTGGTGGAGATGCTTTTTAATGGTGGGCTATGTTGCATCTCTTCCCAAGTCCACATTCAGTAACACCACATTAATAGCTTGACATTAGCCATGGTGGAAGTATTTACATCACAAAAATAGGCAAATGCTACAAATTAGGATCTAATTGTTTTGTGGATTGTCTAAGCTTAAGAAAATGATAGAAAAAATGTTAATAAAATAGATTAAACTTCAAGGTATGTTATGTCTATAGCAGTTATGAATAGCACAAAAAAGCATGTCTAAACTATTATTTGACTCAGAAAAAAACAAACATCATTGATGAACGAGTAAAGTCAACACACATCATCCTATTTTCACTTTCATCTTATTAGTGTAGATGAATCAACATTTATATTGTAATTGTACTTGCTGTCAATCACAAACATAGGTTAGCTATGAATACAAGACCAGCAAAAATCAATGAAAGCATTCTGTGAACATCAATCAGCTATATAGAATTTACCATAAAAAGCAATATACATTTTGTTATTTGGAAATTATGCACTATACATAATCTATGTCAGTAAAATTTATAATAAACTTTTGTACATGTACATACATGCCTGCATTTTTTCCTGAAGAACAGGTTGCTAAACATTCATCAATACCCCACTGCTTCTTACTCATATAAGTCTTTGTTTCAGAGACTCTGCTTTGAGGTCAACCCAGGATGAGACCATTGTAATCAGGTGTGGCTGTAGAAAGTCGACCCTCAGAATAGGAATTTGGAGCTAGATAACTCACCAAAAAGATAGCAGTAGGGAGGGTGTTTATAAACCTTGGTGTGCAGTAGCATCACAGTTACTAAGACTCTTACCTGAGTGACTGCGATGAGATGCAAATGGAAGATGAAGCATTGCGTTATGTGGTGGGTGTAATGCTTGAATGGTAGGGGCTATGATAATTATACGGATTATAAGGATTGCTATGATAAATACAAGGAGTATGGAGCTTGTAGATCTTGATTCTACCCATTTGCTAGAGCTTTGGCTGTATTTCAGGGGCTCAAAGGTGAGGGAGTGCCCAGAGACCAACAGCTTCATCTGTTTTCAAGGTTGTACTATATTAAAAAAAAAAAGTGTGTCATCTAGGGAACTTTAAACCTCATATAACATTGAGCTGACAGCCAAACCTCTTTTAACCAAATGCCCTATAAGAGCAAATGGATAAATGGCCAAAAGGCTCTGGGATATATTTCATAAGATTCTCAGAAGGTCCTGGGTGATCAAGCAACTAGTAGCCCATAGCAGAGGTCAACTCAATAATGTATCCTTATGTTGGCTCATCTTTCTTCCTCTTTCACTCCCCTGTTCTCGCTCTTGCTATATAGTCACAAGAAAGCCTTTGTCTCAGGCTCTGCTTTGGGGAACACTTGACCTAAGTCAGACATGGGTCTTATTTGGATTGAGAAGCAGAGACAGGTCATTGAAAACCTTAATAATCAGGGGAGGGAAACTGCGTGGGTAAAGAAATGGTCCAAGTCAAAAGGAGATTTTCTGTGAAAGTCCGGAAGTGGGGGAAAAAATGTAATCTACTCCAGGTATAGAAGAAGGCTAGTGGGGCTGGAGTAGAAAAAGCACATGGGGAGAATGGCATGAGACAAAGCTGAAGAGTGGGCAGCACTTTGTATTTCCTTCTCACTTAAATTTTCTTTGTCACTAGAAAAAACATCATTACCTTGTTCACTAAGCTACCTCATTTTCTCCATTATTCCTACTTGAAATGTCCTTAAAATTAGGACTGTGATGAGAAAAAACAGTGAAATTGAAGAAATCTTGGCTCATATTTTGGTTCTGCCATTGAGTTTAATGTGTTACTTGGACAAATGACAAAATCTCTATGTTAAAGTAATATGAGGACAATAAATATGTATAAATGCTCTATGTAAAATACATGATATTACTATTATCACCACAAGCTATGAAGCATGGGAGGGCATGACCATAGTCCATGTTTTACAGATAAATGAAGACCTAGAAGCATTGTCCAAAGCAAAAAGAGAACAAGATAGCTCCCTAAAGCTCCACCTTTGCTTGCAGCAAAATCGCAGAATTAATGATGGGATTTGAAAGCAGTCATTCATGATTAAGCATCTGCTCAAAGCTGAAGGAACCCCAGCCCAAAGCCACAGAAAGGGAAAAGGCTTTGACTTCTTTATATAGATAAAGCCAGAACAGGTAACGATAAGAATTTTCCTTCAGAGAATTAAATTATCTCCCTGTTATCAGTTACTCTAAGTGGGATTTAAAAAAAAAAATCAGATGCAGTGGCTCACACCTGTAATCCCAGCACCTTGGGAGGCCAAAGCAGGAGGATCACTTGAGGCTAGGAGTTTGAGACCAACCTGGGCAGCATAGCAAGACCCCATCTTTATTTTTAAAAAAATCCCAGCATTTATAATGCTATATTTAAGCAATTCCCACCTACACAATAAGCATTAAGCAATTGGTAGTTATGACCTCCTGTACGTATACCATGATATGGTATAACTTTATTATTTAAAAGGCTGTTTTTCTAGTTTATATTTCAATGGTAGAAACTAATTGTGGCTTGAAGTGTGATGCCAACTAGCACTACCTAGAAGGTCTGTTTCAGAAGGTATTGTCATATGCACGGGTTCATGTAATGCAATCAGGTCCATTCTATTCCATAGTCTTTGATTCCTTCTCCAGTGAGTACAAATTATTGGAAGAGACTTTGAGAATTTGTCCCATCTAGGCTGCTCTGCCTATAGAGTAGTCATTCTTTTGTTTCTTTACTTTCTCAATTAAAAAAAAAGAATTTGTCCCATCTAGACAGAGTCTTGCTTCTAAGCAAGTGCTCACCTATGATGAACGATTCTACTTGTCATATCTCTATCCCATGCCTGGAGACTATATTAGAAACTTGGAATGAAAATATGGAGACTTATATAAAGGTTCCCAAGGCATTACTCTTTCACAATTTTCCTTCTGGGTTAGAAGTATATCAAAATTATCTTGTAGTCCTATACTCCACCAGATATTGCAAGTTTTTGTTTTTGTTTCGTCTTTACTTTTTGGAAGCTTGACTCTACTGTGTTTTGGTGTGGATGTCTTTGGGTTTATCCCGTTCTGGGTTCATTCAGCTTCTTGAATCTGTAGGTTTTTCTTTTGTCAAATGTGGGCAGTTTTCAACCATATTTCTTTGAGTACTTTTTCAGCCTGTCCTCCTTCTCCTCTCTCTGAGTCATCAATGGTATGAGTGTTGGATCTTTTGTTATACTCCCACAGGTTCCTGAAACTCACTTTTCTTTTAGTCTATTTTCTCTCTGTTGTTCAGTTTGGGTGATTTCTATTATTCTATCTTCAAGTTCACTGATTCTTTCCTCTGTCCTTTCTATTCTGCTGTTAAGCCTGTTCAATGAGTTTTTAATTATGGTTATTATATTGTTTAGTTCTAAATGTTTCAAGTATTCTTCTTTATGTCTTCTATTTCTTTGCTAAGACTTTCTAATTTTTGGTTGAGATGCTATTTTTTCCACTTGTTTCAAGCATATTTATAATCGCTTGTTAAGGCATTTTTATGATGTCTACTATAAAATATTTGTCAGATAATTCTAATATCCTGTCATCTTGATATGGTAGCTATTGATTTTTTTCAAAAATTCAGTTTGAATTTTTCCTGTTTCTTCTTTTTACTAAAAAATGAGGAAATATAAACATATAAGACTCCAGATTTTATTTAAGTTGTCTGTTTAGCTGACTTCCTCTCATACCATTTCAGCAGGGGAGGGGATGGCTAATGCCTTGTTACTGGCAAATATAGATAGAATTACATGTTCTCCATTCAGCCTTATTACTGCTGGGCAGGGGTGAGAGCTCTGGCCCATCACTGTGGCCTCCACAGACACCATGGGAGAGGGGTCCCTTTTAGCACTGGGATATGGCAAAAGTCCTAACTCTCCACCAGACATTCTCTGATATAACAGTGGAAGGGGAGAGGGACACTTCGTTACTGCTGTGTGGAGGTAAACATCCAGGAGCCCCAGGTGATCTCTATTGATATTCCAGGGGAAAAGGTGACTTCTTTCTACCCTAGTGGGGATGAAGGTCTCAGTTCTGCATTTGGCCTCTGGGATCACCCCAGCAGTGGCATTGGGGCAGTGCACTATAATCTGGCAAGGGTACAAGTCTAGGCTCTCCATGCAGCCTTTGTTGGCAGGAGTGGGGGTAGGGCCACAGTTTTGTCGTCGTTTGTTTTTTGTTTGGTTGGTTTTTGTTTTTTTGTGGTGTTTGGCTGCAATAGAGCAGTTATTGCCTAAAAATTTTCTGTCTTAGCAAGATTCCCCCTTCCTGATCCTTTTGCAAGTGTAGTAGTCAGGGTTCTTCAGGGAAATAGAACCAGTGGGATACGTAGAGATATACAGAAAGAGATTTATTATGAGGGATTGACTCACACGATTATGGAGTCTAAGAAGTCCTGTTGGAAGCAGGCCCCCCAAAATCTGGCCATAAACTGGCCCCAAAACTGGCCATAAACAAAATCTCTGCAGCACTGTAACATGTTCATAATGGCCCTAACTCCCACGCTGGAAGGTTGTGGGTTTACTGGAATGAGGGCAAGGAACACCTGGCCTGCCCAGGGTGGAAAGCCACTTAAAGGCATTCTTCAGCCACAAACAATAGCATCAGCAATCTGTGCCTTAAGGACATGCTCCTGCTGCAGTTAACTAGCCCAACCTATTCCTTTAATTTGGCCCATCCCTTCATTTCCCATAAGGGATACTTTTAGTTAACTTAATATCTATAGAAACAATGCTAATGACTGGTTTGCTGTTAATAAATACGTGGGTAAATCTCTGTTCAGGGCTCTCAGCTCTGAAGGCTGTAAGACCCCTGATTTCCCTCTTCACACCTCTATATTTCTGTGTGTGTGTCTTTAATTCCTCTGGCACCACTGGGTTAGGGTCTCCCCAACTGAGCTGGTCTTGGCAAGTGAAGTCCATCGTGGGGGCTTGAATCCAGGTTGAAGGGTCACCAGAGCAACGGTTGGAATGGAAAACTAGCTGGAGGACCCCCGAGTACTCTTAAAGCAATCCCCGTGGTGAGGAAGAAGGGGAGCTCAGAAGCATCAGGGTAACAATGGGACAAGTGTGGAGTCTGGTTCGTTTCACCTTGGAACTTTTTCACACTGATGAGGAGGAGGAATGAGAGTATAATGAAGTAACAGAAGAGGTTACAGACCAGGTTTATTTGCCAGCTAAAGCTAAAGCAGCAAAGGAGGGAGAGGTTCACCCCTACCCTTCTGGACCCCCTCCTTATTTTTTGAAGAAAAAGACCCTCCAGATCTTTCTTTTCCAGAGGACATTGGGCGAAAAGTAGTTGCCCTAGTGACTGTTCGAGCAGCACCTCAAGCAACCGCTCTTATTTCTATTCAGGCAGGAATTCAGCAGCTAGACAAGAGGGTGATTAAGACACTTGGCAGTCCCTGTTAGAATACACCCCCCAGATCAACAGGGAAATATTTCAGCTACATTTGAGCCTTTTCCTTTTAACTTACTCAAAGAATTTAAACAAGCTATAAGTCAGTATGGACCAGGTTCGCCTTTTGTAGTGGGACTGTTAAAGAATGCTGCTGTTTCCAGTTGGATGATTCCTACTGACTGGGACGCTCTTACTCAATCTTGTCTAACTTCTGCTGATTTCTTACAATTTAAAACTTGGTGGGCAGATGAAGCTTCCATTCAGGCTGCTCACAATGCCCAGGCCCAACCTCAAATTAATATAACTGCAGACCAACTTTTGGGGGTTGGCAGCTGGGCTGGTTTAGATGCACAACTGGTCATGCAGGAAGATGCTATAGAACAGCTTAGAGGAGTGTGCATTAGAGCTTGGGAAAAACTCACTTCAGGTGGGGAACAATACCCTTCCTTTAGTGCTATAAAACAGGGACCAAGAGAACCATACGTTGATTTTATAGCTCGGTTACGGGAGTCTCTTAAAAAGATGATTGCAGATTCAGCTGCTCAGGATATAGAGTTGCAGTTATTAGCTTTCGACAATGCTAATCCTGATTGCCAGGCTGCTCTGCAACCTATTAGAGGGAAAGCACATTTAGTTGATTATATCAAGGCCTGTGATGATATCAGAGGTAATCTGCATAAAGCTACCTTGCTGGCACTGGCAATGGCAGGGCTGATTGTGGATAAAGGAAATACTCCGTTTCCTGGAGCTTGTTTTAACTGTGGGAAGCATGGTCATACTAAAAATGAATGTAGAAAAAATCAGCGAGTCAGGCCATCAGATAGGGGAAACAAGAAAACTGTTGAGCCTGAAATATGTCCAAAATGTTCTGCACCTATAAATTTATGGGGAAGAGATTTATTACAATGATGGGGAGCACAAGTTCTAATTCCAGAACAATTACATAGCCCTCAAAGTCAACATACGATGCATGAAATGAGGTATGTCCCTGGTATGGGACTAGAAAAAAAAAATCACAAGCTTTGCAAGAACCACTTCAAGCAGAAAGACAAACTTCCTGCCAAAGATTAGGATATGATTTTTGATGGTGGCCATTGTTAAGCCTCCAGAACCTATATCTTTAAAATGGTTAACAGATAAGCCAATTTGGATAGAACAATGGCCACTAAGTAAAGAGAAACTGGAGGCTTTAGAGACGTTAGTTACTGAACAATTAAAAAATGGGCACATAGCTCCAACATTTTCCCCTTGGAATTCTCCAGTTTTCATAATTAAGAAAAAATCAGGTAAATGGAGAATGTTAACTGACTTAAGAGCCATCAATTCAGTTATACAACCTATGGGAGTATTATAGCTGGGATTGCCTTCTAGTGCTATAATTCCAAAAAATTGGCCTTTAATAGTCATAGATTTAAAAGACTGTTTCTTTACTATCCCTTTAACTGAGCAAGACTGCGAACGGTTTGCATTTACAATTCCTGCAGTAAACAACCTGCAGCCTGCTAAGCATTATCATCGGAAAGTGTTGCCACAGGGCATGTTAAACAGTCCAACAATTTGCCAGACGTATGTGGGGCAAGCAATTGAACCTAGACGTAAAAAATTTTCACAGTGTTACATTATTCACTATATGGATGATATGCTTTGTTCTGCCCCCACTTGAGAAATATTACTCCAATGTTATGGTCACTTGCAAAATTCGATTTCTCACACTGGTTTAATTATAGCTCCTGACAAAATTCAGACTACTACTCCTTACTCCGACTTGGGGATCTTAGTAAATGACACTACCATTGTGCCACAGAAAGTAACCATACGTAGGGATCAATTAAAAACATTAAATGACTTTCAAAAATTACTAGGGGACATTAATTGGATATGACCTGCTCTAGGCATTCCTACCTATGCCATGAGTAATCTGTTTTCTGTCCTTAGAGGAAATCCTAGTCTCATTAGTCCTCGGCAATTAACAAAGGAGGCTGAGGCAGAGTTACAACTAATTGAGAAGCAAGTCCATAAAGCTCAAATAAATAGAATAGATCCAGAGAAGACTCTACATTTGCTAATTTTTTCAACTCAGTATTCACCTACTGGTGTTATTGTCCAAGAACAGGACTTAGTAGAGTGGCTTTTTCTTCCACATACTAATTCACGGACTCTAACTCCTTATTTAGATCAAATCGCTACTATGATAGGGATTGGCAGAACTTGGATTGTTAAATTACATGGATATGATCCTGGAAAAATTATTATCCCTCTCACGAAGGCACAAATACAGCAAGCTTTTATAAATAGTCTTACTTGGCAAACCCATTTAGCTGACTTTGTGGGTATTCTCGATAATCATTTTCCTAAAATGAAGCTGTTTCAGTTTTTGAAATTAACTAATTGGATTCTCCCCAAAATAACTAAGTTTAAACCAATTGAAGGTGCTGAGAATGTTTTTACAGATGGGTCTAGTAATGGTAAAGCTCCTTATTTTAGCTCAAAAAGTAAAGTTTTCCAGACATCCTATACTTCAGCTCAAAAAACGGAGCTTGTAGTGGTAACTGAGGTATTGACTGCTTTTGATATGCCTATTAATGTGATTTCTGATTCTTCATAAGTGGTTCATTCCACACAGTTAATTGAAAATGCTCAGTTATGATTTCATACAGATGAACAACTGGTGACTTTATTTACCCAATTGCAAACAGCAGTTAGAAGTAGAATGCACCCTTTTTACATCACTCACATCAGGGCTCATACACCTCTTCCAGGACCTTTGATTGAAGGGAATCAAATGGCTGATCACCTAGTTGCTAATGCAATATCTAATGCTAGACATTTTCATAATTTAACCCATGCTAATGCCTCTGGTCGCAAACACAGATACAGCATTACCTGGAAAGAAGCTAAAGCTATTATCCAGCGATGCTCAACTTGCCAAATGGTACATTCCTCATCTTTTACAAGAGGAGTTAATCCTTGAGGATTGGAACCTAACTCTCTTTGGCAAATGGATGTCACACATGTTCCCTCATTTGGGAGACTAGCTTATGTACATGTATGTGTGGACACCTTTTCTCACTTTGTTTAGGCTACATGCCAAACAAGAGAGTCTTCTACCTGTGTTAAATGTCATCTTTTGCAGTGTTTTGTGGTGATGGGCATTCCAGCTTCTATTAAAACAGATAATGCCCCAGGCTATACTAGCCAAGCTCTAGCTACATTTTTCTCTACGTGGAATATTAAACACATTACTGGTATCCCATGCAATTCTCAAGGACAAGCCATAGTGGAAAGAATGAATCTCTCCCTAAAACAGCAGTTGCAAAAGCAGAAAGGGGGAGACAGAGAATATGCAACACCGCAGATGCAACTGAATCTAGTATTATTAACTTTAAATTTTTTGAGCCTGCCCAAAGGCCAGATGTTATCAGCAGCTGAACAGTATCTACAAAAACCAGCTGCAAAGACAGAAGCAGAACAACTGATTTGGTGGAGAGATCCGATAACAAAAAGTTGGGAAATAGGTAAAATAATAACTTGGGGTAGAGGTTATGCTTGTGTTTCTCCAGGCCAAAATCAACAGCCGATTTGGATACCATCAAGACACCTGAAACCTTATCATGAGCCAGATGCCAAGGAAGAGATTCCGGGAGGATCCCAAGGACACCTCAATTGCAGCCATGTCAAGACTGACACTGAGGAGGACCCCAATTGTCACGAGCAACACCCGCTGAACACAGCCACCTACCTGGGGACAGATCAAGAAGCTATCACAGATGGTGGAAGAAAACCTGGGGAAAGCAGGACAACCAGTCAAAACGAGTAATTTAATGGTAGCTATGGCAGCGGTTATCACCACTGCCATGAGTATTCCTTCAACAAGGGCTGATACAGAGAACAATTACACTTATTGGGCATATTTATCAATCTTGGCTGGTAATAATGCCTGGATGCAATCACTCTATGACATAGTTATACATGCTTTCTGATTTCAGTATTTGCCATAATAAATCTGCCTCTATAATTGAGGCATACCGCCCTCAAAAACCTATTTGTAAACAAAATTGAACCTGGCTAGAAAAAATGAATGTACTCGTTTAGGAAGATTACATTGCAGAACAGGCAGAGGTGCTGCACAATGATTCCTATGAAATCATTATTAATTGGTCCCCTAAGGGGATGTTTAGCTTAAATTGCACTTCTCAGTCTGTGTGCCACAGCCACACTATGTTCAGATGATCTGAACAAAATGGTCAGATGGTAGATATAAGAAGAAGTACGTCAGAAGTTCCTTTTATCTGGAACCATGGCAGTATAGTGGCACCTCAACCTCAAATGATATGGCTTGCTCTAGGAGCTTAACAGAAGGATTTAAAATTAAAAGAACAAACACTTAAAACATCCCAGGCACACCTGACCTTAATGCCAGGAACTGGAGTGCTTAAAGGAGGTGAAAATGGATAAAAACACTTGGAAGCTCTGGGATTTCAATGATAATTGTGCTTTTGATCTGTGTTGTTTGTCTTTGCATAGACTGCAGATGTGGATCCTGACTCCTGCAAGAAGTAGCTCACTGTGACAAAGCTGCCTTTGTGTTTATCAATTTGCAAATCAAAGAAGGGGGACATGTTGGGAGCAGGCCCCCCCAAAATCTGGCCGTAAACTGGCCCCAAAACTGGCCATAAACAAAATCTCTGCAGCACTGTAACATATTCATAATGGCCCTAAAGCCCACGCTGGAAGGTTGTGGGTTTATTGGAATGAGGGCAAGGAACACCTGGCCTGCCCAGGGCAGAAAACTGCTTAAAGGCATTCTTAAGCCACAAACAATAGCATCAGCAATCTGTGCCTTAAGGACATGCTCCTATTGCAGTTAACTAGCCCAACCTATTCCTTTAATTCAGCCCATCCCTTCATTTCCCATAAGGGATACTTTTAGTTAACTTAATATCTATAGAAACAATGCTAATGACTGGTTTGCTGTTAATAAATACATGGGTAAATCTCTGTTCAGGGCTCTCAGCTCTGAAGGCTGTGAGACCCCTGATTTCCCACTTCACACCTCTATATTTGTGTGTGTGTGTCTTTAATTCCTCTGGCACCGCTGGGTTAGGGTCTCCCTGACCGAGCTGGCCTTGGCAGTCCCACAGCCTGACATCTGCAAGCTGGAGACCCAGGAAAGCCAGTGTTACGGTTCCAGTCCAAGTCCAAAGCCTGAGAACTAGTGGAGCCAGTGTTGAAAGCCCCAGTCTGAGTCTGAATGCCCAAGAGCTGTGGAAGCTGTTGGTGAACCTCCTGGTCCAAGTCCAAAGGCCCAAGAACCAAGAGTGCTAATGTCCAAAGACTGAGAAGATGGATATCCCAGCTCGGGAACAGACAGTGAATTCACCATTCTTCTCCCTTTTTGTTGTTCCGTTCAGGCCCTCAATGGATGTGGTGGTGCTCACTCACTTTGGTGAGGGCAGATCTTTACTCAGTCTACTGATTCAAATGCGCATCTCTCCCAGAAACACTCCCACAGACACACCCAGAAATAATGTTTTACCAGCTATCTGGGCATCCCTTAGCCCATTCAAGTTGACACATAAAATTAGCCATCATAGCTAGTGAGAAAAAGCTTTTCTTAAGGCTTTTTAAAATCTGCACGTATTGGCATTTCTGTGTTACTGGCTTCTCCAGCATCCAATCTGGAATATATAAAGCAATTTTTAAAACCCCAGGAAACTCACTGCCACATCAGAGCCAAGGTCTTTAGTCAGTCTGTCTTCTTCCCACCTTTCAGAGTCTTTTCATGTTTGTTTCATATGCATTGTTCAGGGAGGTTTGCTGAACAAAAATGGGAAGAATAGGGGAAAAAAATGCCTACTCTGTCTCTTCAGACTAGAATGGCTTTTTAGGAAATTGTCAAGCTTCTTTCCAAAGTGGCGACTACACATTCCAGTAGCATATGGGACTTTCAGTTACTCCAGAGCCTCACAACATTTGATATCATCAGCTTTTTAATTATGGACATTCTAAAATTTGTGTAGTGGGTCCTCATTGTGGTGTTAACTCACATTACCCCCATGAAAAATTATGTTGGGCATCTTTCATGTGCTTATTTACTATCCATACATATCTTTTATGAAGTTTTTATTTAATGTTTTAGCCATTTAAAAAATTGGGGTTTTTTTGGTTATTAAAATAGTCGTGGCCAGACACGGTGGCTCATGCCTATAATCCCACTTTGGGAAGCCAAGGCGGGAGGATCACTTGAACCCAGGAGTTTGAGACCAGCCTGAGCAACGTGGCAAGACCCCATCACAATAAAAAAATTAAAAATTAGCCAGCATGGTGGTGCATGCCTGTTGTCTCACTTGCTCAGGAGGCTGAGGCAGGAAGATCACTTGAGCACAGGAGGTTGAAGCTGCAGTGAGCTGTGATCGCACCACTGCACTCCAGCCTGGGCGACAGAGCAAGATTGTCTCTGAAAATATAGTTCCGAGAGCTTTTTTTACATTCCGGGTTCAAGTCTTTTTTTAAAACTTGTGATTTGCAAATATTTTTTACCAGTCTGTGGCTTGTCTTTTCACTCTCTCAAGAGTGTCTTTTAAAAAGCAGAATTTTTTAACTTTGGTAAAATCTAATTTATTTTTTCCTTTATGAATCATGCTTTAGATCACAGTTTGCCTAACTCAAGATTACAAACATTTTCTGGTATTTCTCTAAAAATTTTTATCATTTTAAGTTTTACCTCTGGGCCTATTATCCATTTTGGATTAATTTTCATATATGGTATAAGTTATGAATTAAAGTTCATTGTTTTGCATATGGATGTTCAGTTGTTCCAGTACCATTTGTTGAAAAGACTTTTGTTTTCTTAAATATGCTTTTGCATCTTTGTCAAAAGTCAACTGACCACACATATAAATATCAGTCTATTTCTAAACTCTATATTCTGTTCCACTGATTTATTAAAAATATCTTTATGTCAATACTGCGTTGTCTTGATTGCTGTAGCTTTACAATAAATCTTACCATCAGGTATTGCAAATCCTTCAACTTTGTTCCTTTTTTTCAAAGATTTTTTGGTTGGTTTATTTGGGCTATTATTGGTCCTTTGCATTTCCTTTTTTCAATTTTTGCTTTTATTTAATTAAACCATTTTTAAAATGTTACTTTATTGTGGTAAGAACACAGCGTGAGATATACCCTCAGAACAAAGTTTTAAATGTATTGTTGACTGTAGATATAATATATAGATCTCTAAGCCTTATTCTTTTGCTTAATCTATTGTTTTGCATTATGCCTAATGATCAGTAACTCCTCAATTCTCCCTCTCCTCAGCCCCTAACAACCACCATTTTATTCTTTGATGCTATGAATTTGACTATTTTAGATAGCTCATATAAGTGGAAATATGCAGTATTTGTCTTTCTTTGACCGACTTAGTTATTTCATTTAACATAATGTCCTCAAGGTTCACTGATATTATCACATATTGCACAATTTCCTTCATTTTTTAAGGCTGAATAGTATGCCATTGTATGTATATAGCACATTATATTTTTCTTTCTTTTTTGGAGACAGGGTCTCACTCTGTTATACAGGCTGGAGTGCCGTGGCACAATTACAGCTCATGGCAGCCTCCATCTAATGGGCTCAAACAATCCTCCCACCTCAGCCCCTGCAAGTAGCTGGGACTACAGGCTTATGCCATCACACCCAACTGATTTTTGTATTTTTTGTAGAGATGGGGTGTCACCATGTTGCCCAGGCTGATCTCAAACTCCTTGGCTCAAGTGATCTGCCTGCCTTGGCCTCCCAAAGTGTTGGGATTACAGGTGTGAGCCACTGCACCCAGCCTATAACACATTATCTTCATCCATGTATCTGTCAGTGAATATTTAGGTTGTGTCCATATCTTGGATATTGTGGATAGTGCTGCAATAAATATGAACATGTTTTTTCTCTGGTTTTTGGCTGCAATAAAGCATATCTCTTCAAGAATTTCATTTCAATTGTTTTAGATTAATACCCAGAAGTGGGATTACTGGATCATATAGCAGTTCTATTTTTTAATTTCTTGAGGAATCTACATACTGTTTTCTACAGGGGCTGCACCATTTTGCACTCCCACCAACAATGTGCAAGAGTTCTAATTTCTCCACATCCTTGCCAGCACTTACAGTCTTTTATTTATTTGTTTGTTTGTTTATTTATTTTACAGAGACGGGGTCTCACTATGTTGCCCAGGCTGTTCTCAAACTCCTGAGCTCAAGTGACCCTCAACTCCGGCCTCCCAAAGTGGAGGATTACAGGCGTTCAGTACTACCCCTTGCCGTTGTATTTTGTTTTGTTTTGTTTTCAGAATAGCCATCTTGACAAGCGTGAGTTAATATCTCATTGTGGTTTTGACTTGCATTTCCCTGATGACTTGTGACCTTGAGCATTTTTTCATATACCTGTTGGCCATTTGTATGCCTTCTTTGGATAAGTGTCTGTTCAAGTCCTTAGCCCATTTTTAAATCTGATGGTTTTTTTTTTTTTTTTTTTTTTTACTACTCAGTTGCATGAGTTCTGTACATATTTTGGAGATAAACTCCTTATCAGATATATGGCTAGCAAAAACCATTCTGAAGTTGCCTTTTCACTATGTTGATAGTTTCTTTGCTGCGCAAAAACTTTAGTTTGATTTAGTCCTATTTGTTTACTTTTGCTTTTGTTGTCTGTGCTTTGGTATCGTTTCTATGAAATCATTGCCAAGACCAATGTCATGAAGCTTTTCTGCTATTCTTCCTTTTTTTTTCTAGTAGTTTTGGAGTTTCAAGTCTTACATTTATATCTTTCATCCATTTTCAGTAGATTTTTGGGTATGGAGTAAGAGTCCAATTTCATTCTTTTGCATGTGAACACCCAGTTTTTAAAACAACATTCACTGAATAGACTATTCTTTCTCCATTGCCTGTTCTTGGCACCCTTATTGAAAACCAGTTTACTGTATATGTGGGTTTATTTGTGGGCTCTCTTTTCTGTCCCATTGGTCTATATGTTTGTCTTTATGCCAGTACCATACTGTTGTGATGATAATAGATTTATAATATATTTTGAAATCAGGAAGTCTGATGCCTCCAGCTTTGTTTTTCCTCAAAATTGATTTGACTGTTTGTGGTCTTTTGTGGTTCCATATGAATTATAAATCTTTTTTTCTAATTTTGCAAAGAATGCTGTTGGGATTTTAACAGGAACTTCATTGAATCTGTAGATCACTTTGCATAGTATGAACGTTTTAACAATATTGTCTTTCAAGCCATAAACACAGGATGTCTTTTGTTTTGTTTATATTTTTCTTAATGTCTTTAATTAGTATTTTGTAGTTTTCGGTATACAAATCTTTCAGTTCCTTAGCTGAGTTTATTCATTAATATTTTATTTTTTTGGTGCTTTATATATGAGATTGTTTTCCTAATTTCCTTTTCAGATAGTTCATTGTTAGTGTATTAAAGTGCATCTGATTTTTCTATGTTGATTTCGTATCGGGCAAATTTACTTAATTAGGTTATTGGTTCTAATCATTTTTGTTTATGGGGTCTTGGGGTTTTCTCTCCTTCTCTTTCTCTATGTATATAAAATATTATGTAGTCTGCAAGCAGGGACAATTTTACTTCTTTCTTTCCAACTTGGATGTTTTTATTTCTTTTTCTTGTCTGATTGCTCTGGCTAGGACTTCAAGGACTATGTTGAAAAGAACTAGGCCAAGCACTGTGGCTCGTGCCTGTAATCCCAGCACTTTGGGAGGCTGAGGTGGGCAGATCACTTGAGGTTAGGAGTTCAAGACCAGCCTGGCCAACAAGGTGAAACCCCATCTCTACTAAAAATAAAAAATTAGCCAGGCATGGTGGTGCCCACCTATAATCTCAGCTACTTGGGGGTCTGAGGTAGGAGAATTGCTTGACTCTGGGAGGTGGAGATTGCAGTGAGCCAATATTGTGCCACTGCATTCCAGCCTGGGCAACAGAGCGAGACTCCATCTCAATAAAAAAAAAAAAAAAAGAAAGAAAGAAAACAAAGAAAGAAAAAAGAAAAGAACTAGCCCAACTGCAGTGGCTCATGCCTATAATCCCAGCACTTTGGGAGGCTGAGGAGGGCAGATGGCTTGAGCCCAGAAGTTCGACACCAGCCTGGGTAACATGGTGAAACCTTGCCTCTACAAAAAATACAAAAATTAGCCAGATGTGGGGGCATGCGCCTGTAGTCCCAGCTACTCAGGAGGCTGTGGTGAGAAAACTGCTTGAGCCTGGGAGGCTGAGGTTACAGTGAACCATGATTGTGCCACTGAACTCCAGCCTGAGTGAAAGAGTGATACCCTGTCTCAAAAAAAAAAAAAAGAAAAAAAAAGAAAAAAAAACGAAAGAAAAGAAGTGATAAGAATAGGCATCCTTGTTTTGTTCTTGATCTTGGAGGAAAAGATTTTAGCTTTCACCATTGAGATAATCTTAGCTGTGGTCTTTTAATATATGGCCTTCATTATGTTCAGATACTTTCCTTCTATTCCTAGTTTGTTAAGAGTTTTGATCATGAAAGAGTGCTTAATTTTGTCAAATGATCTTTGTGCATGTATTGAGATACTCATGGAATTTTGACCCTTTACTGTGTTCATGTGGTATATCACCGTATTAGTCCATTTTCACTCATGCTTCTGATAAACACATACCTGAGACTGGGCAATTTACAAAGAAAGAGGTTTAATGGACTCACAGTTCTACATGGCTGGGGAGGCCTCACATTATGGTGGAAGGCAAAAGACACACCTCACATGGCGGCAGACAAGAGAAGAGAATGAGAGCCAAGCGAAAGGGGTTTCCCCTTATAAAACCATCAGATCTCATGAGACTTATTCACTACCATGAGAACAGTATGGGGGAAACTGCCCCCATGATTCAGTTATCTCTTACTGGCTTGCTCTCACAACATGAGGGAATTATGGGAGCTACAATTCAAGAGGAGATTTGGGTGGGGACATAGCCAACCATATCAATCACATTAATTGATTTTTGTGTGTCAAACCATCCTTTCATCCCAGGGATAAATCCCACTTGGTCATGGCATATGATACCTTGAATGTACTGTTGGAGTTGGTTTGCTATTTTGTTGAAAATTTTTGCATTTCTATTTATCAAGGATATTGGCCTGTAGTTTTCGTGTATTGTCTTGTCTGGCTTTAGTATCAGGCTTTGTTTCATGGCCTCATGAAACAAGTTTTAAGGTGTTTCCTCTTATTCAATTTTTTGTAAGAATTTAAGAAGGATTGCCATTAATGCTTCTTTAAATCTTTGGTATTTAAATATTTGGTATCAGTTAAGCCATCTGTTCTCTCTCTCTCTCTCTCTCTCTCTCTCTCTCTCTCTCCATATATATATAACATAAAGAATATATTCTTTAAATATTTGGTATCAGTTAAGTCATCTGTTCCTGGTTGGGGGAGGTTTTTGATTATTGATTCAATTTTCACACTACTTATATGTCTGTTCAGATTTTCTGTGTCTTTTTATGTCTTCTAGTCTTTCTCTGTCTTTCTATATCTTCTAGTTTTAGTAGGTTATATGTTTCCAGAAATTTATCTGTTTCCTCTAGGTTATTCAGTTTGTTGGTATATAATTGTTCATAGTAGTCTCTTATGATCCTTTTTATTTCTGTGGTATCGATTGTAATGTCTACTCTTTCATTTCTGATTTACTTGATTCTCCTTATCTTTTTTCTTAATTGGTCTAGCTAAGAGTTTGTCAATTTTGTTTATCTCTTCAAAAAACAACTCAGTGGTTTTGTAGATTTTTTTGTTTTTTGTTTTTCCAGTTTTCAATTCCGGCCAGGTGTGGTGGCTCACATCTGTAATCCCAGCACTTTGGGAGGCTGAGGCAGGCAGATCACCTGAGGTCAGGAGTTCGAGACCAGCCTGGCCAACATGGTGAAACCCCGTCTCTACTAAAAATACAAAAATTAGCCAGGCTTGGTGGCGCGTGGCTGTAATCCCAGCTACTTGGGAGGCTGAGGCAGGAGAATCACTTGAACCTGAGAGCTGGAGGTTGTAGTGAATGAGATGGCACCATTGCACTCCAGCCTGGGTGACAGAGCAAGGCTCTGTGTCAAAAAAAAAAAAAAAAATTCAATTATGCTTAATTCTGCCCTAATCTTTCCTATTTTCTTCTTTCTGCTAACTTTGGGCTTGGTTTATTCATTTTCTAACTCCCTGAGGTGTAAAAATAGGTTTTTTATTTGACATCTTTATTTGAGATCTTTCTTCTTTTTAATGTAGACATTTATCACAATAAACTTTGTTCTTAGTATTGCTTTTGCTGTATCCCATAAGTTTTTGTATGTTGTGTTTTCATTTTCACTTATCTTAAGGTATTTTCTAATTTCCTTTTGGATTTCTTCTTTGACCCAGTGGTTATTTAAGAGTATATTGTTTAATTTCCACATTAGTACATTTTTCAGTTTTCCTCCTGTTATTGATTTCTAGTTTCATACCATTGTGATCACAAAAGATATATGATATCTCAGTCTTCCTAAGTTTGTGAAGACATTTTTTTGTGACCTAATGTGATCTTTCCTGAAGGAAATTCCGTGTGCACTTGAGAAGAATGTATATTCTGTTGCTGATGGATGGAATGTTTTATATATGTCTGTTAGGCCCCTTTGGTCTATAATGTTGTTCAAGTTCTCTGTTTCCTTAATGATCTTCTATCTGGATGTCCTATCCATTACTGCAAGTAAAGTATTAAGGTCTCCTACTATTATTAATATGTTGTCAATATTTGCTTTACATATTTAGGTACTCCGATGTTGGGTGTACATGTATTTATTTATTTATTTATTTTGAGACGGAGTCTTGCTCTGTCGCCCAGGCTTATATGTATCCTTAAATCCAAAGTGAGTTCCTTGTAGATAGCATAGAGTTGGGTATTTTTTTTTAAATCCATTCAGCCACTTTATGTCTTTTGATTGGATAGTTATTCCATTGACATTTAAAGTACTCATTGACAGGGAAAGATTTACTGTTGCCATTTTGTTAATTGTTTCCTGTTAGTCTTGTAGTTTTTTTGTGTGTGTGTCTGTCTTCCTCTCTTGCTGTCATCCTTTTGTGTTTTGTTGATTTTTTGTATCGATATGCTTTGATTCCTTTCTCTTTTTCTCTTGTGTTACTTTTATAGATATGTTGTTGGGGATTAACTTGGGATTTACATAAAATATCTTGTAATTATAACAGTCTAATTTAAGCTGATAACAACTTGAGTTGAATTGCACACAAAAACTTTAACTTCTCCTCCCTGCTGCCCTCAGTACCCTGTGTTACTGTTGTCTGCATTTCCTTTAGAATTTTATTTTTAAAGACATGCTCTCACAAGATCATTGCTCTCTGCAGCCTCTAACTTCTGAGCTCAGCGATCCTCTTGCCTCAGCCTGCTGAGTAGCAAGGACTACAGGCATGAGCCACCATGCCTCGCTAATTTTTTTAAAAATTTATTTATTTGAGGGGCTGGGTCTTGCTATGTTGTCCAGGCTGGTCTCGTTCTCCTAGGCTCAAACAATCCTCCTGCCTCGGCCTCCCAAAGTGCTGGGGTTATAGATGTGACCCACAATGTCCAGCCTCCTTTAGAATTTTGGAATTGACTTGTCAACTTCTATAAAAACTGCTGCTGAGATTTTGATTGAGATTGCTTTGAATCTATAGGTCAAATTTGGGAGAATTAATGTCTTTTCAATATTGACTTTTGATCCATGAGCGTGGTATATCTCTCCATTTATGTTTTTTCTTTATCTTACAACATTCTGTAATTTGCAGATTTATTCTTACGCATTTTATATTTTTGATGCTATTGTAAGTGATATAATTTTCATTTATTTCCATTTCCGATTTTCTTCTCTTTTTTTTTTTTGAGATGGAGTCTCACTCTGTCGCCCAGGCTGGAGTGCAGTGGCATGATCTCAGCTCACTGCAAGCTCCGCCTCCCGGATGCATGCCATTCTCCTGCCTCAGCCTCCCGAGTAGCTGGGACTACAGGCGCCCACCATCACACCTGGCTAATTTTTTGTATTTTTAGTAGAGACAGGGTTTCTCCGTGTTAGCCAGGATGGTCTCGATCTCCTGACCTCATGATCTGCCCGCCTCGGCCTCCCAAAGTGCCGGGATTATAAGCATGAGCCACTATGCCCAGCCCCCATTTCTGATTTTCAATGCTAGTGTATAGAAGTATAATTTTTATGTACTAATCTCACATCCTGCAATCTTTATTGTTTATTTTATACATATTAAGATGATCATATTGTTTTTCTTTTGTCTGTTGTTATGGTCAATAACATTGATTGAATTTGAATGTTAAATATACCCTGCATTCATAATAATAGACAATAATTATCATTTCTCTATGGTAGATGTCTGAAGTGTGTTTTTTCAGAACATTAGCTCTGTGACATGTTAGTGGATATTATGCAAACAGAGCAAATAAAATTAATTTGGCAAATAGTAGGTTAATTAAGTTTCTTTACTTCAGGACTTCTCAGAGGCTTGAATATCCTGGAGTGAATTGCAAATCTACACATAAATTTCCACATACTTAATTTGACTATGGACTTATCTTTTCTTAGATTATTCCTCAAGGCTAGAGTTTCCATGGAACACATTCTGGGAAATACAGTGTTATACTAGGTAGATAACATATGTTTAATCTTGTGGTTAAACTGTGAACTTGCCAATGGAAGCCATCATATTGAAATCATAACATCTAGTACCTGCCTGGCATTCTTTTATTTATTCATTCTTTTTTATTTCAATAAATATTATTTGACTCCTTTGTATACTGGACTTCATATGTGGGGAGAGAGAGATGAAAGGTATTTTTTTCTGCTCTTAAGGAGCTTAAATTCAAAAAGAGTCTTCAATAAACATTAGTTGAAGCAATGTGCAAATGAAAGAACATCTAGTCATTTCACTATCAACATAATTGTAAGCTATATAGTACTCTATGGGGAAAATAAAAATATATTAATAATTCTTAAATGAAACCCAATTGCCTATGAGTTTCTCCAAAACAAAGACCATCTTCCCCAACGTACTCCCTACACTAGCAGAGTTTGACACTTAGTAAGTGGCCAATAAATACATATGGAATCTAACTGAATTAATGATACAGGAGTCCTTATTCTCCCCACCACGTTCCTGAGAAACTTCAGCCAAATAATTGACATAAAATGTCAGTATTCTTTGTACAAAACATGTATTCAGCATTAAATTGTGCTGTTGGGAGGATCAAGCACCCTTGGGAAAGATAATTACTAATATCTTGGACTGTGCTTTCTATCCATTATGGTAGTCAATACCCACATGTGACTATTTAAATTTTAAATCAAAATTAATTAAATTTAAACAAAATTGAGTTATGCAGTCACCCCAGCTACATTTCAAGTGCTTAGCAGTCACATGTGGCTAGTGGCTATTGTGTAGATAGCTTGGAATGAACTTTTCTTTTTTTTTTTTTTTTTGAGACAGTCTCGCTCTGTCACCCAGGCTGGAGTGCAATGGCACAATCTCAGTTCACTGCAACCTCCACCTCCCGGGTTCAAGCGATTCTCCTGCCTCAGCCTCCTGAGTAGCTGGGATTACAGGTGCGCACCACTATGCCCAGCTAATTTTTATATTTTTAGTAGAGACGGGGTTTCACCATGTTGGTCAGGCTGGTCTCGAACTCCTGACCTTATGATCCATCAGCCTCAGCCTCCCAAAGTGCTGGGATTACAGGCGTGAGCCACCGCACCCAGCCCAGAATGAATATTTCTATCACTGCAAAATGTTCTTTTGGGCAGCATTTGTCCAGAGCACAGGAAATAAAACCCACGACCTTTCAGTAATTAAAAAATAATTCAAGGTTGTTTTGTAAACCCAATACCCACACTGCTTTTCAGAGGGTATTTTAGCAAGTCAGTTTCTGGCTTCATATAAAACCCAGGTGCTAAAGCTAGTTTCAGAAAAACAATAAAAAGCCCAAGCACTACGTTTATAGAACATTGAACCAAGTTGATTGTGAGACCACTTTAAATTATCCCATGATCTGACAACTGTCATTAAAGGTACCCATCCACATCTTTGTTGCTAATGTCTACAATTTGAAACCCCATCAATTTACTTAAGAAACATTTTCCAAATTCTTTGAGTTCCTTAATGTGCCTGACATACAGAAGATACTTAAATACGTGTTGGTTGAATGAAGAGCTTCTTTGGGAAACAATCTTAACTCTTACATCCAGATATCCCTAGAATTTAACTCTGTGAGATGAATCCACACATCACAAACCGGTTTCACAGATTTAATATGCAAGAATTTAGGTAACTGAAAATTTTGTTTATTAAAGAGAATAACTTTAAATAAAAAATCTAAGGTACACAGTTATTTAAAAATTTGAGGCCGGGCGTGGTGGCTCACGCCTGTAATCCCAGCACTTTGGGAGGCCGAAGTGGGCAGATCACCTCAAGTCAGGAATTCGAGACCAGCCTGGCCAACATGGTGAAACCCCGTCTCTACTTAAAACACAAAAAATTAGCTGGGTGTGGTGGTACGCACCTGTAATCCCAGCTACTCAGGAGGCTGAGGCAGGAGAATCGCTTGAGCCTGGGAGGCAGATGTTGCAGCGAGCCAAGATCGTGCCACTGCACTCCAGCCTGGGGGACAAGAGCGAGAATTCATCTAAAAAAAAAAAAATTTGATTAAGCTTTATCAAACCCTAGTACTTTGGTTTGATTAAAGTATACCATATTTTTTTTCTTATGGTGTTCAGTAAATAGTTACCAGAAATTTTGATCTCTATAGTAACTAATTTGCAAAATAATCATCAAAAAAATCATTAAAAAATATTTTACAATTCGAGTTTCATTATTCATGACTGCAACCATAAATTCAATTCCACAAACCTATTACGCTAAGTATGTATTGTCTTTCTTTTTTATTTGAGATGGAATCACTCTTATTGCCCAGGCTGGAGTGGAGTGGTGCAATCTCGGCTCACTGCAACCCCCACCTCCCAGGTTCAAATGATTCTCCTGCCTCAGCCTCCCAAGTAGCTGGGATTACAGGTGTTCGCCACCATGCCTGGCTAATTTTTGTATTTTTAGTAGAGACGGGGTTTCACCATGTTGGCCAGGCTGGTCTTGAACTCCTGACCTCAGGTGATTCACCTGCCTTGGCCTCCCAAAGTGCTGGAATTACAGGCGTGAGCCACTGTGCCCAGCCTATTTTTTAATAGTTTATTTCTTTTAACTTTTACTTAAGGTTCAGAGGTACATGTGCAAAGTTTGTTATGCAGATATACTCGTGTCATGGGGATTTGATATACAGATTATTTTATCACCCAGTAATAAGCATAGTACCCAATAAGTATTCTTCCTGATTCTTTCTCTCCTCCCACCCTCTCCCCTGAAGTAGCCCCCAGTATCTGTTGTTTCCTTCTTTGTGTTCATAGTTCTTATCATGTAACTCCCACTTATAAGTGAGAACATGTGGTAATTGGTTTTCTGTTCCCGTGTTAGTTTGCTAAGGATAATGGCCTTCAGCTCCATCTATGTTGCTGCAAAGGACATGTGCTCATTCTTTTTCATGGCTGCGTAGTATTCCACAGTATATAAGTACCACTTTTTTTTTTAAATCCAGTCTATTGTTGACAGCCATTTCAGTTGAATCAATGTCTTTGCTATTGTGAATAGTGCTGCAACGAGCATACATGTGCACGTGTCTTTATGGCAGAATGATTTATATTCCTTTGGGTATATACCCAACAATGGAGTTGCTGGGTTGAATGTTAGTTTTGTTTTTAGTTATTTGAGGTATTGCCACACTGCTTTCCACAATGGTTGAACTAATTTGCATTCCCACTAGCAGTGTATAAGCATTCTCTTTTACCTCCAACCTTGCCAGCATTGGTTATGGTTTGACTTTTTAATAAAAGCAATTTTGGAGTGAGATGGTATCTCATTGTGGTTTTGACTTACATTTCTCTAATGACTGGTGATGTCGAGACTTTTTTTATATGCTTGTTGGTAGCATATATGTCTTCTTTTGAAAAGTGTCATGTCTTTTGCCCACTTTTTAATGGGGCTGTTTGTTTTTTTCTTGTAAATTTGTTTGTGTTCCTTAGAGATGCTGGATATCTGACCTTTGTCAGGTGCATAGTTTGCAAATATTTTCTCCTGTTCTGTAGGTTGCCTGTTTTTTATTGAGATGATTTCTTTGTCATTTATTGTTTTCCAAATATAAAAGCAAATATAAACACAAGGGATACTTATGCTATGTATGAATATAGAAATGGTAACATTTTGCCTTTATGTAGCTTCTATTGACCACATTCCAGGTTTAGAAGTCTTTAGAAGACCAATATCATTGCCTGTTTCTTTGGATTTCCATAAACCTCAGACATTTTTGCCATTCAGGTTCCAAACCAGTTTCTTATTGTTTCGAACTTCCCAACTCAGACCAGCTCCTAAAGTCTAAAGTGTTATGTGAAACCTTGCAGGAAGGGCATGCTGAAAAATTATAAAGTGTGTTCTGCCATATGTTGCTTCCCACTAAACTGCAGTGAGAATTGATGGGAGATACCTCTATGGAGGAATTCTCTGAAGATCCTGGTCAGTGTCCATTTTGAGAGAAGCAGAGCATCTGAAAGGAGGAGCACTGTGCATGTTCAGAAAGCTTGGATATATCTTCTCTGGAGTTGAAAGGCGTGGACAGGTATTTGACTTTTACAGGCGAGTTCTAATGAAGTCTGATTGAGTTGAGCTCCTGCATTGGTCTCGCTGGGAGCTGCAGACCGGAGTTGTTCCTGTTTGGCCATCTTGGCCCCTCCTCTCATGCTCATCTTTTATTTTTCACTAAAGAGCTAATTCTTTTCTTTTCTTTCTTTTTCTTGTTCTTTTCTTTCTTTCTTTTTTCTTTTTCTTTTTTTTTTTTTTTTTTTTGAGATGGGGTCTTGTTCTGTTGTCCAGGCTGGAGTAGTGCAGTGACGCAATCACAGCTCACTGCAGCCTCAACCTCCTGGGCTCAAGTGATCTTCCCACCTCAGCCTCCCAAGTAACTAGGACAGGCGCAGGCCACCATGCCTGACTAATTTTTTTATTTTTCATTTTGTAGAGATGGAGTCTCACCGTTTTGCCCAGGCTATTCTCTAGATCCTAGGCTCAAGCAATTCTCCTGCCTTGGCCTCCCAAAGTGCTGGAATTACAGATATGAGCCACCATGCCTGGTCTCTTTTGATTTTTTTGGTAAAGACTTTTATTGATATATAATGTACACACAGAAAAGTGAATAAATCATAAGTCAATAGCTTGATTTTTAAAAAATAAATTGAACACATCTATATTATAACCATGAAGATCAGTCACACAGCCCTTCAGAGGCTTCCTTTAATTTTCCTCTTTGTCATTGCTTTAAAAGGTCATCATTATTCTGACATAGCATAGATTAATTTCATCTGCTTTTATACATCATATAATAGAATTGGTGTACTCTTTTATATCACTAACTAGACTGGAAATTATTTAAGACAGAGTCTGTGTCATATTTGTTGTTATATCTCAAAGTTTTGACTACAGTCTTGTTTAGAGTGAGAATTAGATATTTATTGAGTCAAATTGCCTACGATGTGGCATAGCAAGTTATGAGAAGGAAATAATCAGGCTGGGTGTGGTGGTTCATGACTGTAATCCCAGCATTTTTGGAGGCCCAGGCCAGGGGATTGCTTGAGCCCAGGAGTTCAAGACCAGCCTGGGCAACATGGCGAAACCCGTATCTACAAAAAATACAGCAATTAGCCAGGTGTGGTGCCACGGGCCGGTAGTCCCAGCTACTTGGGAGGCTGAGGCAGTAGGATTGCTTGAGCCCAGGAGGTGGAGGATGCAGTGAACTGAGAGCATGCCACTGCTTTCCAGCCTGGGTGACAAAGAGGGACCCTGTCTCAAAAAAAAGGAAGAATTAATATAGAGTAACAGCCAAATGAAGGTAAAAGTGAGGATTAAGCCAAACCATGAGCAGGGAAGGCTTCTCAGGTAAGAAAAATGGCACTGTTGATAATAGTGAACAAAGGACAGAAATGGATTGGCTCTTATTTCTTTCAAAAGTGCTGTTTGTTGAGCTCCTTCCATGTGCCAGTGCTTACCTAAGTGATTTCACTTGATCCCAATATAGCAACACTGAAAGTAGGGAACATTATTTCTCTCATTTTGAAGAAACTAAGGTTTAGAGAGGTTAAATAACTAGCTGTGGCTGGGCGCGGTGGCTCACGCCTGTAATTCCAGCTCTAAGGTAGGTGGATCGCTTGAGCCCATGAGTTCAAGACCAGCCTGGACATATGGGGGTTAACTCATTTCCACACACACACACGCACACACACAAAATTAGCAGAGTGTGGTGGCTCTCCCATGTAGTGTCAGCTACTAGGGAAGTTGAGGTATGAGGATAACTTGAACCCAGGAGGTTGAGACTGCAGTGAGCTGTGATGGTGCCACTGCACTTCAGCCTGGGTGACAGAGTTAGACCCTGTCTCAAAGCAAAAAACAACCAAAAAAAAGAAAAAGAAGGAAAGAAAGAAACAGAAAGAGAGAGAGAGAGAGAGAAAGAAAGAGAAAGAAAGAAAGAAAGAAAGAAAGAAAGAAAGAAAGAAAGAAAGAAAGAAAACGAAACTGGCCTTCTCAATGTTCTTGGGAATAAATGCAGAATTACTGACTGCTTGAGACTAGTAGTCTACTCTCTTGTATGTGTGCACATTTCTGCTTCTACCAATTAAATTCAAATTCTCAATAAGTCATTGTGTTTATTATTTTTGTTGTTGTTATTGTTATGAACAAATTAAAGGAATGAAGGA
Source organism: Homo sapiens (assembly GCF_000001405.40). Lineage (NCBI taxonomy): Eukaryota > Metazoa > Chordata > Mammalia > Primates > Hominidae > Homo > Homo sapiens. Next base: position 152,257,888 of record NC_000002.12, on the reverse strand, counting down.
TGGCTACTCCCTAGGCAGAGCAGCCAATTGTGTTTATTCTTAAAACTGTTTATGCCCATTGTACTTGTTATTATAATTAGTTCATTTAATTAAAGAGATGAAAATGCATGCAAACGTATAAAAAATAGCCTGAACTGCTTTAGAAAAACTCAGAAAAGGGCCAGGCACAGTGGCTTATGCCTGTAATCTCGGCACTTTGGGAGGCCAAGGCAGGTGGATCACCTGAGGTCAGGAGTTCGAGACCAGCCTGGCCAACATCTTGAAACCCCGACTCTACTAAAAATACAAAAATTAGCCAGGCATGGTGGCAGGTGCCTGTAATCCCAGCTACTTGGGAGGCTGAGGCACGAGAATCACTTGAACCCGGGAGACAGAGTTTGCAGTGAGCTGAGATCGTGCCACTGCATGCCAGCCTGGGTGGTAGAGCTAACCTCAGTCTCAAAAAACTTCAGAAAAAGCAAATCATTGAAAAGTAATTGTGTGAATTAGATGAATGGAAAAGATCATGGAAACAATAGTAAAAATCTAGAAAGCTTTTGCAATCAAGATGCATCCCAAGTGTACTAAAGTTGCTGCTGCTCTTTCAAGAAAGGAAATGTGGAAATTTTTGACTGCTAATTATGGGTGTGGCTTATGAAAGGCAAAAACAAAACAAAATAAAAAACAAAGCAGAACTCCACTCAGCAAATCTATACTAGAAGAAAAGATCTTGGCTAAACATCAAAATGTTGGCAGATAAATATACATTTACATGTTTTAAGGTATATGTGCATCACTTTCTTGGGATTTTCACTTTACTCAACCCTCCTTGATTAGAAGATCCACAACCAATCTCCGGTCAACCTCGTTAAACCTGCCATTCACTGACATTAACAGTACAAATTAGACTGCTTGCTCAGCAAGCAACCAGTGCATAATAAGAGCTCAATAAAACTTAGCTATTATTTTTACTAGCAATACATGATGTAAACTATAGTGAACTAGTAACTGCTGGGACCAACTTTGACAAAGAAGGGTAAAATAACACTTACTAGCCATCCCAATTAATTCAAACTGGATGCAGATCTCAGATTCTTGCCAAAATATGCTGATGTTAACTGGGTATTGGCTTTTCCCTCATCCAGTATTATAGTCTAGGAATGCTTCCCTTGAACAGAGGAAATTTTTTTTACTTTTCAAAAGAAATCTCATAGAGTGTAATGTGGACTGGTTTACATCAGGTCCTGGCAGAGTTAATTCGGGGGTGGCAGGCAGGAACTTCTTGAAATAGGTGACTTCAGTGAGAAACTGCAGCCCAGGCATGCCTTTGTTAGAAATGCTGTTCTAAGGACAATGTGTTTCATTCCTGCCTCTCCTTACAGTTCATTTTTAATTATTGATGTCACTCTTGCCTTCTGTCTCTGCCCAAACTAATATAACATTTAAACATTAAAGAGACTAAAGAGTCAGTGACTGAATTTTTAAAAAGAATGAACAATTAAAAATAAATTCATTATTAAACTTGGTTACCTCCTGAGCTACAACTTACTCTCTCCCTTTCCTTGTGGGCAGGGATTTTAGAGACTGTCATATCAGAATACTATTCATCCTCCATCCAAGCCAGCTCTAAGGGCCACAGCAATGGAGAGCAGCAAAAGGAAATGTGAATGTTGGTGAGTATGTCCTTGGGCAACTGGTCCCAGTTCATCTATTTCCCTCATGTTACCCATCTGTGCTATATGTGTTTTCTTATAGAGCCAGAGCTAAGGTTTACCTTTAAATGCATGACATCATCAAGATTTCCCTGGGGAATATATGGAATAGTCCAGCATTTGTATGTGTGTCTGGCAGTGAGGAAAATGGTAAGAATTTTATATGCACATGACATTGATGGATCCTTAAGTTCCTATGTTACTTTTTAAAGCAGAAAGCTACCCTAGCAAGTGTTTACCAAAATATTAGATCTCTAGATCAAATACTTTGATTAAATTTTGCAGACATTCACACACAAACTTCAAAACAGTTACAGAAGTAATATCACGGACTGGGCTCTGCCGATCATCTTGCCCCCTCCCACACCTAGGCACACAAATGTATTAACTCGGGATTCCTTGGCAGTACTCAGATAACACAGAAAAGTAAATTAGCCCATCAGCTAACTAGGCCAGGTTCCTGTGCTTCTAACTATTCTGTTTGCCTTCTTCTCTGAACACTTACTACCTCGCACAACCTAACACCTGACTGTGCAGCATGTCCCCAACTTAGAGTACGTGCCTTTGAGAATCTCTTACATAGCCAGGCTAAGCTTTTTGAAGACAGGACAATGTCTTATACTTGGCTTATATATTCTTTCGTGCCTAGCACAAAACTCAACAAGAGGTAGAATGTTAAGAGGAGGACATATCAGATGAACATAGATGACTGTTCTACCCTGAACTCAAACAGCACCAAAGCCCTTCTTGGTTCAGGTCACCAGCTGTGTCACCTTCCCAAGGTTTTGACTGGCCAGTTGTAGAAATCACTGTCCTCCCCAGAAGTTGTATTTGTGTTTGTAAAACAGATTACCTTGATGTAAAATGAAAGTAATTCCACCACTGCCAAAGTAGGGCCAATTGCCTACATGCTTTTTCAAAATGCAATTCACTTCAACCAATTTTATTATCCCCTAAGCCAGCTGCCAGCGATGCCAACTGAAAAACCCAGGCAACCTGACTCTAGAGCTGGTCCTCCCAACAATTAGCTTTTTGCTGCCTTGATTGGCTATCCCCCACTGAATACAAAGGAGCCTCATTTGTTTCTTTCCCCCCACCCTCACTGTCAGCATTCTCTATCAGGGTAAATTTCAAATAACTTTGGGGCCTTCTACACTTAGTCAAACTTCCTAGTCTCCAGAAATTCCTTGCCATATACTGAGAGTGGGATAGGGAATCTATTAGAGGATCTTGGCCTATTTACATGGGCACCACTCATGTGCTTAGCGTTATTAAGGATATAACAGGGGCATGGGCCAATGGGCTCCTGCCCACAAGTCATTTATAACTTGCAAAAACTCTCAAATAACTGGGGATCAAGCCAATAAACAATCACAAGACAACATGATATAGATGTCTAGGAGAATGGAAGAGTGAATGGAATAGGGACCTAAGAAAAGATTGTCAAGCAGAACCCACTCGAGGCTAGTGATCATGTATTCAAAATGAGACCAGGTGTCATGGTGACATTTTCTTTCAGTCAGTCATGCTCAGCTATGTAAAGGCGGTTGCACCATAGGCAGAAAGTTGAAACTGCTTGGATCAGGGTTTTGTTAAGCACGTATTATAAGCAAGAGTTGAAAATATAGTCAAAGGAATGATTCTAATGATCAACCATGGAGGTCACTTACACCAGGTACAGAGGGAAGATGAGAGATGTGAGGACAATGAAAAGTTGTCATTCGATTGTAGACCGCAACAGGCATAAAGGAGTGTTGGAGTCAGGGTACAAGAGGAGCCATGTGAGTAGCGTCTATGTGTGTGTGGTAGAAAATCAGAAAAGGCACAGTTCATATGGGCCAGGTAGTTAGGGGAGGCTTCTTTGAAGGCAGGATTTAGGCTGAGAATAAAGAACATAGAAGAACTAAAGTTGATTAGACTAAAGATAGGACATAGAATATTCTAAATCAGAGGATACATGAGTAAGGATGTGGAATCTGTACTAAAAATAATGAATTTAGAAAAGACTAAGGAAACCAGCCTTACTAGGATATAAAGTTCAATTTCCTTAGTGGTAGAGCATAAATTTTGATAAGTGTTGCTAGACTATGTACTCTGACTCAGGTACAGGGAGTTCAAGGACTGTTTCATCTTCCAAATATTCCAAAATGAGTTGCAATCTTTTTCCTTTGTATTTTGGTGAGTGTGAATAAGGTCTCTGCAATTTAAATTAACAATATTGCCTCTGTTTGAAAACCTTGTCACATTTTATCAGTAACTTTCCTCCTGTTTCTAACACCTTTTATTGGCTCCCTATGGTGAATTTATGTGTTTGCCTTACAGTGTTCTGTGTTGAAGAATTTAGTGCTGTTACAGTTAACTGGAACAGAGATTCAATATATATTTCAAAGTTTCTAACAACCTAACCAAAAATGTCCAACTCAATAAATTCACACAAGGACCTAGAGTTGGTCAGAGCCATTGTCAATTGAAAATCAAACTCCTGCCAAGTGCTGTGGCCCACACCTGTAATCCCAGCACTTTGGCAGGCCAAGTTGCATGGATCACTTGTGGTCAGGAGTTCAAGACCAGCCTGGCCAACATGGTGAAACCCCATTTCTACTACAAATACAAAAATTACCTAGGCGTGGTGGCGCACGCATGCAATCCCAGCTATTTGGGTGGCTGAGGCACGAGAATTGCTTGAACCTGGGAGGTGGAAGTTGCAGTGAGCCAAGATCGCATCACTACAGAAAGAAAAGAAAAGAAAGCCCCCCAAATGCTTAAACTTTATATAACCACAATCAGTTCTCCACATTCTACATTGTTCATTAATTCATTCAACATTTGGGCACCAACTATAAGTTGAGAACCATGGTAGGTGATGGAAATGTGGAAATGAAAGGCCCAACTCTTCCCAGGTGTATAGGTAAGACAAACAAGTAAAAGATAATAATATTAGTGCTATGATGGAGGACAGCATAGGGGGCAAATAGGCAAATGTTCCTTGCTTGGATGCAGATGGGAAGTCACAAAAGATGTCTGGTATCTGAGCTAAGTTTCGAAATTCCAGGAGCAGTTATTTAACCAGCTACGAATTGGCAGAGTGGGTTACTGGAGGAGGTAACAGCATATGCAAAGGTTCAAATGAAAGAAAGACCTACACGGGACAGTAAGAGAATCCCCAAGTGATTTGGCATCTTGGAGCATCAAATGGGAAAAGTGACAGAGTTGAGGCAGGAGGGATTAGCAGGGACAGATTCAAAAGACTGAGTTCTGCAGTGCACTGGAGGCACCTTGGAGACACTGATAAAATTTAAGCATCTTATGGCAGGGCGGAAGATTTGGTTAAGGAAATTAGTTAGGTAACTTTTGCAGTCATTCAGGTGAGAAATTATAGGACTTTGAACAGATGGGGAGGTAAAAGAGGAAACAAACACTACAATTGCTTAGGAAGTAGTGTCTGTTAGGTTTGGTAATTGGCTATCTAAGAACTTATGGAGGAAAGAAACCAGGTGATCCTTTTCTTTTTCTTAAAAGACCAAAGATCTCACTGGAGGTATAAAGTCAATTTATACCTTTGACAGGTCACTTTATAAGTGTGAAATTCAAGTAAAAAGTTGAGCCATGAAGCTTCTCTTTTATCCAGGGCAGGGTGAGTTTCCCTAGGTTTGTGCTATTGGGCTTGTAGTTTACAGAAGAAAGTTTAGACAGGCTGTCTTTTAAAGGAATCTAAATTTATTTACTAAACGTATTCTTTTTATGATAATGAAAAATGAATTGCCAATCATCTTATACAGCCATATACTGAAGCTTTAGCTTCCTTCTTTTTGTCAGATCTTAAAAAATGCTATATGGCTAGAGCTACTCCACCTATATCCCAGCTCCTATAATATCTACCTTATCTGATGAACGTGAGGCAAGAGTAAGCTCAGTCTTCTTTGCAGCTTCATCAGGATAAGGAAATAAGAGTAAGTAGAGCATTCCAACATGTTTTTAGTATAATGAGATCACATTTGTCCTCAACACAGAAAAATACTGTTGCCATCTTTACAGTTAGTTTTTTTTTTAACTTAAAAATCATCCATATGTGCTCAGATTCCAAATGACAAAAGCCATTCATTTTTGTCTACTTCAAGTGAAATGGAGTCATTGTTTGAAGAAAAGATTACAGGATTATAGCTAAGTCTTTTCCCCTGGGGAGTGAGTGGCAGTTTAGTAGCAACCGTGTGGTTCTGCCACATGGCTGGATCACAGCACCACATCCTCAAACCAAGGGCGGGGCAGACACACAGTGGGGACTGGAAATCATAAGGGACAAAGGAAAGGAGAAATCTGTCATTTGAAAGGAAAAAAGAATAAAGAACAGAAAGAAGTCTCCTGAAATTCCAAGTTTTTAGGTTTAAAGAGACAATGTGACATGCACAGCTGTAAGAAAAGCTGCTTCATGTCCCACATTTCTGGTCACACACAGTTGCCGGTTGAGTCCTGCTGACTGTTTCTCTTTGCCTCACTTTTCTTTGTTAACGCTTTTCTTTGCAAGATGCTGCAGTGAACAACTGGAAGAGTGACCTCCGTCCCGGTACCAAACAGGTGACTAAAACAAGCCTAGAGAACCAAATCATTGTCTTTGGACTAAAACACTTATTTCGTTCATTTGAGGCTTCTGACTTCCTTTTGGATCACTATCTTGAGATGCCCACATGTGGCCTCCAAAGCTCTTTCTTGAATAAGTTTATTTTCCAAAAAGTGATATATGCCATATGTTCAAGTGTTTAATAACAGTTCTTTTTCTTGGCTGCAAGCTAGGGGATGAATAGAAGTGCAGCATAGGAAAATACGATAAAGAACACAGTTGCATCTCTTGAGGAATTGAAGTTGTTTTAAAACATGTGCTAAGAATTCCTTGCCTGATCTTTGGGAGGAGTAGTTTGAAAGTTTCAGTGTTGTTGTCACCATTTTTCAGATATGGAAAGGAGGCAGACTAGTTAAGCAAGCCTGGCATGCGATGTAAAAATGTATCAGGGTCCAAGGAAATGTTTTTTAACCATTACTGACCCTTCAACTTTTTCATGAAGTTCTCACTTAAAGTTCATAGTTATTATCTTTGCCTCATCCCACTATATTAGGCTAAGAATTACAGCACCTAAGCCTCCCCAAGAATATAAAAGCCATCTAAGGTCCAGCTGTATCAGTTATTCTTTTGATTAAAAGAGTCAGAAATACATTTCAAATTGGTTTAAGCAAAAAGAAGTTATTGGTTCATATAGCTAAAGCCAAGGAGTATATCTAGCTTCAGGCATGGCTGGATCAAGGTGCTTACATGATAATGCATGGAATCTGTCTTTTTCTCCAAGTCACAGATCTGCTTTCCTTTATGTTGGATTCATTTTCTGATGTGGTGGCAAGATGATTATTAGCAGCCCCAGGTTTGGTAATACTAGTAGAAAGAGATTCAATTTCTACATAATCCTTTTAGCAATTTTAGGCAAGGCTCTCATTGGCCTGACTTAGGTCCTATGCCCATTCTCGAACCAGCCACAGTGTCAAGGGCTTGAAATATGTTTAACTGGCCCTCATGGGAGCCAAAGATGGATCCGACCTCACTCAAACCACAAGGACAGTTTGAACAGCTGCAAAGTTGCCCAAAAGACAGTCGTTACTGATACCAAAATGGTAATGGATGTTTGTAGTAGGCACTGTTGGCTGCCTATCCAAAATCTACTTTCCTCTTCTTCCTTGCTAACTGAACCCTGACTATGTTTAATTATCTACTCTCCTCCATGTGGCTATGGGCTTAGATAAGGGATAAGAGAGTAGAGTGGCAGCCAGGTACAAAGTGTCAGAGCCTAAGTAGGATGTCGGGGGGCATCCTGTTCACAGACAACACTGACAACATGTCGCAGCTCAAGTGTATTGAGTGCAGAGGGCATCCATGCAAAGAAGGGGTTGGTGATGGCCTGTGAGAGGATGATTACCTTCAGGGCAATGATCAAAGACCTAATATATTACAAACCAGGCGCGATGGCTCATCCCTGTAATCCCACTACTTTAGGAGGCTGAGATGGGCGATCACCTGAGGTCAGGAGTTCGAGACCTGCCTGGACAACATGGTGAAACCCCATCTCTACTAAAAATACAAAAATTAGCCAGGCATAGTGGTGAGCACCTGTAATTTCAGCTACTCAGGAGGTTGAGGCAGGAGAATCACTTGAACCCGGGAGGTGGAGGTTCCAGTGAGCTGAGATCATGCCACTGCACTTCAGCCTGGTGACACAGCAAGCCTCCATCTCAAAAAAAAAAAGTAATATATTACAAATAACAGGATCCAAGTTTATTATTGTTGAAGAGAGCTATAGATATGGAAAAGGAGAAAACTAGTGAACCCTATGGTGTTGATTGGAATTGAAGGCGTTGTGAATTCATGGTTTTCCACTTATATAGAAATATAGAGAAATAAATATAGATATAAATATGAGTGTGTGTGTGCATATACATACATACATGCATACATATGTACATATGCTATCTGGATCTGTTCACAGAAAGGTTCTGGGAACAGTAATATCTCACGGTAATGAGCACACCTACTGTTCAATGGTTGTCTTCTAAACGCCATTCTCTATCAAATGGAACTGGTGTTCTTTATCAATGGCTGGTTCCAGGTCTGGGCAAAGAAAATACAAGATGAGCCTAGAATAACGTGTAGTGCCAAAAACTTAGGAAGTGCTCTTGGATAAGGGCATCTTGAAGGGACACATGAACCAACTTTAAGGGTCTCCAAATGGCTAATCTGGGACGATTTGAGCAACAAAACATATAATCTTAGGAATGATTTACAACCCATTGAATAAAGTAAGAATTTGAGTTCAAACTATTATAAATAAACAAATGAGGAAGAAGCAAAAGTTCTCCCTTACAACAGAATTTTAACTAATAAATGTAGAAGCAATGGTAAAAATAGAAAATGACCATTTGGCGAACACTGCAGTAATAATTGTTTCAGGCAAGACTCATCAGCAGATGCTAAAATTCGAGGACAAAAGTATAGTAAGCCATTTGCCTACAATGTCTTAAAGTATCTCTCCACAAATCAGTTACTCCAAGAAAGAGACAACAGCACTTCTGTAGTTTTTCAGCCCAAAATACGTAACTTCAATCTAATCACGAGAAAACTCACACAAACCCAAATTATCATATATCTACAAAATAATTGAGCAAGACTCTTAAGAAATGTCAAGGTCAGGAAAATCAAAGACCGATAAATGGTTCCAGACTAAAGGAAACTCTAGTCTGGTAGTCCGGATCTTGGACCAGAGAAAATTAATTGGTGGGACAATTGGTGACATTTTGAATAAGATCCATAGATTATTTGGACTATATTAGGTTAAGAATAATCTATTAAAATTAACTTTACCTGTTGTTTTAAAAACCTTTAAACAAGGTTACTAGAAAATTTTAAATTACAGCAGTCCCCCTTATCCAAGGGAATACATTCCAAGACCCGCAGTGACTGCCTGAAACCATACATAGTACCAAACCTGAGTGCCATCAATCGGAACATGTTTCTGTTCCTGTCCTCCACCCATAAATTTAATGAGTTTTATATCTTAACTAAGCTCTTGTCATACACTGTGGCTGTAACTTTTGCAGTTTGAGATGTGACAGCAAAACTAGCACAAAGTTATTTTTCCTTCTTCACAATTCACGGATAAAAGACTCATTCTAACTGCAGATTTTAGCAACTTCAGCATATGAATTTTTTTTCTTTTTTTCTTTTTTTATGTTGAGACAGAGTCTCATGCTGTTGCCCAGCCTGGAGTGCAGTGGGGTGATGTCGGCTCACTGCAACCTCCACCTCCTGGGTTCAAGCGATCCTCCTGCTCAACCTCCCAAGTAGCTGAGATTACAGGTGCCCGCCATCACGCCTGGCTAATATTTGTATTTTTATTAGAGATGGGGTTTCCTATGTTGGCCAGGCTGGTCTCAAACTCCTGACTTCAAGTGGTCTGGCCACCTTGGCCTCTCAAAGTGCTGGGATTACACGCATGAGCCACTGCACTGGCTGATTTTTTTCTTTTATTTTCTTTTATTTATTTATTTTTGAGATGGAGTTTCACTCTTGTTGCCCAGACTGGAATGCAATGGCACAATCTTGGCTCACTGCAACCTCCACCTCTCGGGTTCCAGCAATTGTCCTGCCTCAGCCTCCCGAGTAGCTGGGATTACAGGTGCTCGCCACCACGCCCTGCTCATTTTTGTATTTTTAGTAGAGAAGGGGTTTTACCATGTTGGCCAGGCTGGTCTCGAACTCCTGACCTCAGGTGATCCACACACCTCAGCCTGTCAAATTCCTGGGATTACAGGTGCTCGCCACCACGCCCTGCTCATTTTTGTATTTTTAGTAGAGAAGGGGTTTTACCATGTTGGCCAGGCTGGTCTCGAACTCCTGACCTCAGGTGATCCACACGCCTCAGCCTCCCAAATTGCTGGGATTACAGGTTTGAGCCACCCTGCGCAGCCAATTTTTTTTCTTAAGTCAAGAACTTTCACCTTTTCACTGAAAGGAAGCCCTTTGTGAATTCTCTTGGGCTTTTCTGAATTACCAGGATCACTCCTCTTGAGCTTTAGGGCCACTATTAAGTAAATTAAGGGTTTCTTGAACACAAGCACTGGATACCAGGACTGCCAACATCATAACCGAGATGACTACCAAGTGACTAACAGGCTGGGAGTGTGGACAGCTTGGAGACACTGGACAAAGGGATAATTCATATTCTGGGTAGGACAGAGCAGGACAGCATGAGATTTCATCGCTACTCCAAACAGTGCACAACTTAAAATTTATGAATTGCTTCCAAAATTTACCATTTAATATTTTCAGACCACAGTTACCTGTGGGTAACTGAAATCACAGAAACTGTGGATAAGGGGGACCACTGTGCATATGTGACTTGCATTTCTATTGGACAGCATAAATCTAGATCTTTAATGTCTTTCTAGGACTCTGGGTCATTCAGTCTGAACAGCCTCCTAGTTAACCTACTAACTGCAATTGCCTAGAATACACTGTGCAGGGGGTAGGGTGGGGGGGTTTGGGGGAATGGGCTTTACAGTGAGGGAGTCCTGAGCAAGATCAACAGGCTAGTATTTGTCAGAGGAATGAATCTCAGTAGCCCTTGAAGTAATATATACTTTTTGTAAATGGTGATGCTTGTTGTTTATTTAGAAGGAGGATGAAATATCAGTGGGACTGATAGAGATGCCACACCCCACAATTGTAGCCAGAGGGCCAGGACTCCTCCTCACTCATCTGATCCATTTGCCCCAGACAGTACTACCATAGCGGAGGAAGGAGACTTGAAGAATTAAAGAGTTTCTGTTGCTGGCTGCAGTGGCTCACACCTGTAATCCTAGCACTTTGGGAGGCCAAGGTGGGCACATCGCCTGAGCTCAGGAGCTTGAGACGAGCCTGGCCAACATGGTGAAACCCAGTCTCTACTAAAAATACAAAAATTAGCCGGGCATGGTGGCGCATGCCTGTAATCCCAGCTACTCGGGAGGCTGAGGCAGGAGAATTACTTGAACCCGGGAGGCAGAGGTTGCAGTGAGCTGAGAGCACACCACTGCACTCCAGCCTGGGCGACAGAGCGAGACTCTGTCTCAAAAAAGAAAAAAAAAAAAGGTTTCTGCAGCAGGGCCTCAGAAGCATGAGTTCCTCAGAGACGGTAGGGGCAGCGTGTGGTTCAGGCTGTTTTCTCCAGAAAAGGAAAACACTGCTAGCTTACTTCAAATAATGTGCCAGCACTCACTAAAACAGTTATTTTTGTGCCTTTGGAGAATACACTCTCCGTGATATGTCCGAAAGCCAAATTGTTGTGATCCTCAAGAGAAATGAAAGCTTTCTAGATTTTATCATTTTGAAAGGTGAAGTACATCTGCTAGAATCAACATTTTTTTAGGATGTTAGTCTCACCACTTGGCTTCAGAAACACATCTCCCTTTTCTTTGACTTTATTTATTAGAGTTTTAATGTCAGTTTGTTGAACAAAGGTTCTGGTGATGCCTGTGTTATGCTATGGAATTCTTATAGGAAGAGACAGTTTTGGAGGCAAAAAAATAAATAAATAAATAACACTGGTCCAGCTGCTTAGCTGCCAACACTTCCAGAAAATTCCTTTGTGCTATATTTATGTAAACTTTGTATTCAGAATTAAAGGAACAACTAAAGTGTATTCCTTGTATTGCTAATTATGTCCTACATTATAGGCATTCATACAGATCAATTAAATGATATCTACTACAATATGATTGCAGTATTTCTGTATAATATAGTACAACATAATAAAACATAAGAACCCCAAAGTTGGAATATTTGTGAAATACCTTAGTTAGCCAGAGATCTTTCTCCCTCTCCCTCTCTTTTCCCTTCCTTCCCTCCCTCCCTCTCTCTCTCTTTCTTTCTTTCTCCCTTTCTCCCTTTTTTTCTTTCCCCTTCTTCCCCCTTCTTTCTTTCTTTTTTGGAGACAGGATCTCACTCTTGCTCTGTTGCCCAGGATGGAGTGCAGTGATATGATCGTAGCTCACTGCGAGCTTAATTCCTGGGCTCAAGCAATCCTCTCACCTCAGTTTCTCAACGTGCTGGGATTATAGGCGTGAGCCACTACACCTGGCTGCAAATTCTTTGTGTTCAGCAGTAACAGTGATTCAACACGCCAGGGCATTAAGAGTTAAACCAAGGTTCAACTTTCCTTTCTTGAGTTTCTCAATTGGTGTAGGGATAGAGAATCTGGGTGGAAAGAGCTGATAAACTCACCCAGGCGTAAAGACCAGACAAATAAATTACAAAGGAAAATGGGGGTCCAGGTTTAGAAAACGCCAGCCTAGATTTAGAAAAGATTTGGCAATTCTTTTGCTGCATATATCATTAACCCTGGGGAATTCCAATTTTATTATCAAAAAGTATTCATGAATGCTCTTTGAGTTTATGGTCCTATTCAAATTTACTCCAACACCTAATGGTGCTTTGAATCATGTTTGTTTCAAGTGTTTGATGAGCTTAATTTAAACAAACAATCAGTGGGGGTGGTGGCTCACACCTGTAATCTCAGCAATTTGGGAGGCCAAAGCAGGCGGATCACTTGCAGTCAGGAGTTCGAGACCAGCCTGGCCAATATTGTGAAACCCCATCTCTACTAAAAAAAAATACAAAAAATTAGCCTGTAGTTCCAGCTATTTGGGAGGCTGAGGCAGGAGAATCGCTTGAACCCAGGAGGTGGAGGTTGCAGTGAGTCAAGATCGTGCCACTGCACTCCACCTTGGGTGACAAAGGGAGACTCCATCTCAAAAAACAAAACAAAAAACAAACAATCAATCACAAACTAGAGAGTTTCTCTGGTTACAATCTCCAGATATGAGATGTTATCTTCGTTGTGTTTCTGTGTGTCTGAATATCATGATTGAGATAAATGACCCTGTGCTCAATATGATCATTTAATTTGGTCATTTGATGAAAGGCTTTGGGCTGTTTTAAAATATTTTGCCATGGGCCACACATATCAAACTTCTTACACCTAGAACTCTTCTGGATAGAGGAAAAATCCATTCACGATTTTCATTTGGAAATTTTCGGAAATCAAACTATACGGATTTTTAACTAATGATGACCAGCTAAAGGTGTAGTCTTGGAATCCATTAGACATTTAAGTACTTTTCTACTTTCACCTGAATCCAGACCATGCATTCCTGTCGGTCCAAAACCTGAGCAAAAATGCCCCAGGGAAATTGCTCCCATTTTGTCCTGAGAGGAAAAACTATTCATTTCATAATGTCACTGCCACTTCAAAAGAAAAGCTGTGTGTGATCTTTTTCCCATCGAAATCATTGAGAGCCTCCTGTCTGTTTATTCATCCTGCTCCTGCCTTCCTGTCCTTTCGTCCTTGGCACGGTGGGCACAGAATGCCCTAGACCTATGCCTGCCAGACCACCCTAGGATCCTGCAGTGAGTTGCTGGCTGGGTTCAACAGTAAGCTCTCAGTGAAGCAAAGTCACAGGGCAAGGGCTCCTCAGACAATTTGTAGGACCCAGGGCCATTGTCTAAATATAATCTCATTTTGGCCCAAAAACTATGGGGTAGATTGGTTTCTTTTTTGTGTGCTTTTCTGTAAGATCTGTATCATCTGGCAAAATCCAAAGAGAAAATTTTGCCTTGTGGGATTTCTTTTCTGTTTTGTTTGCTGGGAGATGTGCCAGACTGAAGTCCTCTCTTCCAGAGTGGACTCAGTGCAGGCAGCAGCAAGCTGACCTTTCCCACCCTTTTCATTCACACAGTTCTAAAGAGAGAACCTACTTTTGTTCTTTTATTCAACCCTTAGCCTCTCTGCTGAGCCTACCAATTAGTGTTCGTAATTGTGGCCAGGGTTTAAGGTCTGGACCCAGGAACACAACTGAGAAGATGGATTCATTTCAGGAACTAGACTACTAAGAAGGCATCTGCTAGAACATGGAGGAAGCAATTTGCAAGACTAAATACTCAGGGGGTTAGAGCTTCACTGTTGGAAGCTATCAAAGCCTTTTCATGTTACATCCATCAACTCATTCGATTTGCCTCAAATCTTACTTGCAACAACTGAAATAGCATAACAAAGTTAGAATTTGTTTATAAGTTTTCAACCAATTGATAGGTTTATCTTAAGATATTAAAAAAATACTTGCAGACAATTAAAATTATATATTGAATCAGGGTAAAAACTTTGAGAAACTCAAGGTCCATTTCATTTGTTCTCATCCCACTACTGGAATGGGTTTAGTAAATAGCTATAAATCAATCTTCTTTTAAAGAGGGAGACTGGAAGGCCCAGAGGGTTAAGGGAGCAGTAGGATCACTAGGACTAGAATGCTGTTGGGTATCACATGCTCAGGCTGGAGGGAGGGAGGTGGAGTGACTGTATGCCTGACCTTTAGCACCAGCCTTGTCTGCATTCAAGTCTCAGCTGGCTGACCTTAGACAACCTGCTTAACTTCGCTATGCCTCAATCCCCCCAATCCCAACCGACAATATGGGAATAATAGTAGTTTCTAACTTACAGATTTGCTATGAGGGCTAGATGAGCTCATCTATTTCAGGTTCCTAGAACAATATCTGATCAGTACTATGTAAGTGTTTATTAAACATAAAATACAATGGGATGGTAAAGATCTTATGTTTTGCTCCTTATCTACTCACACGATCTTTTAAAAATGTTTCTCAGAAACTAATTTGCACAAAATTCCTGGGATGTTGGGTAAATACAGTAGACCCAGGGTAGGGTCTGGCTGCTTGTCAGACAGTGCTGAGGTGGTGTTATGGCTTGTAAAGCCCATTGCATAGTTCTCTGTGCCCACCATCAGAACTTATTGTGCACCATAATTACAACATGTTTTTCATTTGTCAGTGTTAATGAGTATCTTATTGCATGCTTTGATAAGTGTTTTTGCTTCTAGAGGTGGATTAGTATTTTTGAAATTTTAATTCAAAAGGAAAAGAAGCTGTCTATTCAGCACATATATTATGTAGATGTGACAATTATAGAGCTATAAAGAAGCATACATACATGTTTAATGTGCAAATTACATGTGAGAAAGAGCTCAAAGGCAACACACAGGGGTCCAAACCTCCAGTCTCAAACCTCATAACAGAAATCAATGAAATATTTATGTCAGGAAAGCACAGGCAACACATTTACATATGCATATTCTGCCATGAACAGGCAATTTACATACATATTCATGCACATACCTATTCATATATCTAGATAAAAACATATGAAACTTACTCCTACTTCATTTGTACTATACAATAACAAATAGTTCTTCAAATGAAACATGATGGGAAGAAAACTGTGAATTACTAGGTCATAGTGAAGGGTCTCATCAGACTCTGGATCTTGTCCCTAAATTCAAAGCTGTGTTTATCCTTATCTTTCTACCTCACTTATGTAGGTGTGGTTTTATTTGGTAATTACAATGGTATTTTTGAAACAGTATAAAAAAAGATTCAGAGGTAGGTGAACGTACTTATGGCATGCCTAATTCAGGATGTCTGGCATGCCGCCACAGGCCAACAGCCCTCCTGGCAATGAGAGGCACGAATGTTGGGAATTTCAGAGTGCTGTGTGCTTCTTCCCTAACATCCCTGGGCAGAGAGATGTCCTAGGACTCAATAGAGAAAAACATATATTCACCTCTCCTAATGTTTTCCATGAAGGGATGAGTAGAAGAGGATCGCTTTCAGCCTCCTTCCACTCTTCACTTACTCTACCCCATGAGAGAAATGACTTGTCTGACTGGGTGAATTTTGAAGGACATGTTTGGCTGGGCTTGGGTCACCTCTTCTGGGATCTTTTGAGGAGCCAGCCTGGACACACGACTCTGTCATTCCAGTTTGTTCTCCAAGAGGTGATAACCTTAGCAGGAAGTTTTCTGCAGTAGGAAGTTCAATTTCTGGGGAAAAAGCCAGACGGTTGTTTACAATCTCTTTCAGCCACAAATCTAAAACTATGGGTGTAAATTAGTAATGAAGCTAACTTTTCAATCTTCATCTTCTTATCTCTGTGCCTTCATTTTCATGTGATTCAAACTCAGCAATCTTAGTTTAGACCCCTAAAATGCCCAGCATCACAGAATGATGAGTTAGGATCAACAAAGTTGCACATTTGCTGCCTCCCAGGCCCCCAATAATTCTCACTCACTGCACCTCTTTAAAGAGATCTTGAGTTAAGCAGTGAAGTATATATAGAGTCAAGAGAGGAATCCCCAGGAAACAGAGGCTGCTCGTTCAAGCTGGGGAATTGAAAGATAAATCTGAATGTGTCTTTGAGTGATGCCACCAAATTCCCTTTGACCTGGAGGAATTGAATAAAATACAGATAAAATTATCCTAAGATTTTTGAGGAAACTAAACTACACTTTTGGGAATCAAATAAAATATCTGTAACACTGATACAGAAGGAAAGACTCCTCCAAGTAAATCAGAGGACTGTCACACCTCAAGGAGAAGCAGTAAGACTGATATCATTCAAATAGCAAGGTCAGATCTCAGCAATAATATCAAGGTCATATTCTGAGATAACAGAAGAAGCAGTTGCTAAATAAAGTTAACAGATGGCAGAAAACAGCATTAACATTTGAAGCAGAAAAACTTGGGACATATTCTGGAAACCAGCCAAAGGATGTGAGTGAACTTGAAAAGCTACTTCTATTAGCATTAGAAGTCTTAGTCATATCCTTGTCTTTTCCCTTCAGTTGGGGTGGCCTGAGGGAAAACAGTTATAGGTCTAGACTGTGTGGTAGCTATTCTCTAAAAATGGTCTCTATCTTAGTCTTTTTACTGAGGCTGTAACAGAATATCACAGGCTGGGTAATTTATAAACAATAGAGGTTTATTTGGCTCACAGTTCTAGAGGCTGGGAAGTCTAAGAGCATGGCACCAGCATCTCGCAAGGGTCATCCCAGGGCAAAAGACAAAAGGCAGAAGTGTGAGCACTAGCAAGAGCAGAGATTGACCCCAACTTACCCTTATGTCAGGAGCCCACTCCCCTCAATAATGAACCCACCTTTGCGATAATGACATTAATCCATTCATAGGGCAGAGCCTTCATGATATAATCACCTCTTAAAGGTTCCACCTTTCAACACAGCTGCACTGGGGATTTATTTCTAACACATAGACTTGGGGGGCCATATTCAAACCATAGCAGTTTCCTAATGAACCATGCCTCCCAGTATTCATTCCTCTTTGTAGTCTGTTCTCTTAAAATCCATTAGTTATCACAGGATCAACAGAATGCAGTGAGAGTGATTTTGCATGGTTTCCAATGCAGGGTCAGAAGAAGCCTTGCAGTTTTCACCTTGGTCTCTTGGAATGTTCACTCCAGGGAAAGACAGCTACTATATATGGACTCTCACTACCCTGAAATTTCCATGCTGTAAGGAAACCCAACCTAGCCACATGGAGAGGCCACATGGAGAGACCACATGGAGAGATATGCCCAGGCCGCCCCCAGCTATTCAAGCCATCTCAGCCCAGGTACGAGACATGAGTGAAGAACCTCTCTTGTACTGCCAATTGTGTTCTTGGATGACTCCAGCCTCAGCCAACATCTAATATGAACTGCATAAGAGACTCCAAGTTAGAATTGCCCAGCCGAACCCCTAAAATCCACAAAATTGAAGATATGAGAATAAAGTATTTTTTAAGTCATTGACTGTTTAGGTAGTTATCTATAGTGGCAAATAATTAGAACAGGCTTCATCACATAGGGTATGAAATTGTTTATAATAATATCCCAGAATTTCTACAGCCAGATGTCTTAGTCTGTTTGGGCTGCTATAACAAAAGACCACAGACTAGATAGCTTATAAACAATAGAAATTTACTTCTCAGAGTTCTGGAGGTTGGGAAGGCCCAGATCAGAGTGCCAACATGGTCGGGTTCTGGTGAGGATTCACCTTCTCATAGATGGCACATTCTCCCTGTGTCCTCACATACTGGAAGGGACTAGCTGGTTCTCTGTAGTCTCTTTTATAAAGGCCCTAACCCAATCATGAAGGCTGTGCTTTCACAATGTAATCACCTCCTAGAGGTCCCTACCTCCTAATACGATCACTTTGGGGGCTGGGATGTCAACAAATGAATTTTGGGGGAACATCAACATTCAGACCATAGCACTAGGTCTATGGAACACCTAGGAAGATTCCAAATGGGATTGCAGTAAAGTAGTATCGATATTTTACCCAATGGGGGATCCATTTTCAGCTCAGATTTCAATCATGAACTTACTTTTCCCTCCAGAAGGAACAAAAATAAACTCCAGTTCCATCGGCAATATAAACAGAATGAAAATGCTGTTGGCCAGAAAACACAGGGCCCTCATTATTGATAGGCAAATAGAGGTAATTACTGGGAAGGTAAGTGATTTGTGAGAGATGTTTCAGGAAAACCTGGAAATTGAAACAAACAGAAATTGAAAAAAAAAAAAACCCTGCAAAAAGTAGTAAGAGTCTGATATACCTTAGCACAGACCACACTGCGATAGAAAGCAAGCAAAAGAGAGATGCAGGCAGAACGTTGACTTCAAGAGCTTAGCCTTTGCAATTACAGATCTGGGTTTGAATCTTGTCACTGCCACTTACTAAGCTTGACTCTTGATATTCAAAATTTTGTTTTTGGATTAAAAACAATCCACAAAACAACACTTCTTTTTCTCTGATTCTCTTTCATGCAACTAAAAAATGCTTTGGCTTTTAGACTATTGTTTCTATTATGTATTTATAACAACTTCTTAAAACCTGAAAACCAGGAATTCCACTAATTGCTGTGACACCTCAATCTAGAGAAGAGTCCATATAGATATAGGGTGTTCTTTTTTTTTTTTTTTTTTAGACAGGTACTCATTCTGTTGCCCAGCCTGGGGTACAGTGGCATGATCATGGTTCACTACAGCCTCAATCTCCTGGGCTCAACTGATCTTCCCCCACCTCAGCCTCCCAAGTAGCTGGGACTACAGGTATGAGTCACCACATCCTACTAATTTCTTTTTTTTTTTTTTTTTTTTTTAGTAGAGACAAAGTCTCACTATGGTGCCCAGGCTGGTTTCAAACTCCTGACCTCAAGTGATCCTTCCTCCTTGTCCTCCCAAAGTGCTGGGATTACAGGCCTGAGCCACTGCACTCAGCCTTATAGAGTGTTCTTGATACTATTAATACTTGGATGATACGGAAAAAGCAGGGGTAAATGAGATTTTCCAAATACATGATTTAATATTAAAATATTTTTCTCTAATTGAAAAGAATGAACCGACATTAAGTTGGAACTGTCCTAGAAAATCCAATTGTGTAGTTGCCATAGGTTGCATCGTATATATGAAAATATTGAGGGAATTTACTATTTGGGAAAGATCATCAGTAGCCAGAGAAAGCTATGTGATTAGGCACCTAGTTAGGTATCCTGTGCCAATGGACAGATGGGCCTTTGTGCTTTCTTTAAATTTCATAAGCATGTGTCTGCATGCGTTATCCAATTAATGTCAAATCAATGGTTCTTAAATATAGTGCTCAGAAGAATCAGCCTGAGAACTTGTTTAAAAAGGTATCTTGGGCCAGGTGCAGTGGCTCGGGCCTGTAATCTCAGCACTTTGGGAGGCCGAGGCGGGCAGATCACAAGGTCAGGAGTTTCAGACCAGCCTAGCCAACATAGTGAAAAACTGTCTCTACTAAAAGTACAAAAAAAATTGGCCAGGTGCAGTGGCTCACGCCTGTAATCCCAGTGCTTTCGGAGGCTGAGGCGGGCGGATCACCTGAGGGCAGGAGTTTGAGACCAGCCTGACCAACATGGAGAAACCCTGTCTCTACTAAAGATACAAAAATATTAGCTGGGCATGGTGGCGCATGCCTGTAATCCCAGCTACTCGGGAGGCTGAGGCAGGAGAATTGCTTGAACCCGGGAGGCAGAGGTTGCGGTGAGCCGAGATTGTGCCATTGCGCTCCAACCTGGGCAACAAGAGCAAAACTCCGTCTCAAAACAAAACAAAACAAACAAAACAGACGAACAAAAAACAAAAACAAAAAAATTAGCTGGGTGTGGTGGCAGTCGCCTGTAATCCCAGTTACTCCGGAGGCTGAGGCAGGAGAATCACTTGAACCTGAGAGGCAGAGGTTGCAGTGAGTGGAGATGGCACCACGGCACTCCAGTCCAGGTGACAGTGCGAGACTCCGTCTCAAAAAAAAAAAAAAAAAAAGTGTATCTTGGCCGTACACGGTGGCTCACGCTTGTAATCCCAGCACTTTGGGAGGCCGAGGTGGGTAGATCGCTTGAGTCCAAGAGTTTGAGACCAGCATGGACAACATGATGAAACCCCCTCTCTACAAAAATTTAAAAATTAGCCAAGCGTCGGGGCATGTGCCTGTAGTCCCAGCTACTCCAGGGGCTGAGGCAGGAGAATCACTTGAGCCCGGGAGGTCCAGGCTGCATTGAGCCAAGATCACAACACTGCACTCCAACCTGGGTGACAGAGTGAGACCCTGTCTCAAAAAAACAAACAAACAAACAAACAAAAAAATGATCTTTCTAAGAAATGCAGACTCCTGAACTGTATCTGTAAAAATTGATTAAGTCAGAAATAGGACCGGACTCACCTAGCAATTTTAATAGGCACCCAGATTATAACAATTCAGGTGGTCCATAGACCACACCTTGAGAAACATTATCTCAGATCAGGGAAGGAAAGTGTCTCTTCACTCAGTTGCCTTGTTCCTTACCCAAGGATCCCCTAATTCAGCATCATCTATCACCACCCACACATGGATAGCAATGACTCTATGGGTTGCCAGGGTTCACTTAGAGAGCCTACCTGCTGTGGAAGGTGGGTGCTCACCCACAATCTCCCATGCATAATCAGCATCTCAACACCACCTGTGCTTTAAGGATTTGCTTGGCATTTTGGCCATCTGGACACAAATACACATAGCAGGTAGTGATAGGACTGCCAACTAAACTGCCTACACAGCAGCCAGCTTTTGTTCAGCAATTGGCTAGCTTTTTTGCCCTGACAATGAGTTCTCATATTTAGAGATCTGATTTTTTTTCTTGTAGGAAAATATTATTTATCAATTCCCTCTTTAAAAATTAGCTATATGTGAAATATTCTTGCTGCTACTAAGATACACTGAAAATTACACTGGCTCAATTTGAATAGAAAGCCTAATAGGAAGATTATATTTGTCTTCATCAGCAAAAGCAGGACAGCTGGCCAGGTGTGGTGGCTCACGCCTATAATCCAAGCACTCTGGGAGGCCGAGGCGGGCAGATCACTTGAGGTCAGGAATTTGAGACCAGCATGGACAAGATGGTGAAACTGTGTCTCTACTAAAAATATAAAAATTAGCAGGGCATGGTGGTACATGCCTGTAGTGCCAACTACTCAGAAGGCCGAGGCACAAGAATCACTTGAACCCTGCAGTGAGCTGAGATTGTACCACTGCACTCCAAAAAAAAAAAAAAAAAAAAAAAAAAAAGACAGCCAGGCCAATTAATTTTCTGGGAGCATGTTTAAAAATTTTTTATTGTTGTTATTGCTGTTGGCATTTTTTTAAAGAGTCAAAATTCACTAGAACTCTCCCATTTCTGAACATGCATAAAAACATGTTAAACAGATGTTTTTCCTCATTTACAACACCAATAATTCCAAAGATATTCAAAGGGCTTTTTATTATATTCTAAAGGTGAGACATTTACAAACATTCATCTAGGTAGAACAGATAGTGAGGGCTGAAGTATGTTATGCTGACTCAAATTGGTTGTAATAATTGGAATCAGGAGAGATTGTACGTAAAATATGGGACTGGAACACAATAGAAAATCTTACCGAGCTTTGTCAAAATACGATAGTGCTTATTTCAAAGTACCATGCTGGGAGAGGAATTATTTACTATTATGAGTTACAAGTAATGAGGTGAAACAAAATGGGAAAATGTAGGGAGCCTATCTGACTTCCTAGTAGTGAGACTTATTTAATAGTAAGGTATCTTCTGCCAGGGAAAATAAATCCATATTAAATGAAGCATTGAAAACCAGCCTGGACAATGCACTAGAAACTGTACACTGAAATATTCACCAGACAATGGGGAAATGAAAGGACTAACCAAACTTCATACACCCTCAGTACTCGAGGGCCCCATTTTATCCCTTTTCAGCATTCACCCCATTTCAGAATTCTAGGACTGAATGTTCCTAAGGAGATCATTTCTTCATATACATAGCTCAGCACAAGAAACTGTTACATCCTGCAAAAATTAATTATAAAATTGCTCCAGCCCATAGTGAAGGCTGAGGTGATAGAAAACATTGGGGCAGACTATGATGAATCTCCAGGCTTGGCCATTGTTAGACTCCACCTCATTTCTCTCTGCCTTCATCCCTCAGCTTTCTGTAGATTGGTCCACAATTTGCTTAGGCCTTGTCTCGGTTCTTAAGCAAATTAAAAAAAAAAAATCCTGCCCCCCTCTACTTCTTCCCTGCCCCCAGTCTGTTAGGACTTAATATTATTAAGTTCATTACCAGCCTAGGGTTCTAGAGACTCAATTACTACTGTTGCAGCTCTGGGTTCCTTTTCCAGCATCTGAGATCTCTATTTCTTATGACCATAAGTACAACCATGATTGTGCATGCCTTATGCCCAAGTCCCCAGCAATGACTACCTTTGCTGACATCTCCTACCGTCACCACCCACGGCCCTATGGCTTTGTACTCATGGGCTAAGATGCTAAAAACAGAACCCTTCCCCCAATGCCTCCCAGGTCCCTTCTTAAAAGAGAATGTACTATTTCTTTGCAAGAACACCACCTTATTCAAGACTGAGGATCTACTAGGGTACATTTATGAATATCTAGGTCCAAGTTTGTCCAAATGGGCAAGATCTTAGTGGTCCTTGGTATTAGATTTACTTGCCCAATTTCCTCAATCCAAGCTTTTCAGATCTGGGTTCTATATTGTCTTACTGCCCAACAAATCTACTTTCTCTTTCTAATTCCATCTTATGTCTGTGCTCTACATTCTCCTAGGCACTGAAGAAATAAGGGCCCTACAAAGTTCTTAAGGTGCTATCAAGATCTCCAGAACACTTTGCTCAAGATCTTTTATACCATCAGATCCTACCTTGGCTCCAGTCTTACAAGACTCTGCTCATTCCTAACTCTGACTCATCCCTTTCTCTGATTCTCCTTTTAATTTATTGCATCCTTCTCATTTGGATGCCCAGAACCCACCTGTCTTTCACTGGCACCTAACCTCTCCTAGCTGTATAGAGCATGACTGCCAAAGTAGCATATAGTTTACAGTACAGAAATTTCCAAACAAGGAGTATTCAGTATGTCACATGCAAACTGGAGAGTTAGATAGGAGGAAAGCATTCCCCAAATGAACACATTTAATTTAGGCCTAAAATGTCTGGTATGAACCTGAGCTAATATAATTAAATTTTTCCAAAATGTAGGTGCTCAAGAAGAAAAAATGCAAATGATGATTTACTAAAGTGGTGAAATCAAACAGAATGCCAATGTACAGGACTGGTGGGAATGAGAGGAAATGAGTGTTTTCATAAATGATTAATGGAAATGTAAAGCAGTACACATTTGGGAGAAAGTAATTTGGCAATATCTATTGAAATTTAAAAGGCACATACCTTTGACCTAACAATCCCACTTTAACAAATACTTATCAAGTTAAAAACCAGAAAAACCATATTGAGCAAGGAGATTGGTCCAGACCCTCATGGAGCAAGTTTTCATGAAGGAGATAGAAAAATGAATCAAATCACCAAAGAGACTGATGTTACTAAACTACAATTGTGATGTATTTTATGAAGGAAAATGCATAATACATGCACATGAGGGGACTGATCAAGTCTGCAGAGTCAGGAAAGAATTCCCTGTGGAAGTGCGATCAAAGAATGAGTAGGAATAAGCAGAGCAAAAGGGAAAAGTGTAGGAGTAAAGTGGGTGTAAAGGAGGGGAAACATACATTCCAGACAGAAAGAACAGCATATAGAAGCATTTCCTCGATCTCACCACATCCACCTATTACACAGGTCCAGCAAGCCAAGCTTATTCCCATATGAGAGTCTGCATTTTCTGTTCCCTTTGTCTGAATGCTCTTCCCCATCATCTCTGCATGGCTGGCTACTTTTTCATAAGGTATTATAACAAATTATAAGAAATCCCACCTCTGCCAACTTAATAAGGAGCCAGTTAATCATTTTCCTTTTTTTTTTTTTTTTTTTTTGAGACATAGTCTCACTCTGTCGCCCAGGCTTGAGTGCAGTGGCGCGATCTCGGCTCACTGCAAGCTCCGCCTCCCGGGTTCACACCATTCTCCTGCCTCAGCCTCCCAAGTAGCTGGGATTACCGGCGCCTGCCACCACGCCCGGCTAATTTTTTGTATTTTTAGTAGAGACAGGGTTTCACCGTGTTAGCCAGGATGGTCTCAATCTCCTGACCTCGTGATCCGCCAGCATTGGCCTCCCAAAGTGCTGGGATTACAGGCGTGAGCCACCGCGCCCAGCCAATCATTTTCTCTTATATCAGCTTCAATATATTCTCAGCATAGTAATTTACAGTGATCACTATCTGATACTTGTCTTGCATATTTATTTTTGTGTTTGTCTTTTGTATGTCTTCTCCTGCTCCACTAGAAGTAAGCACCATTCAGAACAGAAGCCTTGCCTGTATTTTCATTGATATTACTTGAACCTTGAAGTAAACAATGATGTTCTGCAGATGGAGGGAGCATGGGAGAACATTGGAGGAATTGAAAGAAAGCTGGTGTGGCTGAAAAGCAGAAAGTAAGGTGGGAAAGTCAATCTGGCTATAGATGGAAACTCTATTAGAGTAGATAAGAGTGAGTGACAGAGCTCAACTAGGGAGATATTACAATGGTGAGTGATGGTAACAGCATGACTTAGTTGGGTAGCAGTGGAGATGGGGAAAGTGGATGGACCAAAGAAATATTTAGGGGTGCCGGGCACCCTGGCTCATGCCTGTAATCCCAGCACTTTGGGAGGCCGAGGCGGGAGGATCACGAGGTCAGGAGATCAAGACCATCCTGGCTAACAGGGTGAAACCCTGTCTCTACTAAAAATACAAAAAAAAAAAATTAGCCAGGCATGGTGGCAGGCGCCTCTAGTCCCAGCTACTCGGGAGGCTGAGGCAGGAGAATGGTGTGAACCTGGGAGGCGGAACTTGCAGTGAGCCAAGATCACACCACTGCACTCCAGCCTGGGTGACAGAGCAAGACTCCATCTCAAAAAAAAAAAAAAAAAGAAAAGAAAGAAATATTTAGGGGGTAAAACTATGCTGGGTGATTAATTTTATAAGGGTATTTATTTCTGCTTGTACAACTGTTTGAATGGCAGTACCACTGACTAAGATAGAAATACTGAGGAGGACTGGGTTTGATGGTATTATGAGTTTAGTTTTAGATATAATGAGTTTGTGGCAGGAGGATTTATGGGTCAGGGGTCATGAAGAGAGGTATGGAGTGGAAAAATAAATCAAAAGTAATTTTAAAAGTTAACAGATGTGTTTCACTCTTCATGGTTGTGGAATACAGAGTCTTCGTGTATGTATTAGTCTGTTCTCATGCTGCTAATAAAGACATACCTGGGACTGGGTAATTTATAAAGAAAAAGAGATTTTATCGACTCACATTTCCACATGGCTAAGAAGGCCTCACAATCATGGCAGAAGGTGAAGGAGAAGCAAAGGCACATCTTCCATGGCGGTGGGCAAGACAGCATGTGTAGAACTGCCCTTTATAAAACCATCAGATCTCTTGAGACTTATTCACTATCATGAGAACAGCATGGGAAAAACCCACCCCCACAATTCAATTACCTCCCATGAGGTCCCTCTCATGGCACATGCAGATTATGGGAGCTACAATTCAAGATGAGATGTGGGTGGGGACACAACCAAAGCATATCAGTCTAGGATGAAGATACAAATATATGTGCCATTCTAGTTTACATGGTAACTGAAGCCTCAGGCATTGATGAGGTTGTCTAGAGTTAGAATATAATATGCAAAGAGAAGAGTGCTGAGGCAAAACTGGAGGAAGTTGCATTGTGGAAGAGGTGGGAGCAAAGTAGACTGAGAAGCAGCAGCAAAAATGGTATGAGGAAAAGCAAAAGATTCCAAGGAACAGAGAGGATGGTCAAGTATGTGTTAAAGATAAGAAATGTCCCATTGGCTTTAACATGCTGATCATGGTGACCTTAGCAAGAACTTGTCTCTGGAGGAATCTGTCTTATATAAATGTTACCACAAACACATAAAGCCACATAATGCTCCCTCAAACAGTGTTGTCAGTAGCGTGAAAGAAAAAAAAAAAAAAGGCCGGGTGTGGGGGCTCACAAACTGTAATCCCAGCATTTTGGGGGGCTGAGGCGGAAGGATTGCTTAAGCCCAGGAGTTCCAGACCAACTGGGCAATGTGGTGAAACCCCATCTCTATAAAAAATACAAAATTAGCTGGGCATGGTAGTGCATGCCTGTAGTCCCAGCTACTAAGGAGGCTGAGATGGGAGAATCGCTTGAGCCTGGTAAGCTGAGGATGCAGTGACCTGTGATCGGGCCACTGCACTCCAGCTTGGGTGACAGAGCAATACCGTGTCCAAAAAAAAAAGAAAAAGAAAAAGGAAAAAGAAAAAATAAATCTACCTAAAACGATTTAAATATCAATGGAGGATGCCTGCGTAAATTACAATACAGCCACATAGTGGGATGCAATGCAGTCATTGAAAGTGAGGAAATCTATGTATGATGATATAGAAAGATGTTCAGATGTATAAGGGGGAAAAGCGTGTCACAGATCAGTATGGATAGCCTGATCCATTTTTGTAAAAACTGTATATATAGATTGATTAGCTGTGTAAATGGAGAAAATGGAAAAGAATTTGTATGCACCAAATTTTTTAACAGTGGGTTCTTCTTGAGAATACTGCTAAATGATGAGAGGAGGACAGAGAGGGGTGAAATCTAAATGGTGAGATTATAGACACTAAATTTCTTTGTGCCTCAAATTAAGAAACAAAGACCGGTCATGTGCTAAATGTCCCTTTTATTTTGTGGAGCAAAAACAGTGTATAAGAACCTAGCCCAATATAAGAGCTGAATGAATAAAATAACTGCTTTCAGAAAGACGTCAGGCAAATGGATAATGTCACAACAGGCCAAGAAAGTTCAACTGGCACATTCACTAATTGGAACTCTTTTGATATACAAAATAATTAGTTTATGATTTTAAGTCAAATGCTAGACCTACTCAAAGTGGTAGCCTTCCTTAATAAATACTTTTACATCTAATTTGAATTCCCACATTTTGTACATAGTTAACAGGGATTTATGCTCACTGAGCACTTCTTGGATTAATAGTTTTGTTTTAATTTTTTAATTGATGAATGAGTTCTATTTTAAAGCAAGTATTGTTGAAAAATAGTCCAGGATTCATGGGCCTATTAATTTTTCTTTACTTTGGCAGATTTGTGGTGTGTGTATCTGTATGTTTTGGGGAGGACGAATATACATACAAATATATACTATATATTGACATTTTGTATATATATATAAAAATAATATTCACTCTTCCCTGTCGGGGACTGTAGTATGTCAACATCATGTGCAAACTGAGACTGTTTTTAAAAAATCTTTATACATATATATCTACATAGTTATATATGGAATTATAAATTGATTAGTGTATATATTATCAAACAGAATTCTCAACATTTGCTTACTCATACAAAAATAGAATCACCTCATCTATTTTAATATTTTTAGCCACTAAAGTTCTTACCATTTTCTAAATATGTTATCAAATACACACTATAAAATTTTAGGAGATATGACATGCAAGATATCTTAAGAAGTTGTTTTTTTTTGTTTTTTTTGTTTTTTTGTCACCCAGGCTGGAGTGCAATGGCACGATCTTGGCTCACTGCAACCTCCGCTTCTCAGGTTCAAGTGATTCTCCTGCCTCAGCCTCCTGAGTAGCTGGGATTACAGGTGTCTGGCACCACAACTGGCTAATTTTTGTATTTTTAGTAGGGAGACGGGGTTTCACCATATTGGCCAAGCTGGTCTCGAACTCCTGACCTCAGGTGATCTGCCCACCTCAGCCTCCCAAAGTGCTGGGATGCAGGCATGAGCCACCATGACTGGCCTAAGACGTTTCTTTTAACACTTAATCACCTTACATTTAATTTTAATAAATAGCAATGTCACTAATTGTATATTGTTGTTTGCTATTTTAATTAATTTGATTCAAAAAATCAGGACGAAGCTTGGCTCAATGGTGCACTCCTGTAGTCCCTGTTATTTGGGAGGCTAAGATGGGAGGATGGGTTGAGCACAGGTATTTAAGACCAGCCTGGGTAACGTAGCAAGAACCCACTTCAAAAAAAAACAAACAAAAAAACCTCCACCAGACTGAATGCATTACAGAATATTCTTAAAGTTATAGGAAGGCATTTGACATATGTAAAAAATATGTTTTCCATAATAAGTTGTTTTTAGTCTCATAAAGTGGATCAAGTTTATAAAACGTATAAAACAGCCTTGATCAAAGTCTGCTAAATTTGCATACTTTGTAATTTAAGAGTAACTTATTAACTTGAGTCTCTTTCCATAGGTAAATTAAAGCATCTACAACTTGAAACAAATGAATGTAAGAAAGAACTTTAACGGCAAAGAAATTTAAGAATATTTTTCCTTATTTATGTATAATTCATTAAGATTCCATCCTTCTCTGTCATATGACACTCATACTTTAGAAATAAATTATATTTATAATCCTAAAACACATAAAAAACACACAAAGAGTAATTGGATTTTTAAAAAGACATAAAAGGAAATCTTGATTTCTAATAAGAATCATCTTGAATGTACAAATATACTTGTTTTATTAAGTGTTCTTACACTGTAGCTCTTGCAAACCAAACTACTAATTCAAATACAAAATTTGAAAGACACTTCCGTGAAACTGTAGAATGTTTAGGAACTCGACGCTAAAGCCTCATTTTAAACATAAACATTGCGTTTATCTATGTGAGTTGCTGGGCGGAGGTACTTAAACACTGTTTTGGTCTGTCATTCTGCTTTTAGACAGTGTCTATCTAACCATCTCAAAGGCCTTGGATGCTATTTTATTTTTAAATATTTCAGTTATGTTGATTTCACAACCTTCCTTGTGACCCATTCCAGCATTTAAAATTCCTTTTTTTTTTTTTTAGAAAGTCTTTCTCTAGGGTAACCCAGGAAGAAACAGTAAAAAGGGACTAAAAGACTCTGAAATATTCATTCCTCTGTTTGAAAAGACAGATATTCTCTTAAGGAATTTCACTGTCCTAAGTCAATTAAGAGAGTGGTGGCTTAAATATGAAGATCAAAGTCTTATAGGATTGCCCCTTGGGGATAGCACTTTCCTTTGTGAATGCAGACTTATGTTCACAGTTGCTCCCAAGCTGGGCAAACACCCCAAAGAGCTCTCCTGGACAGAATCCCAAGGAAAGGTTTCTTCAAATTTTCACTGTGTCTCCTCGGCCAGGCTCAAACCCTCCCCTCTCAGAGGCTCTTCCTGCTTCTTTCTGTCTCCCCCAGCCTCATTACCTCATCACCACAAGAACAAGCAAGGGAAAACAATCTGAAACGGTAAAGTATTATAGAACTATATTGTCTTTTTTGTTACCATCGGCAGGTATGCCCCCAAACTTTCATCTTTTTTCTTTTTCTTTTTTTCCTTGAGACAGAGTCTCTCTCTGCCACCCAGGCTGGAGTGTAGTGGCATGATCGCGACTCACTGCAACCTCCATCTCCCAGGTTCAAGCAATTCTCCTGTCTAACATTATGAGTAGCTGGAAGTACTGGTGCCCACCACCATGCCCAGGTAATTTTTGTATGTTTTGTAGAGACAGGGTTTCACTATGTTGGCCAGGCTAGTCTCGAACTCCTGGGCTCAAGTGATCCACCCACCTGGGCCTCCCAAAGTGCTGGGATTACAGGCGTGAGCCATCCGGCCCAGCCTCACCTGATATTTCTTAATGCAGATTCTGATTCAGTAGCTCTGGCGTGGGTGGAGCAGGGGTGTGGGGGAGTGCCTGAGGTCCCGCGTTTCTAACAAACATGTCCTGATGAAGCTGGTCCTCAGACCACACTTACAGCAGCAAGTTCTTAAGACATCTAACTCATATGTGTTTTACTTAAGATATTAGTACTTCACTTTTGAAACAAACCCAGTGTGAAAATTCAACTTTGCAAAACAGATCAAATAAGAAATAATTTACATTTCTTGATGATTCTTTGCTTTATAAGAGATATCAGGATGACATTTCTGCAGTTATTGAGATACCCTAGTATACTTAAGATGATTCAGTATTTCAAAATTACATGAGTACATGGCTTCTCACAAGCACAAATACCATATAAAGCTCCGTATGCTGGCAATTTACTACGAACTTAAGTGATCTTGGACTCTATTTAATACGTAGATGATCGTTCCATTTTTGTCTATCTGAGATAAAGTCTTAATTGAACTCAATTCAAAGAACTAATTTAACTGTTTTTCCCCACTGAGTGAGAGTCGCAGCTGCAGCACTTTGTGTAAGTAAAAAGCACGCATTTATGATTGGACTGAAAGAATTAACACTAGACTGGGAATGGTGGCTCATGCCTGTAATCCCAACACTTTGGGAGGCCAAGACGAGCATATCGCTTGAGCTCTGGAGTTTGAAACCAGCCTGGGAAACACGGCGAAACCCTGTCTCTACTAAAAATAGAGAAATTAGCCGGGGATGGTGGCATGCACCTGTAATCCCAGCTACTCAGGAGGCTGAGGCACGAGAATCGTTTGAACCCAGGAAGAGGAGGTTGCAGTGAGCTGAGATCACACCACTGCACTCCAGCATGGGCAACGAAGCAAGACACTGTCTCAAATAATAATAATAATAATAATTTTAAAAAAGAAAAAAGAATTTATACTACCCAGAGCAGCGAATTGTACTATACTAGAAATAATGGAGTCTATTGTTTTAGAAAAGTAGAAAGGTCTTAGTGACTCATAAAGGCAATCCTCTTTGTCAGTTTGCAAAATTTCTCTTTATCATTTTTAAGCCTGCACCTAGTCCAAGTCAGAATTTACTCAGAGTTATTTAAAAGAAATTGTTCTAAAGTAGCAAACCACATGAAGCCAAAATCTTTAGATTGATGAAGACAATAGAAAAGAGAACACTGAATATGTGTGTGTGTGTATATGTGTGTTAATGTGACAGCTGGTTTTGGCCAACCACTGTAGTTCTTGCAAATGTACATTGAGCCAATGAACCTAAGAATGGGAGCAGTACACAGATAATTTAGGATGGATAAGCAAAGAAACTGGAATAGAATCACAGATGTCTTAGATATTGAGCAGCAGGAATTGGCATGAAGCTTTTTCTGAAAATTATACCAACCTTTAGAGTGATTTTGCAACAGGGCTGCTGGACACAACAACAAAAATAATGCGGAAAAAACAGTTTTTATTATATTATTACATACTGAAGAAGAGAAATGATCCCCACCATTGCAATTCAAAGAAGAAAAATATTTACATCTTTGTTACCCTAACTGATCTGAATAGCCTGGCACTTTCACCCTACTTTTCTTCCCAGTAAGTAATTGATCAGTTGGAAACATTTTGTAAAACACGGTCTTTTCTCTTTCTGATGTTAATGGTTCCTTAAGTGACTGAATGTGACATTGACTATAAAGACTTTGTCAGATTTTAGTTTTATACTTATATGGTTACAGGAACACAGCAAGGATTAGGAGATACTCTATATACTTTCTCAATTTATTGAGTAGTAAAACTAGAAACAAAGACATAAACAAAGTCAGAGATTAGACAACAGTGTAGTGGTCTTGATTGAATCCAGCTCAGGAAGATAGTTAACTGCTTCCAAAAGTATTTATAAGCATTCTGGCCATAAACTATATTTGAGCCATATTTGACTAGATATTAAAAAGAGTTTGGTGTACACACAAGTTCACAGCAGCACTATTCACAATAGCAAAAAAGTGGAAACAGCCAGATGTCTTATCAATAGAAGAATGGATAAACAGATTGTAATATAGACATATCATGGAATATTATTCAGCCATAAAAAGGAAGAAAGTTACTGAAACATGCTACAATATGGATGACTCTCAAAACATTGTGTTAAGAGAAAGAAGAAAGACAAAAAAGGTCACATATCATATGGATCCATCTACATGAAATATCCATAACAGGTAAACCCACAGAGACAGAAAGCATATTTGTGGTTAGCAGGGGCAGAGAGAGGGGAGAATGGGAATTGATGGCTTAGCAAGTATGGGATTTCCTTTTAGAGTGGTGAAAATGTTTTGGAACCAGATAGAGGTGGTGTTAGCCAGTTAGCCAAACATGACGGCATACGCCTGTAGTCCCAGCTACTCAGGAGGCTGAGGATAGAGGATCATTTGAGCCCAGGAGGCAAAGGTTGCAGTGAGCCAAGATCACGCCACTGCACTCCCACCTGGGTGATAGAGTGAGACTCCATAGCAAGAAAAAATAAAATATTGGCTGGGTGCAGTGGCTCAGGCCTGTAATCCTGGCACTTTGGGAGGCCGAGGCGGGGAGATCCCAAGGTCAGCAATTCAAGACCAGCCTGGCCAATATGGCAAAACTCTGTCTCTACTAAAAATACAAAGATTAGCCAGGCATGGTGTCAGTCACCTGTAATCCCAACTACTCGGGAGGCTGAGGCAGGAGAATCAATTTAACTCCGGAGGTGGAGGTTGCAGTGAGCCGACAGAGTAAGACTCCATCTAAAAAAAAAAAAAAAAAAAAAAGATTTAAAATATTAAAAACTGAAAACAGATAGAGGTGGGTATGTACAACATTGTGAATGTACAAAACGCACTGAATTGTTTACTTCAAAATGGTAATTTTATGTTATATGAACTTTACCTCAATAAAAATAACAGTTTGAGAATGAACAACAGTAAGTGCAATTAACATTCAATGCCTAGTTAGCATAGTGCCAGGAGGACAGTCGGTGTTCAACAAACATTTGTTGAATAATGAATTAATTACAGAGGTCTCTTGCTACATAGTCTCTGTTCAGAAAGGCATCTTTCAGATTTTTGGACTATTTCTCCCCTCTTCTAGAAACAGTGGAACTAGAAAGCAGTATTAAAATCACTGAATTTAGAAAGGGAAGACATGTTAGATAATAAGTAGTCTAACCTCATGATTCTATGGCTGAGAAAGCTGAGGCCCACAGATGTGACCAAGCTTAACTGGAAAACACAGCCAGTCAGTCTCATCAGTAGACTAAAATCTGAGGCTCCGGATTTCCAGCACTCTTTTTACTATTCCTCACTGCTTCAGCCATGACCCAGGGTCCCTGGAAAGGAAAGAGCCTGGTGGAGGAGGAAAGAGTTGGCCAGACAACAGCCGTAATGAAGTTAGTTTATTCTTGTGAATCAGGACTCAGGCCATATTTGGGTGTGGAGGGAACACAGCTGTATTAAGAGGAGGGAAAACAAAGTGGGTGGTAAATAAAGTATCAAAAGTATAAAATGCAAATATCCCAACTGTGGATGCAATTCTATTCCCAAGAGACAAATATCTAGAATCATATCTCTTTTTCATTAAGGAGGTTATTTAGCTTGAAAGAAGAAAGATGAAGGTAGGTCCCATTTAAAGCCAAGGCAAATAAGTACATGTACCGCTTGTATAAATTTAAATTTTTTAGAATTTTAAGATAAAGGTCTATTTCAGAAGAAATTTGGCTGACAGTAGTGCTTATAGTCTCCAATTCTGTAGTAACACAGTTTGCCTGAAAGTGAGTTGTTTTTTGATCTCTCACAAAGATACTACTTTAAAATTTCCATTTTTAAAAAATCCATCATAAGAAGGCTTTTCCTATAAGATATCTCAGTGGTAAGAGATCATTAAAAAAATACTGAGGACTTCTCTTTTTTTAATGCAAAAAAATTGTGAACTGAACTTTTGAATTGCCTGTGTATGTGTGTGTGCGCGCGTGTGTGTTTTAAAGTTCAGTGCTGATGGAAATGTGCCAAGGACTGTAATACTAAGAACTGGATGACAGCCAAGTGCCTTTGGTTTTGGAGAAGGCAAGTAGGAGCCAGAGAATGCTCTCAGTATTGGTGGGAGGTTATTTGAAGTTGAGGGGGGTCAGCATATTTGATGCCCAGGAGCAGAAAGAAACAATGGTTCTCTGATAATTAGGATAGTAATCCCAGCAAGGGAGCCCATCATCTTTGTTTCTGGCAGACACAAGTGTCTCCCGGCTATGGCTTAATCTTTCAAGGACTTTAACTTTGAGAAATCATGATATCTTTGTTAGTATGCTCCAAGCGGACCCTGCATGCTTACTTAGCAAACTCCTTCTTCCATAAACAGACATTATAGAAGATGAAATTCCAGGATATGATCATTGTTCAAGGCATCTTGTAAATCACAGCAGCCAAAGCACTGCAAAATCACTAAGAATGTACACTTCTCGTCAGTATACTTATGTGTGTTTAAATCTCTTTTTTTGTCCTTTCTCTCTTCATATCTTTCTCTTTTTATTATTTACTTATTTATTTAATTTGAGACAGGATCTCACCCTATCGCCTAGGCTGCAATGCAGTAGTGTGATCACGGTCACTGCAGCCTGCGGCTCAAGTAATCCTCCCACCTCAGCTTTCCAAGTAGCTGGGACTACAGACACGTGCCGCCATGCCTGGCTAATTTAAAAAAAAAAAATTTACAGACAAAGTCTCACTATGTTTCCCAGGCTGGTCTCAAACTCCTGGGTTCAAGTGATGCTCCCACCTTGGCCTCCCAAAGTGCTGGAATTACAGGCATGAACTACCGTACCCAGCCTTTCTCTTTTTATATACTGTCCATTGATTCTGTTTTCTATTTCCTCAAACCCTTTTTTCTTCTCCATTCTCACTATTAGAGCACTTTTGTGACCTAATCCTTCAAACGTATGTACAATATTTCTTATCCTGGCACTTTCGAAAGTCTCACTTTTGGAATTCTTTTTGGTTTTTTTTTTAATCCCCTACACGCTCATAGGACAGATTTGACCTTTTCCTAGACCTAATGCCTATGGTGCTTTTTTCTTTATTTCTTTTATTTACAGTGCTGTTGCAGTGACCTTTATTGACCTGGCCCTCTCTTTTTCATCGAGAAAAATTCAACAGTTTTTACTATTAAAAATTCTTTTGACAGTGACTATAAAACTCAAATTTTAGTGATTTACATATATTCCTAATCTAGTGGTATTATTTGAATTAATCTATTTTTAGCATTTAGTTTACTTCTTGGTTCTGCAAGTTTCACTCTTGTGCAGAGCCTGACTCCTTGATTGCGCAGGTAGAAGTCACCTAAGTCTTTGGACATAATAAAATATACATTGATGTTGTTTAGCAGCTACTCATGTCTAGGCTTTGCTCATTCCAGAATTTCCTTGGCACTTCAGCTCTTGGCCTGAAGTTTCTAGTGGGATAAACTAAGTTCTCTATTGTAGATGCTTTTCTGACTCACAATAAACAAAATGCTGGGTGGAAAGATGCCATGACAGCAGAAAGAAATGTTAGCAGGGAATGCTGGAAAAGCAGCCTCTTACAGACACGCTCAGGAAACAATGAACAATAAGACGACAAACTTCACAGGCTCACTCGACTATTTTGAGAGGCTGCTGGGCTCTGCATATGCTTTATGTTGAGGCCTGAATTTGTGGGGAGGCTCTTAATATGCTCAGGGAAACACTTGGGCTCTTTTTCAGCCAAAACTTTTAGATATGAGTATTCCAATGAAGAAGAATAATAATACTTTGGAGTCACCAAAATCCTTTTCAACAAGAGACCAAATTACTCATTATAGGCAAGGACAATTTGCAAAGAGGAAAACTAAAAAGCCTAGAGAAGTAAATTGAGTTGACAAAAGCAAGTCAAACTGAAATCAAGATCAAACTGAAATTTAGGTCTACCTATTTCAGAGAGTTGACAATTATCTGGTGAATATATGCAGTCTAGACTATCAGTAAAATGTCCCATTTCCCTCAGATCATCCTAGCTAATGATTGAGGCCTCCAACTATATGCATAAAATTAACTGGCTAGACACGGATTCAGAACAAATGAAAATAACCAAGCTGTGTTATGTGTCCACCTGACTGGGTTAAGTGATATCCAGATAGCTGATAAAACATTATCCTGCGGCCAGGCATGGTGGCTCCTGCCTGTAATCCCAGCACTTTGGGAGGCCGAGGCAGGCGGATCACCTAAGGTCAGGAGTTTGAGACCAGCCTGGCCAACATGGCGAAAACCCGTCTCTACTAAATATACAAAAAAATTAGTCGGGCGTGGTGGCATGCGCCTGTAATCCCAGCTGAGGCAGGGAGGCTCAGGCCTGTAATCGGGAGGCTGAGGCAAGAGAATCGCTTGAACCTGGGAGGCAGAGGTTGCAGTGAGCTGAGATCACACCACTGCACTCCAGTCTGGGCGACACAGCGGGACTCTGTCTCAAAAAACAACATTATTATTTATTTCTAGATGTGTCTGTGAGGGTGTTTCCAGAATTTGAATCTATAGACTGAATAAGGAAGATCTGCCTTGCCCGGTGTGGTGAGGTATTATCCAAACCACCTAGGGCCAAGTGGAACACAACGGTGGAGGAAGGACACATTTGCTCTCTCTTCTTGAGCTGGGACATCCATCTTCTCTCGGAGCTCCTGGTTCTCATTTAAACTCAGACGGAATTACACCACTGGCTTTCCTGGTTCTCCAGCTTGCACATGGCAGACTGTGGGGCTTCTCCGCCTCCATAATTGCATGAGCCAATTCCCCAAATAAATCTCCTCTAATACAGGTTAAGCATCCCTAATCTGAAAATCTGAAATCCAAAATGTTCCAAAATCTGACATTTTTTGAGTGTTCACATGACACCACAAGTGGAAAATTCACACCTGACCTCATGTGACAAGTCACAGTCAAAACACAGTCAAAATATTACACAAAATTATTTAAAATATTGTAGAAAATTACCTTTAGGTGATGTGTATAAGGTCTTTATGAAACATAAATGAATTTTATGTTTAGACTTGGGTTTCATCCCCAAGATATCACATTATGTATATGTAAATGTTCCAAAATCAGAAAAAATCTGAGACACTTGTGTTCCCAAGCATTTCAAGTAAGGGATATTCAACCTGTATATCTACCTTTCAATCTATATATATCCTGTTGGTTCTGTTTCTTTGGAAAACACTGATTAATACACAAGTCAATGTTTACTCTCTGCAATATAGGGAAAAAAGAATGCAACATACTTCACAAATATTTTACTATTAAGATTACAATTCCAACCTGGGCAACATGGTGAAACTCCATCTGTACTAAAAATACAAAAAATTAGCCAGTGACAGTGGCACCCCCTTGTACTCCCAGCTACTCAGGAGGCTGAGGTGGGAGGATAACTTAAGCCCAGGAGGCAGAGGTTGCAGTGAGCCAAGATTGAGCCATTGCATTCCAGCCTGGGTGACAAAGTGATGCCCTGTCAAAAAAAAAAAAATTTTTTTTATTAAGAAGATTTTATAAAAACAAAATTACACTAAAAAGATATAAAACTTTAGAAAGCATAACAGCCTATTTATATTTTAAAACTAAATATATCACAGTGGATGTCTAATCTTTAATATATACAGTCTGCCCTCCATGTCTCTAGGTTCTGAATGTGTGAATTCAACCAACTGTGGATGGAAATTTTTATTTTAATTGCATCTGTGCTGACCATGTACAGACTTTATTTCTTGTCATTATTTCCTATACAACATAGTATAGCAACCATTTACATGGTGTTTACATTGAATTAGGTATTATAAGTAACCTAGAGATGATTTAAAGTATATGAGAGGACGTGCATAGGTTATTCCAAATACTACACCATTTTACATAAGGGACTTGAGCATCAGCAGATTTTGGTATCTGTGGGAGGTCCTGGAACCCATTCCCCATGAATACCGAAGGATGACTGTAATTTTATGCAGAATATCACACATATTGTTGAAGCCAAGGGAATCCTATGTGTTTTTAGTACTTATTTAATTTTTAAGTTGAATATTCTCCCAACTACAATGCCAGCAAATGTATAATGAAAATGACGTTAGATGGATTACTCTAACAGGCTAATAGTGGGAAAAATGAAAACTTAAGATAATAATAACATTTACAAAGAAGAATGAGACATTTATGTCATTATGTAAATGTATAACATAAGATAATCTTTCTTTAACATAAATT
Organism: Homo sapiens; assembly: GCF_000001405.40. Lineage (NCBI taxonomy): Eukaryota > Metazoa > Chordata > Mammalia > Primates > Hominidae > Homo > Homo sapiens. Next base: position 152,219,314 of record NC_000002.12, on the reverse strand, counting down.
GCAGATTGTTTGAACAAATTACTAATTCAGTGTAAATGAGCTGGCTGCATAACTGGTTACTTGGCATTCAGTTACTTTGCACATGTTTAATTCCATTTTATTTTTGGTTGCGAATAAAATGCATGAAGTTAGATATTTTTAAACAAATCTTTTGGGAAACAGTTGACTTCTCAGAAATTATAATGAAAAGGTGAAATAGCCATAAATGAAAAGTAGAATGCTAAATAAGTGCCAGTTATTCAAGATTTTGATTACCTAAAATGAGTTCGTGTCTTCTGAAATATGTATTTTTCATTAAAATTTCTCTTGCTTAATCATATTTCTAGTTATTAGATAAACCTAATCTCCCTATTCTTGACCCATGATTAACTAAAAAAGTATTTGCTATTTTATTATGTTTTTAGTGGTTACCATAATTATTATAACAGGCATTTGTGATTTAACAAAATCTGATGTTTATTAATATGTTTACCCTTTTTCCAGAAAGTGTTAGAACCTTTGAACACTTTAACAATATTTTTCTTTCTCCTAATATACTATTGTTCTGTATTTTTCCATATTTTAAAGACTGAATGTCATTATTATTACTGTTTGTGCAGGAAATACTCATTTAGATTTATCCAAATGTTTTAATTTTACTGCTTTCACTCCAATTGGGATCATTCTTTTTCTACCTACAGAATATCCTGGGACAGGCACAGTGGCTCATGCCTTTGGTAATTCCAGCAGTTTGGGAGGCAAGGCAGGAGAATCACTTGGGGCCAGGGGTCTGAGACCAGCCTGGGCAACATAGTAAGATTCTGTCTCTACAAAAAACTTAAAAATCAGTCAGGCTCGGTGGTGAGTGCCTGTAGTCCCAGCTGCAAAGGAAGCTGAGGCAGGAGGATCACTTGAACCCAGGAGCTGGAAGCTGCAGTGAGCTATGATCACACAACTGCACTCTAGCCTGGAAGACACAGTGAGACCCTCTCTTAAAACAACAACAAAAAACCTCTGTGGTATTCCCTTTAATGTAGATGTGCAAGTTACTAATTCTCCCAGTTTTTATTTGTCTGAAATGTCTTTATTTCCCCTTCATTCTCGAAGAATACTTTGACTGCGTACAGATTTCTACTTGGTCATTATTATTTTTTTAACTGCCTTCATTACCATTGTCTTCGGGCTTCTACTGTTTCTGTTGGGAGGTTAGCTGTTGGCTCTTAATGTAATTATTGCTCGTTGAAGGTAATCTATTTTTCCCCTCTGGCTGCTTCTCCTCATCCCACTTGATTTTTAATATTTTCTACTTATATGTTTATAAATTTTACTGTGATGGGCCTAAGGGTAGATTTTTTTTGGTTTATCCTGTTTAGAGCTTTTAGAGATTCTTGAATTTTTAACTTATTTTTCATCAGTTTTGGGACAATTCTCAGCTATTATCTATTCAGATACTAACCCTCAGTCTCTCTCCTCTTCTTCTGGGACTTCATCTATACCTATGTTATCCTTTATCATTCTTAACCATTTGCCCTATATTTTCCATCCTTTTGTCTTTTTGTGCTTCATTCTCAATAGTTTCTTTTACATAATATGTCGAATCTAAGTTTTAATTTTAATTATTCACTTTTCATTTATAGGATTATATTTGGTAAGATTTTCAAGTCTTTTATTTTCTATAGCTCCCAAAGCTACCAATCGTGTCTTTTTACCTTCTTGAGCATGGTAAACATACTTATTCTAAAATCCACTTCTGGCAGGGCATTGTGGCTCATGACTGTAATCCCAGCACTTTGGGAGGCCAAGGCAGGCGGATCACTTGAGGCCAGGAGTTAGAGATCAGCCTGGCCAACATGGCAAAACCCCATCTGTACTAAAAATATGAAAATTAGCCAGGCATGGTGGTGCACACCTGTAATCCCAGTTATTTGGGAAGCTGAGGCACAAGAATCACTTGAGCCTGGGAGGTGGACGTTGCAGTGAACCAAGCAAGACTCTGTCTCAAAAAATAAAAAATAAAAAAAGTCTATTTCTGATAACTCTAATAAACCTTGAGAGTCTGTTTCTGTTGTTTATTGTTTCTGCTGGTTCTCAATTGTATTGTCATGTCTCCTTGGGTACCTGGTTCTTTTATTGTATACTGGACATTGTATCTGAAAATGTTTATAAAAATAATTTGATGTCTAGGATAATACCACCATACTGTGGCTGGGCGCGGTGGTTCAGGCCTGTAATCCCAGCACTTTGGGAGGTGAGGCAGGCGGATCACTTGAGGTCAGGAGCTGGAGACCAGCCTGGCCAACATGGCGAAACCCCATCTCTACTAAAAATACAAAAATTAGCTGGGCATGGTGGCATGCGAGTAATCCCAGCTACTTGGGAAGCTGAGGCAGGAGAATCGCCTGAACCCAGGAGCTGGAGGTTGCAGTAAGCCAAGATTGCGTCACTGCACTCCAGCCCGGACAACAGAACACAACTCCGTCTCAAAAAAAAAAACAAAAACAAAAAACAAATCACCTTACTGCATAGTGTATTTATTTACCTTCAGGCAAGCTGTGAGACGCTAGCAACTATGAATAAACAATCACATTCTGCAGATTGGGACTATGTAAAACTAGTTCCTGTGAGAACTAATCTATTTCCTGTTCACCAGTGTTTCCATGGCTCAGCCTTTTGGGGTTCATAGGTTTACCATAGCTACTCTGCTACTTGCAGGTCTTAGACTTCAACTTTTACTATCCTAACTCCATGAGGTTATTGAAAGCACTGATCAGACTCTTGGCTTCTCTTCTCTAATTAGCAAATGTCCCTGGGGGAAAAGTCACTGTAAAAAGAGACAAGCTGGCCGGGTGCGGTGGCTCAAGCCTGTAATCCTAGCACTTTGGGAGGCCGATGTGGGCGGATCACGAGGTCAGGAGATCGAGACCATCCTGGCTAACACGTCTCTACTAAAAATCCAAAACATTAGCCGGGCATGGTGGCGGGTGCCTGTAGTCCCAGCTACTTGGGAGGCTGAGGCAGGAGAATGGCGTGAAGCTGGGAGGTGAGCTTGCAGTGAGCCGAGATCGCACCACTGCACTCCATCCTGGGAGACACAGCGAGATTCCATCTCAAAAAAAAAAAAAAAAAGAGAGACAAGCTTACCTTTCTGGATTTTCCACTTCTCTCAAATATTGCCCTAAAAGTCTTATTTTATTTGATCTTTGATGTCTTCAAGCAAAAATTTTAAAGTTTGGTTTGGTTTGGGCATTTGTCCAGCCTTTCAGGTTGTCCTCAGAAGAGCTGGTCCAAATTACTTGGTTCCTAATTACTGGTTGTAGAAGTTGATCTGGGAGTTAGGCATTTTAGATGTAGTCAGCTAAAGATAAATACAGAAGTTTTGGAGATTGCTAACCATCACCTTATCCTCAATCTAATACTTTTTTCTGGAAACTCCCAATTATTCAGGAATGTAAGCCAACTGAGGGCCAATCAGGGACTTTGATTCTGCTCTAGAATGAATAAATTGGAAGTGGAATGTCAGTTCTCATGATCACTGTGAAATTGGGTATTCTGCAGTGTCTCTATATGTTTGACAGGCATCCTTTAGGCTAAAATTGGCCTCTAGCAATGGATAGACTCTCCCTAGGTGTTTGCCTCATAAAATTAAAGCCTAAATTGATTCTTGATTTGCACATTGTAATTATACCACAATCGGTGGAAGGAAGTTTCTCTTTAAAGAAATATTCAAGCTAATATATGACAAAGGAATGATAAAACTAATATATCACCATTTACATCCATCATGAACTAACAGAAGAAGCCTACCTAAAAAATATAGAACCTCAGTCTGATCAAACCTCCAATACAGCTACTATTTTACAGGAAATAAGAATGACACTGTTCAAGTTAACAATCTTAGAGAGAACTCCTTGTTTTCTGAAAAAGTATACATTTAATCACAGAGAAGTGTTCTTAGCCTTGCTTGTGTCCTATACCTATCACTTGGACCAAGCTACCATATGTGCATCCCTACATCCAGTCCTGGTGGTGGCAAAATGATTGGCAGCTACACCAGAATTTGGTGGAAAATGAAGGAGCAGTTCTTTAAAGGAAATAAGGAAGAAAACATCAGATATGTACCACCAACAATATGATGGAGACACACACCTTTTTACATGTACTTTATTACATGATGAAAGAGGGAAAAGGAGGAATTATCTGGGATAGTTGCTTAGCAATTTGAAAAAAAAATTCATTACTTTTGACAAAACATTAAAATGAATTCTGGGGATCAGAGTTAATGGTGGAAATAATTGGCCAGGCATGGTGGCTCAAACCTGTAATCCTAGCACTTTGGGAGGCTGAGGGGAGAATCAATTGAGCCCAGGAATTTGAGGCTGCCATGAGCTAGGATTGTGCTACTGCTCTCCAGCCTGGGTGACAGAGTGAGACCCTGTCTCTTTAAAATAAAAAAGGTGGAAATAATGAAATCATAGTAATCTAAAAGAAAATATATCTGAATATTTTTCTGAATTCTAAGTAGGAAATTCAGAGAAAACCACAAAACATTAAACACGTTCTTTTCTTCTAAATTCTTCACCTAACAGATTTAAAAGCAATTATATAGTTGTGCCCATAAACATACGTAAAATGCATAAATACATATTTAATTGTATGTGTATATGTAAAGTATATGTATAAAATATGTCATTGGGCCTATACATATAAAATTATAATATACTTTCCAATATCCCTTATAAATAAAGAGAAAAAAATCTTCAGTAAAAACTAGAAAACTGTATTCAGCAGCATATAAAAAGGATTATATACCATGACCAAGTGGAATTTATCCCAGGAATACAAGGTTGGTTCAACATATGAAAATTAGCCAATGTAATATATCATATAAATAGAATAAAGAGGAAAAAATTGTCATCTCAATAAATACAGAAATAATATTTATCAAATTCAACACCATTTCATGATTTTAAAAAAACAACCTAATAAACTGGGAATAGAAGAAAACCTTTTTTTTTTTTTTTTTTTTTGAGATGGGGTCTCACTGTGTCACCCAAGCTGGAGTGCAGTGGCACAATCATAACTCACTGCAGCCTTGACTGCTTGGGCTCAAGCAATCCTCCTGCCTCAGCCTCCTGAGTAACTGGGACCATAGGCACATGCCACCATGCCCAGATAACTTTTGTATTATTTGTAGAGACAAGGTCTCACTTTGTTGCCCAGGTTGGTCTCAAACTCCTGGGCTCATGCAATCTTTTTATCTTGGCCTCCCAAAGTGCTTGGATTACAGGTGTGAGCCACTGCACCAAGCCGAAGGGAACTTCCTTAACCTCACAAAGGGCATCAGTGAAAAATCCACAGCTGGCTGAGGACAATGGCTCATGCCTGTAATCCCAGCACTTTAGGAGGTGGAGGCAGGTGGATCACATGAGGTCAGGAGTTCAAGACCATCCTGGACAACACAGCGAAACCCCGTCTCTATGAAAAATACAAAAAAATTAGCCAGATGTGGTGGCCCCCACCCTGTAATCCCAGCTACTTGGGAGGCTGAGACATAAGAATAGCTTGAAACTGGGAGGCGGAGGTTGCAGTGAGCCAAGATGGTGCCACTGCACTCCAACCTGGGCCACAGAGCAAGACCCCGCCTCAAAAAAAAAAAAAAAAAACAAAAGAAATATCCACAGCTAGCATTGTATTTAATGGTAAAAGACTAGATGATTTTACCATAAGATTAGCAACAAGGCAAGGATATCCACTCTTGCCACTTTTATTCAACATTGTACTAGAGATTCTAGCCGGGGCAGATTGGAAAAGAAGTAAAACTAAATCTATTCTCAGATAACAAGATATTGTATATAGAAAGTCCTAAAATTTTCACTAAAAAACTATTGGACCTAATAAATGAGTTCAGCAAGTTTGCAGGATGTAAGATCGATATGCAAAAATCAATTGTATTTCTTCTAACTTGCAGTAAGCAATCTGAAAATGAAATTAAGAAAACAATCCCATCATAATAGCATTGAAAATAATAACATACTTAGGAATGAATTTAATGAAAGAAGTGAAAAACTTAAATTCTGAAACCTACAAAACTGTTGAAATTAATTAAAGAAGATTTAAGTGAGTGGAAAAACAACCCATATTCACGGATCAGGAGATTTAATATTGTTAAGATGGTGCTATGGTTTGGATGTGGCAATCCTGACAAAACTCAAGTTTAAATTTGATTTCCAGTGTGCAGTGTTGGCAGGCAGGACCTAGTGGAGGTGTTTGGGTCACAGGGGAAGATCCCTCATGAATAGATTAATGCCCTCTCATAAGAATGAGTGAATTCTCACTCTCCCAGGAGTGGAATGGTTCCTAGGAAAGCAGGTTGTTAAAAAGAGTCTGGCTTCCTCCATTTATCTTTTGCTTCGTCTCTTGCCACATGATCTCTTTGCACATACCTATGCCCCTTCTGTTTCCTACCATGAGTTGAAGCAGCATGAGGCCCTCACCAGATGCAGTTGCCAAATCTTGAACTTTTCATCCACCAGAATCATAAGCCAAATAAATCTCTTTTCAAGTTACCCAGCATTCAGTGACAGCAACACTAAACAGGACTAAGAAAAATGGCAATAATCTCCAAACCGATCTACAGATTTAATGCAATTACTCTCAGCATCCAGCTGGCATCTTTGTGGAAATTAACAAACTGACCCTAAAATTTATATGGAAACTCAAGGGACCCAGAATAGCTGGAACAATCTTTTAAGAAGAACAAAGTTGGGGGACTTCCCAATTTCAAAACTTACTACAAAGCAACAGTAATCAAGACAACGTGCGGCCAGGCATGGTAGCTCACTCCTGTAACCCTAACACTTTGGGAGTCTGAGGGGGGTGGATCACTTGAGGTCAGGAGTTTGTGACCAGCCTGGCCAACATGGTGAAACCCACCTCTACCAAAAAATACAAAAATTAGGTGGTCATGGTGGTATGCACCTGTAGTCCTAGCTACTCAGGAGGCTGAGGTGGGAGAATTGCTTGAACCCAGGAGATGGAGGTTGCAGTGAGCTGAGATTACACCACTGCACTCCAGCCTGGGTGACAGAGTAAGACCCCCCCCAAAAAATGTGATGCTGGCATAAGGACAGACATAGAGATCAATGGAATAGAACTGAGAATTTACTCTAAACCCTCTCATTTACAGTTATTACCTGCCTGCAAGGATCCCAAAACAATTTAATGGAGAAAAATAGTCTTTTCAACAAACAACAATGGGACAACTGTATAGCCACAGGCAAAAGAATTATTTTCGACTCCTACCTCATACTATACAAAACTTAACTAAAAATGGATCAAACACCTAAACATTAATGTCAAAATTATAAAATGTAAGAGCTAAAATCTTCTCTGTTTTTGAGACGGAGTTTTGCTCTTGTTGCCCAGGCTGGAGTGCAATGGCACGATCTCCGCTCACCACAACCTCCGCCTCCTGGGTTCAAGCAATTCTCCTGCCTCAGCCTCCCAAGTAGCTGGGATTACAGGCATGTGCTACCACACCCAGCTAATTTTGTATTTTTAGTAGAGATGGCATTTCACCATGTTGGTCAGGCTGGTCTAACTCCCGACCTCAGGTGATCCGCCCACCTCGGCCTCCCAAAGTGCTGGGATTATAAGGCATAAGCCACCAGGCCTGGCCTAAGAGCTAAAATCTCCTAATCTTAGAGGAGAAGATAGGAGTAAATCTTCATGACCTTGGATTCTGCAACATTTTCTTAGATACGACACTAAAGGCATGAGCAAGAAAAATAACAAAAATAGATAAATTGAGGTTTGTCAAAATTAAATACATTGGTGTGTCAAAGGATACTGTCAAGAAAGTGAGCCAAGGGCAATGATTCATACCTGTAATCCTAGCACTTTTGGAGACCATGGCAGGAGGATCGTTTGAGCCCAGGAGTTCAAGACCAGCCCAGGCAGCATAGTGAGATCCCAGCTCTAAAAAAAAAAAAAAAATTAGTTGGGCTTGGTGGTGTGTGCCTGTAGTCCCAGATGCTTGGGAGGCTAAGGTGGGAGGATCACTTGAGCCCAGGAGGTCAAGGCTGCAGTCAGCTGTGATTGTGCCACTGAACTCCAGCCTGGGTGACAGTAAGACCCTGTCTCAAGAAAAAGTGCAAAGACAACTCACGGAATGGGAGAAAATACTAACAATTCATACATTGGACAAGATTGGACAAGGGCTTGTATCTAGAATATATAAAGTACTCCTACAATTAAATAATAAAAAGATAAGTAATCCAATTTAAAAATGGACAAAGGATCTTAAGACAATTCTCCAAAGAGGATATACAAACAACCAATAAACATTTGAAAAAATGCTTGACATCATTAGTTGGCAAAACCACAATGACATACCACTTCATACTCACTAGAACGGTTACAATCAAAATGACAGATAAATACAAGTTTTGGTGAGGATGTAGGGAAATCAGAACCCTCATACGCTGCTGGTGAGAATGTGATTGTTCTGTTACTTTGAAAAACAGCCTGGCTCGAAAGCTACCATGGAGCAGTTCCACTCCTAGGTATACAATGAATGAAAATAAAAACATATGTCCACACAAAAACTTGTACCTGAATGTTTATAGCAGCGATTTTCATAACGGCCAAAAGGTAGAAACAACCCAAATGTCCAACAATTAATGAATGAATAAACAAAACATGATGTATCCACACAATGAAATATTATTTGGCCATAAAAAAGAATACTGATACATATGACAACATAGATGAACCTTGAAAATATTATGCTGGCTGGGCACAGTGGCTCAGGCCTGTAATTCCAGCACTCTGGGAAGCCCAAGGGGTATGATTGTTTGAGGCCTAGAGTTTGAGACCAGCCTGGGCAACATAGCAAGACCCCTCTTCAAAAAAAAATTAAAAATTAGCCAGGCATGGTGGCATGAGCCTGTAGTCCCAGCTACTCAGGAGGCTGAGGCAGGAGCATCACTTGCACCTGGGAGGTTGAGTCTGCAGTAAGTATGATTGTACCACTGCACTCCAGCCTGGGCAACAGAGCAAGACCTTGTCTTAAAAAAAGAGAGAGAGAGAGAGAGAGAAAGAAAACATTATGTCAAGTGAAAGAAGCCAGTCACAAAAGGCCACATATTATATGATTCCATTTATATGAAATATCCAGAATAGGCAAATCTATAGAGATAGAAAGTAGATTAGTGGTTATCTATTGTGGGAGCAAGGAGTGGGAAGATTGAGGGGTAAAAGCTAAAGGGTACAGGGTCTTCTTAGGGTGATAAAAATGTTCAAAAATTGATTGTGGTGATAGTTGCATATATCTGTGATATATCCAGCTGTATGCTGTAGGTTTAAAAACCATTTAATTGTATACTTTAAGTAGGTAGATTGTATGTGATTATATCTTAATAAAGATTTACCAAAAACATTTAGATGTTAAAAAGTGAGCCCTTTTCATCAAATATATCACTGTCAGATCAATAACATTAGTGCAGAAAGTGCATTATGTAATCTTGAGTGCAAATGTAATCTTGAAAGTCTAAATAAAGCAAAATCTGGGGAGAAAGTGAAGGAGTCTGAACTTACTTGGGATTACACTTAAGGAAAGGGGAATACATGTAATTTCGGTTAAAAAAGAAAAACTTTAACTTACTTTATTGCCTTAATACTTAGTGATAGAAAATGAGTTGGTGATTTTGCTACTTACTTACAATTTAGTTTAGCTGAACGTATCATGAGAACCTGAATCCAGAAAATAAGATAGTCCCAGAAGTTTGGAAACATATTATGTCTCTCTGATAACTAGGGTCAGAATCAGCTTGTGGTAGGTATGGACATTGAGAGATATTCCCCTGTTAATGCATTCGGACTTTGTTCCAAGTTAGCTATGAAGCTAGCATGAAATAATGAAACTTATGTTTTCAATATTATGACTTGCTGTGGATAGGTCAAATTGTAAGCTTTGAATTTTTTGTTTTGAATGCAATATAAAAATGGATGTGAACCCTTTTTTGAAAATGACAGATGGTTTAACTTTGATTCGTCGGTGTATATTATGGAATAAATATGGAACCCTAGGATTACTTTTGATGATATATGATCCCGGTCTGATTCTTAATATCCAGTTGTGTGCTGTAGGTTTGATATTTTAAAATAAAATGGCAAAATGAAAACCAACCCACTTACCATTTGCAGAAAACTGGTATATATGCAAGAAAGCAACTTGCTTTGAGAGCCAGAACAAAAGACCAGGGTGTACAGGGACTTAAGAGTCTATAATCAGGATACCTTGCTCTATCAGGAATAATCTCTTCTGAGCAACCTGACCTAAGGTTCTGTTTCAAAGTCTTAATGTATCATCATGTGCACATGCCACTACAATTATGATGTAACATCAGGAAGAGGTTTCTCCGTAGAAGAGAATTTGGCTAATGAAGACTAGGATTTGTTCTCATTGAGAAAACTGGTGTACTACATGACTAAACACAAAATATTATCCAAAAGTTTGCAAAACAATAATGCCTGGAGATTCCAGCATCCTCCCCCAAGAAGAATTCATATCCTGGCAACCTACCTCTGTTTTCCCAAATAAAACTAACACTTAAATGTCTTTTAACTTATTTCATCTGTAATATTTTCATAGGGATTATTAGGAGAGACAATACAATGCACCACCTGACCATAAGACTCGACAGTAGGGCTAAGCAAATGGTGAAGCTTGTGCTCTGCTGTGCTTCCCACACTTGCTTCTTGATTCTCTTTCCCTCATTTTACTACCCACACCTCCTTTACCTCGATTCCATTTCAGACTCCACGCTGCCATACTTTCTGTTTGGGAAGAGAATTGCTTAATAAACGAATTCAAATTAAGATGCCAGTGACCTGAAGTTGTCCCTCTATGAAACTTCATTGTATTTATTTATTTATTTATTTATTTATTTATTTATTTATTTATTTATTTTGAGATGGAGTCTCCCTCTGTCACCCAGGCTGGAGTACAGTGGCGTGATCTTGGCTCACTGCAACCTCCGCCTCCCGGGTTCAAATGATTCTCCTGCCTCAGCCTCCCCGGTAGGTGGGATTACAGGCATCTGCCACCATGCCCAGCTAGTTTTTTTGTATTCTTAGTAGAAATGGGTTTCACCATGTTGGCCAGGCTGGTCTCAAACACCTGACCTCAAGTTATCTGCCTTCCTTGGCTTCCTAAAGTTCTGGGATTCACATGGTCTGGTTAGTCTCCCAAAACTCTAGTTGAAATTTGATTTCCAATGTGGTTAGTCTCCCAGCATATTAGAAAAAATTACAACTAAACAATAAACCTAACTTTATTAGGTGCTCATTGTTAATATAGCTGTAAGTGCTTAAATAAGAAAATGCCATCAACATAGAAATAAGTGTGGTGCAAAGATATGGCTGAAAAGTAGAAAGAAAACAGGCCAGGCACCCTCGCTCATGCCCTGTAATTCCAGCACTTTGGGAAACCAAGGCAGGCGGATCACCTGAGGTCAGGAGTTCGAGACTAGACCGGCCAACATGGTAAAACCCCGTCTCTATTAAAAATACAAAAATTAGCCGGGCATGGTGGCACATGCCTGTAATCCCAGCTACCCAGGAGGCTGAGGCAGGAGAGTCACTTGAAGCCAGGAGATGGAGGCTTCAGTGAGTCGAGATGGTGCCACTGCCCTCCAGCCTGGGCAACAGAGCCAGACTCTGTGTGGAGAAAAAAAAAAAATAAAAGTAGAAAGAAAAGTCATCATGGTGCATTGGCCACACTTTTTCCATTTAGCAATCAAGAAGAGCTATAAACAGGGAAGGCAGCAAGAATCATTCTATGAAGTGAATTTCTTCCCACCTATATATGAGGAAGGGAATCGAAGACAATGTTGAATTTTTAATGAAAATCAAAGCAGTTGCATCACAAGGAATGAATCTGGGGAGGAAATATATTTGGTTAGTGATTTTGTTTTTTGATCTGGTTTGTGAAATGGTTTCATAATGCTTTTATTTTAAATGTCCATGATGATATCCAAAAGATTAAACACTTTTCATAGGTTTATGGGCCATTTCTGTTTCCGTTTGGTGAAATTTCTGGTCATTTCTTTTGACCGTCTTTCTATTGGAGTGTTTGTATTTTTCTTATTAAAATCACAGGAATTCAGCCAGGCACAGTGCCTCATGCCTGTAATCCCAGCACTTTGGAACGCCAAGGTGGGCAGGTCACTGAGGTCAGGAGTTTGAGACCAGCCTGACCAACATGGTGAAACCCCCTCTCTACTAAAAATACAAAAAATAGCCTGTAATTCCAGCTACTTGGGAGGCTGAGGCAGGAGAATCGCTTGAAGCGGGAGGCAGAGGCTGCACTGAGCCAAGATTGTGCCACTGCACTACAGCCTGGGAGACAGAACAAAACTCTGTCTCAAAAATAAAAATTAAAAATAAATAAATAAATTTTTAAAATCATAAAAATTCTCTATACATTTTGGACTAATCCTTTATTGGTTATACGTGCTGCAATTATCTTCTCCCAGTTTATGGTTTGTCTTTTCACTGTCTTCATGGTGTCCTTTGAGGAATAAAAGCTCTAAACTTAAATGTAGTTGATTCACCATTTTCCCCTTATTTTTTACACTTCTCTGTTTTAAGAAATCTTTCCCCATTATGATGTTATAAAGATAACCAATTTTGCCTTCTGAAAACTCAATTGTATTGTTATTCCATTAGGTCTCTAATCTGTCTTTCTTGTGTGTATGGTGTGAAGGGGTGCAATTTCTTTTTTTCCCATATGTTTATCTATTTGTGGCAAGACCACTCTTTCCTTGTTCATTTGCAAGATAATTTCATTCATGTATCAAATATCTGTATTTGCAAGGGTCTATTTCTAGGCTCTCAGTTCTGCCCCTTAGTCTTTTTTTCCTGTCACTATACAAACACCACATAATTTTTTTTTTTTTTTTTTGAGACCGAGTCTCACTTCGTTGCCCAAGCTGGAGTGCAGTGGCATGATCTCGGCTCACTGCAACCTCCGCCTCCCAAGTTCAAGTGATTCTCCTGTCTCAGCCTCCTGAGTAGCTGGGATTACCAGTGCCCACCAGCACCCCTGGCTAATTTTTGTGTTTTAACTAAAGACAGGGTTTCATCATGTTGGCCAAGCTGGTCTAGAACTCCTGATCTCAGGTCATCTGCCCGCCTCAGACTCCCAAAATACTGGGATTACAGGCACGAACCACCACGCCCAGCCAACACCACACCATTTTAATTGCTACAACTTTATAAAATAATTTTATAACTGATAGGTTAAGTATGCTCCTTCTTATTTATTTTCTTTAAGAGGGTGTTGGTTATTACTGGCCTTTGCTCTTCCACATAAAGTTTAGGATTAGTTTGTTCAAATTTAACAAAGTAAATACTCTGGGATATTGATTGGAATTATATAAAACCTATAGAGCAATTTGGGGAGAAATGGCATCTTTACAATATTGAGTCTTTCAACCATGAACATGGCATCTCTCCATTAATTTAGTTGTTTTTTTGTTTGTTTTGTTGTTGTTGTTTGTTTTTTGTTTTTTGTTTTTGTTTTTTTAACCAGGCTCATGGCTTCAAGGTCTTTTAAAAATATGCCTTTAAATTAAATTGTATTATTTTATTTCATTTTTACTTGTGTATTTATTTATTTATTTATTTATTTTTAAGAGATGGGGTCTTGCTCTGTAGCACTTTGGGAGGCTGAGGTAGGAGGATCTCTTTGAGCCTAGGAGTTCAAGACCAGCCTGGCCAACATGGTGGGGTCCTTTCTCTAAAAAACATTTTTTAAAATTAGCTAGGCATGGTGGTGTGTGCCTGTAGTCCCAGCTACATGGGAGGACAAAGTGGGAAGATCATTTGAGGCTGCAGTGTGCTGTGTTCTCACCACTGCATTCAGGCTGGGTGACAGGGTGAGACCCTGTCTTAAAAAAAAAAAAAAGATTTTATAACACTCTTCTTATATTTATTCCTAAGTATTTAATATCTTTAATGCTGTTATAAATATTATTTTAAATTTTTTTTATTTTTGAAGCATTTGTTGATGGTTTACAAAAATGCAATGTATACTTTTTTTTTCAACTAACACTTTGCTCATGGAAACAATGTATAAATATTGATGTGGCTAGCAACCTTGCTTAATTTTTAAAGGTAATTCCAATCAGTAATCCGTAGATTATTTTGGGTTTTTTATGTGGACAATCATATCACCTGCAAAATAGTGGGCTTTCTGTTTCTTCCTTTTAATCTCGATTCCTTTTCTTTCTGCCTTTCTGCTTTGCCTAGGATGGCCAGTACATTGTTGAATAGCAATAATTACTGTGGCTAACCTTGTCATTTTCCTGATCTAGAAAGTGTACTTTCATTGTTTCACAAATAACATTTGATGTCTTATTTTATATATAACCCTTGTCAAATTTAGAAAGTTCTCTTCTCTTCCTAGTTTTCTAAGAGTTTTATCATAAATAAATGTTATTAGCAAATACATTTTCTGCATTTATGAAGATAATCATATATCTCCATTAAGTTGTTAAAAATATAAATTAAATATTATATTTCGTTAAACCCAATTTTGTAAGGAGACATCCTCTGTCTCTCTTTTTTTCTTTTTTAACCAAGTTCCCAAGAGCTAAAAAAGGATACATCCTCTTTTTTAGCTGGATTCAATTTGCAAATAGTTTGTTTAGGGTTTTTGCATTTCAATTCATGAATGATATTGCCTTATAAATTTCCCTTTTTATACTGTCCTCTTGCGTTTTTCTTTCCTTTTTTCTTTTTTCTTTCTTTTTTTTCTTTTTTTTTTTTTTTTTTTTGAGACGGAGTCTTGCTCTATCACCCAGGCTGGAGTGCAATGCAATGGCAAGATCTCATCTCACTGCACCCTCCACCTCCTGGGCTCAAGCGATTCTCCTGCCTCAGCCTCCCAAGTAGCTGGGATTACCGGTGTCCACCACCATGCCCGGCTAAATTTTGTACTTTTAGTAGAGATGTTGGCCAGGCTGGTTTTGAACTCCTGACCTCAGGTGATCTGCCTGCCTCGGCCTTCCAAAGTGCTGGGATTACAGGTGTGAGCCATCACGCCCTGCCTTTCTGAGATTTCTGTCTCACTATCTGGAAGTCCTTGATACCCCAAGTTCTGTCCCCTGATTGCTCATGCCAGAAAATGGTTGACTTTCTGTCAGTCTTAGCTGCTTTGTCTGCAGTCTAGGCTTGAAGCCACACCACAAGAAAACAGGAAATTCAACCCATGCTGGTCACATCTTCCAAGTTTTAATTTCCCTCCAAAATGTGCTGCCTTTTGTTCACTCTTCAGAACTCTCAGGTAGTTAGTTGGTTTTTATGTTTTTATCTGAGGGAGTTTCAGTCTGTTAGGAGCTTATGCCACTATGCTAAAAGAGGAACTTTTCCATATCTTCAGTTTCAAAGTCATATTTAAGAAGCAATGTTAGCTGAACAGATGCTTACAATTTATTGACAGTTGACATAAATAAAGTATGCCCTGGCACACCATTACACGTTTATTGGTGAGACAGTGAAAGAGCTTTCTCCCGTTATTATAGCTATGCCGTAGCCGGACTAACCTACTTGCAGTCGTTTTAGGGTTGTTCCTAAAGGCAATAAGGGTTGTGAATAAGCTGGGGATGATTCTGTCATAAGCCTTTTGGATGTCCCTTATAGCATAGTCCCCTGTAAATCGCTGATTGTCAGCATGAAGAACTAGCCCCTTTGAGACTGTTCAGAACCTCTTGCTTTTTCACGGTCACCAATCACTAATGGATTTACAATGTTGTGGCAACAATTTCCCAGAGCAGACATCACTTTAATAGTGCTTTCTAGATGGCAGAGGTCATTTACCTCAGAGACACTTCAAAAGTGTTCATTGCTGTATTTAAAAAAAAAAAAAAAAAAAAAAGGATGGAAGGCGAATTGCCTGAAGGCTGCACAAATCACTGTGGTTAATGTATGGTGGGATAACCAAGGTCCGTAGGAGTCCTAATAGCATGTTAGAAGGCGACTAATGACAGATCGTATAGGATGTTGGACATATATTTAAATGCCGACTTGTCGTAAACATTATGTTTTTCATTGTTCCCAAGTTTACTAACAAAGTAATCTCAATAAAATTTGGCAAGTTTGAAAATGTTCTAAGATCCTTATTTTGGCCTGTAATTCTGGTAATAATAGTTATAGGTAGGAGATGGTGAGAGAAGGCTATGCCCTTTAGATCTCAAATCTTCTTATTGTGTTGTTTGAAATAGGTATCTCATGTCATGTTTAAGTATATTTTATAACAATGTGTTATATATAAAGTTTTGGTGCCACAAAAGAAATAGCACTCGAATATAAAATTTTCTTGTTAATTCTCAGCAAGGCAAGGTACTTCTATAGAAGGGTGCGCCCTTACAGATGGAGCAATGGTGAACACACATTTGGACAAGGGAGGGGAAGGGGTTCTTATCCCTGACGCACGTGGCCCCTGCTTCTGTGTCGTTCCCCTATTGGCTAGGGTTAGACTGCACAGGGTAAACTAATTCCGATTGGCTAATTTAAAGAGAATGACAGGGTGAGTGCTTTGGCGGGAGTCAAGGCAGAGCAGGTAGCAGGTAATCAGAATGAGTTAGGGTGGAGCAGGTGATCGGAATGAATTAGGGTGGAGCAGGTGATCGGAATGAATTAGGGTGGAGCAGGTGATCGGAATGAGTTAGGGTGGAGCAGGTGATCGAAAAAGGTTGCTTTATGAGGAAGTTAAGTTTAAAAGTAGAAGGCAAAGAATTGAACATACTGACATATTAACTCTTTGAAAAGAAATTTAGAACTCATATCTAACAACTGTTTCTCAAAATGTGGCCCAATTATTTTAATGCATTAAAATCTCCTGTGGTGTTGCTAAAAATGCACATTCCTAACCTTACCTCAGCCCTGCAATATCAAGACCCCGAATAGGAGGGGTAGAAGGGATGGGACCTTTCTACTTGAGTTTTGTCACATTCTTCTAGGTGAGTCTCACTCACATGAAGGAAAATAATTATATTAGATTCTCAGAAAGATTTCTTCAGTATCGAGATCATACAAGAAAGAAATGTCAAGCCATGAAAAAGACACAGCCAATCTCAGAAGGCTGTACATACTGCATGATTCCAATTATATGATATTCTGGAAAAGGCTAAACTGTAGAGGCAGCAAAAGATCAGTGGTTGTTGGCTGGGTGTGGTGGTTCACGCCTGTAATCCCAGCACTTTGGGAGGCTGAGGCGGGCAGATCATGAGGTCAGGAGATCGAACCATCCTGGCTAACATGGTGAAACTCCGTCTCTACTAAAAATACAAAAAAATAGCTGGGCATGGTGGCAGGCGCCTGTAGTTCCAGCTACTTGGGAGGCTGAGACAGGAGAATGGCATGAACCCGGGAGGCGGAGCTTGCAGTGAGCCGAGATCACGCCACTGCACTCCAGCCTGGGCGACAGAGTGAGATTCCGTCTCAAAAAAAAGATCAGTGGTTGTCAGGGGTTGGTGGAGGAAGGGATGAATAGGTGGAATACAGAAGATTTTTACAGCCACGAAAACATTTTATATGATATTACACAGAGTACACTACATGGTGGATCCATGCCATTATACGTTTGTCCAAACCCACAGAGTGTGCAACACCAAGAGTGCACTGTAATGTCAACTATGGACTTTGGATGATAATGATGTGTTCATGTAAGTTCATCAGTTGTAAAAAATGTATCACTCTGGTGGGATATTTTGATAGTTGGGAGTTTGTGTGTGTGATGGCAGGAGGTATATGGGAAATCTCTGACCTTCTGTTCAATTTTGCCATGAACCTAGAACTAGTCTAAAAAATGTCTTTTTAAAAAATCACGGTAAAATGATTTAGTAAGTTCTGAAGGTGTTTTTCTTTTTATTTAATACATTTACTATATGCCTCCAAAGTTCAGAACATTATGCTAGGTGCTGAGGAAATAAAAAGATGACTAATATGGAGGTTTCTGTACTCAAAGTGATTCTGTTCTGCTAAGGGAAGAGTAGAGTGCCCAGAATGGCTTGATTAAGAAAAAAAATAAAGTACTCAAGGTTCTAACTGCAGTTATGACTTGGAATGAATTTAAAACCCCCACCTCATATCTAATGAGTTTCTCAAGAGATCCAGATTCCAAAAATGTTAATGAGTGACCACATTATAGATCCATCTCAGAGATAGCTATAAAAGCTGAGACCAAAAAAAGGAATTCCGAAAGATATTTTAAAACAGAATTTTCAGTGTCTTAGTTGGGTTCCTAGAAGCGGAGCTTAGACAGGAATTCATGTGCAAGTGATTTACTGAGAGAGTGCTTTCCTGAGACATTGTAAGGGAGTGAGGGAAGGGGAAGAAGCGAGTCAAAGGTGTGGTTTCAGGAGATGTCTAGGCTCAGCTTCAGCCTGCGTAGGTACAGAGAGCGCCAGAGCATGGAGCAAGTAGAGCACTTCACACAGAGGTTTTCCTGCCTGGAGGCAAGAGGGCTGGGCTAGTATACACTCGCACAGTGACTCATTGGCCATGGGCCACCACCAGCCGCCTTCCAGGCTTTCTAATCATATCCTGTCAGCCAAGGGTAACGCCCCTCACTCCCTCAAAGGGTGCAGCTGTGAGTCAGGAGCAGCCAGTACTCACAGTGGCTGGGGTTGGGTGCACTGCCCAGTAAGGGGATCAGGGAGGACACTGAAGGCATCTGTCACATAAAGAAATGAACTGTCACATAAAGTTCAATGAAAAGGTTCTTCATTGCCTTTCCAGTTTTAACTGTTCTTATTCCTTTTTATCAGCTGTTTTCATAATTTTAGTCTCAGGAATTATCTTCGTTTCTAAGAATTATTGAGGCCCCCAGAGAGCTTTCTTTTATGTTGATTTCATCTGTTGATATTTACCATAATTGAAATTAAAACTGAGAAACACTGAAAAGATTGATTCATTTAAAAATCAGCGGTGTCTGAAATGATTCATCCTCTATGCTGGACACTCTTCTGTCCAGGCTCTGCAGTCAGGCTGTGCGGCTTCAAATCTTAGTTTCATCCCTTACTTGCTATCTTCCGTTAGCATCTTTGTGCTTTATTATCTTCATCTTTAAAATGCACTTTGTAAAAGTTAATTATTAGATTGTTGAGAAGATAATGAGATAATCCACACCAAGTGCCTGACACATAGTAAGCACTTCACAAATTTCAGCAAATACTAGCTAATATTTTCATTCCCTCACTATACCTTTCATTAAGACCTCAATTACCTTGTGTCTACAGAGTTCCATCAGTTTCCTGCCTGGCTTCTCCAGTTTCTCACCATGTCTCCCTCCATCAAAACATAGTAAACAGACTCATACACATACTTTTTCAAATGATTCCACACATATATACATATATACTAGAGTTTTTGTCCTAAAAAGTTTTTTCATCATATTATCTCTCTGCTCAAAGTCATTATTTCCATGATTTAAAACAAAAATCCCTATGTTAGCTTGCAATTCAAGTGGTTTCACAGCTTGGCTCTTCCTAGTCTTTCCAGTTGTGACTGTTGTTATTCCTTTGTATCAATTGCTCTCATAATTTTGCTCTCAGAACTTCTCTTTGTTTGTAAGAATTATTGAGGCCCCCAAAGGGCTTTCTTTTACATTGATCATATCTGTTGATATGTACCATATTTGAAATTAAAACTGAGAAACGTTGAAAAGATTGATTCATTCAAAAATAAACATATTACATATTATCATGAACACCATAGGTTTTATTAAAAAATAAAGATGTTTTCCAAATTCAACAAATTTCACGAAAAGAGCATCACTTTCACATTCGCAAATCTCTTTAATATTTGGCTTAATAAAATACAGCTGCATTCTCATATCTGCTTCTGCATTCAATATGTTACAAACATGTTGTTTTGGTTCAAGTATATGAAGAAAATCTGGCCTCTCACAGATAAGTAGTTGGAACAGGGAGAGAAGTAGTTTAAATCTTTATGGTTAGCTATAGATATTTTTCTACGATACAACACTAATATTCAAAAAATGGTAGTTTCTCAAAGGTTAGCTGCAATGAGGAATCTGTAACCGTATCAATGGTCTTTCCATGCTCTGTTATATTAAAATCCGTTTGGCTATTTTGCATTGTGTGAGGATACTTGTGCATGATTTTGATCTTACAGACTCCCTGACGGGTCTCAGGCATCCCAGGGTTCCTCAGACTGCATTTCAAGAACCACTGCTCTATACGAACTCTCTGTACTTCTCGTTCTAAAATGTACCTGGGATTTTGTTTTTATTCAGGTATGGTGAGGTCAACAGGTCAGGCAGGAGACAATTGTCACTGAAAAAGATAATTTGTTATTCACAGCTCTCAAGAGAAGGGGGCACTCCATTCCATGCAGAGCCACATGGGGAAGCCACCAGGGTCAGTTAGGCAGCAGAAGATGCAAGGAGGAGGCATGGGCAAAAGCCTTTATTGTGGTTTTCATGTGAAGGAATGCGCAAGGCAGGATAAGGAGCTAGGCAGGCTTAGGATTGGATAGCTTGAATAATTTGGGCGGGCTCTGGACTATAGGGGTGGTCTCTAGTTGTCCAGTACCTGGCCCTAGGGTGGCTGAGGTCAGGAGGACACTGCAGGAGTCTGATGGAAGGAGGAGCTGGGGGTGTGGTTGGTTTGTATATCAAAGGCATTCTCAAAGCCAAGTTGTTTGCTATCTCTAGGAATTTGCTATCCCTGAGAGGGGCAGTCCCTCCCTGAATCCACAAAACCCCAATATGTCAAAGCCTCACAAAATATAGAAAATGAAAGACATGATTAATACACCTCTCAGGTTGGTTTAATTACTTTCCCATAATATACCAGATATATTTTTTTTTCACTTTTTTTAAAATTATACTTTAAGTTCTGGGATACATGCGCAGAACGTGCAGGTTTGATACATAAGTATACACATCCCATGATGGTTTGCTGCACCCATCAACCTGTCATCTACATTAGGTATTTCTCCTAATGCTATCCCTTCCCTAGACCCCCACCTCACAACATGCCCCGGTGTGTGATATTCCCCTCCCTGTGTCCATGTGTTCTCATTGTTCAACTCCCACTTATGAGTGAGAACATGCAGTGTTTGGTTTTCTGTTCCTGTGTTAGTTTGCTGAAAATGATGGTCTCCAGCTTCATCCATGTCCCTGCAAAGGACATGAACTCATCCTTTTTCATGGCTGCATAGTATTTCATGGTGTATGTGTGCCACATTTTCTTTATCCAGTCTATGATTGATGGGCATTTGGATTGGTTCCAAGTCTTTGCTATTGTGAAGAGTGCTGCAATAAACATATGTGTGCATGTGTCTTTATAGAATGATTTATAATCCTTTGGGTATATACCCAGTAATGGAATTGCTGGGTCAAATGGTATTTGTGGTTCTAGATCCTTGAGGAATTGCCACACTGTGTTCCACAATGGTTGAACTAATTTACACTCCCACCAACAGTGTAAAAGCATTCCTATTTCTCCACATCCTCTCCAGCATCTGTTGTTTCCTGACTTTTTAATGATGGACATTCTAACTGGCATGAGATGGTGTCTCATTGTGGTTTTGTTTGCATTTCTCTAATGACCAGTGATGATGAGCTTTTTTATGATTCATATGTTTGTTGGCCACATAAATGTCTTCTTTTGAGAAGTGTCTGTTCATATCCTTTGCCCACTTTTTGATGGGGTTGTTTGTTTTTTTCTTGTAAATTTGTTTAAGTTCTTTGTAGATTCTGGATATTAGCCCTTTGTCAGATGAATAGATTGCAAAAATTTTCTCCCATTCAGTAGGTTGCCTGTTCACTCTGATGACAGTTTCTTTTGCTGTGCAAAAGCTCCTTAGTTTAATTAGATTCCATTTGTCAATTTTGGTTTTTGTTGCTATTGCTTTTGGTGTTTCAATCATGAAATCTTTGCCCATGTCTATGTCCTGAATGGTATTGTCTAGGTTTTCTTCTAGGGTTTTTATGTTTTTAAGTCTCACGTTTAAGTCCTTAATCCATCTTGAGTTAAGTTTTGTATAAAGTGTAAGTCAGGGGCCCAGTTTCAGTTTTCTGAATATGGTTAGCCTGTTTTCCCAACACCATTTATTAAATAGGGAATCCTTTCCCTATTGCTTGTTTTTGTAAGGTTTGTCTAAGATCAGATGGTTGTAGATGTGTGGCATTATTTCTGAGGCCTCTGTTCTGTTCCATTGGTTTATATATCTGTTTTGGTACCAGTACCATGCTGTTTTGGTTTCTGTAGCCTTGTAGTATAGTTTGAAGTCAGGTAGTGTTATGCCTCCAGCTTTGGTCTTTTTGCTTAGGATTGTCTTGGCTATATGGGTTCTTTTTTGGTTCCATATGAAATTTAAAGTAGTTTTTTCTAATTCTGTGAAGAAAGTCAGTGGTAGCTTGATGAGGATAGCATTGAATCTATAAATTACTTTGGGCAGTATGGCCATTTTCATGATATTGATTCTTCTTATCCATGAGCATGGAATGTTTTTCCATTTGTTTGTGTCCTCTCTTATTTCCTTGAGCAGTGGTTTGTAGTTCTCCTTGAAAAGATCCTTCATATCCCTTGTAAGTTATATTCCTAGGTATCTTATTCCCTTTTTAGCAATTGTGAATTGGAGTTCACTCATGATTTGGCTCTGTTTGTCGATTATTGGTGTATAGGAATGCTTGTGATTTTTGCACATTGATTTTGTATCCTGAGACTTTGCTGAAGTTGCTTATCAGCTTAAGGAGTTTTTGGGCTGAGACAATGGGGTTTTCTAAATATACAATCATGTCATCTGCAAACAGAGACAATTTGACTTCCTCTCTTCCTATTTGAATACCCTTTATTTCTTTCTCTCACCCGAATGCCCTGGCCAGAACTTCCAATACTACGTTGAATAGGAGTGGTGAGAGAGGGCATCCTTGTCTTGTGCCGGTTTTCAAAGGGAATGCTTCTAGCTTTTGCTCATTCAGTATGATATTGGCTGTGGGTTTGTCATAAATAGCTGTTATTATTTTGAGATACATTCCATCAATACCTAGTTTATTGAGAGTTTTTAGCATGAAGTGCTGTTGAATTTTGTTGAAGGCCTTTCCTGCATCTATTGAGATAATCATGTGGTTTTTGTCATTGGTTCTGTTTATGTGATGGATTATGCTTATTGATTTGTGCGTGTTGAACCAACCTTGCATCCCAGAGATGAAGTTGACTTGATCGTGGTGGATAAGCTTTTTGATGTGCTGCTGGATTTGGTTTACCAGTATTTTATTGAGGATTTTCGCATCGATGTTCATCAGGGATATTGACCTGAAATTTTCTTTTTTTGTTGTGTCTCTGCCAGTTTTTGGTATCAGGATGATGCTGGCCTCATAAAATGAGTTAGGGAGGAGTCACTCTTTTTCTATTGTTTGGAACAGTTTCAGAAGGAATAGTACCAGCTCCTCTTCGTACCTCTGGTAGAATTCGGGTGTGAATCCGTCTGGTCCCGGGCTTTTTTTGGCTGGTAGGCTATTAATTACTGCCTCAATTTCAGAACTTGTTATTGATCTATTCATGGATTCAACTTCTTCCTGGTTTAGTATTTGGAGGGTGTAGGTGTCCAGGAATTTATCCATTTCTTCTAGATTTTCTAGTTTATTTGGATAGAGGTGTTTATAATATTCTCTGATGGTTGTTTGTATTTCTTTGGGATCAGTGGTGATATCCCCTTTATCATTTTTTATTGTGTCTATTTGATTCTTCTCTCTTTTCTTCTTTATTAGTCTGGCTAGTGGTCTATCTATTTTGTTAATCTTTTCAAAAACCCAGCTCCTGTATACATTGATTTTTTGAAGGTTTTTTTTTTTTTGTCTCTATCTCCTTCAGTTCTGCTCTGATCTTAGTTATTTCTTGTCTTCTGCTAGCTTTTGAATTTGTTCGCTCTTGCTTCTCTAGTTCTTTTAATTGTGATGTTAGGGTGTCAATTTTAGATCTTTTCCACTTTCTCTTGTGGGCATTTAGTGCCATAAATTTCCCTCTAAACACTGCTTTAGCTGTGTACTCGAGATTCTGGTATGTTGCGTCTTTGTTCTCATTGGCTTCAAAGAACTTATTTCTGCCTTAATTTCTTCAGTTACCCAGTAGACATTCAGGAGCAGGTTGTTCAGTTTCCATGTAGTTGTGAGGTTTTGAGTGAGTTTCTTAATCCTGAGTTCTAATTTGATTGCGCTGTGGTCTGAGAGACTGTTATGATTTCAGTTCTTCTGCATTTGCTGAGGAGTGTTTTCCTTCCAATTATGTGGTCAATTTTAGAATAAGTGCGGTGTGGTGCTGAGAATGTATATTCTGTTGATTTGGGGTGGAGAGTTCTGTAGATGTCTATTAGGTCCGCTTGGTCCAGAACTGAGTTCAATTTCTGAATATCTTTGTTAATTTTCTGTCTTGTTGGTCTGTCTAATATTGACAGTGGGTGTTAAAGTCTCCCACTATTATTGTGTGGGAGTCTAAGTCTCTTTGTAGGTCTCTAATAACTCACTTTATGAATCTGGGTGCTCCTGTATTGGGTGCATATATATTTAGGATAGTTAGCTCTTCTTGTTGCGTTGATCCCTTTACCATTATGTAATGCCCTTCTTTGTCTTTTTTGATCTTTGTTGGTTTAAGGTCTGTTTTATCAGAGACTAGGATTGCAACCTCTGCTTTTTTTAACTTTCCATTTGCTTGGTAAATATTCCTCCATCCTTTATTTTGAGCCTATGTGTGTCTTTGCACATGAGATGGGTCTCCTGAATACAGCATACCAGTTGGTCTTGACTCTATCTAGTTTGCCAGTCCATGTCTTTTAATTGGGGCATTAAGCCCATTTACATTTAAGGTTAATATTGTTATGTGTGAATTTGATCCTGTCATTATAATGCTAGCTGGTTATTTTGCCCATTAGTTGATGCAGTTTCTTCATAGTGTCGATGGTCTTTACAATTTGGTATGTTTTTGTAGTGGCTGGTACCAGTTTTTCCTTTCCATATTTAGTGCTTCCTTCAGAGCTCTTGTAAGGCTGGCCTGGTGGTGACAAAATATCTCAGCATTTGCTTGTCTGTAAATGATTTTATTTCTCCTTCGCTTATGAAGCTTAGTCTGGCTGGATATGAAATTCTGGGTTGAAAATTCTTTTCTTTAAGAATGTTGAGGCTGAGCGTGGTGGCTCACACCTGTAATCCCAGTACTTTGGGAGGCTGAGGCAGGTGGATCACGAAGTCAGGAGCTCGAGACCAGTCTGGCCAATATGGTGAAACCCCGTCTCTACTAAAAATAGAAAAATTAGCCAGGCAGGGTGTTGCGTGCCTGTAGTCCCAGCTACTCGGGAGGCTGAGGCAGAAGAATCGCTTGAACCCAGGAGGTGGAGGTTCAGTGAGCTGAGATCACGCCACTGTACTACAGCCTGGGTGACAGGGTGAGCCTCCGCCTCAAAAAAAAAAAAGAAGGTTGAATATTGGCCCCCACTATCTTCTGGCTTGCAGGGTTTCTGCTAAGAGATCCACTGTTAGTTTGACAGGCTTCCCTTTGTGGGTAACCTGACCTTTCTCTCTGGCTGCCCTTAACATTTTTTCCTCCATTTCAACCTTGGTGAATCTGACGATTGTGTGTCTTGGGGTTGCTCTTCTCGAGGAGTATCTTTGTGGTGTTCTCTGTATTTCCTGAATTTGAATGTTGGTCTGTCTTGCTAAGTTGGGGAAGTTCTCCTGGATAATATCCTGAAGAGTGTTTTCCAACTTGGTTCCATTCTCCCCATCACTGAGGTTAGGTCTTTTCACATAGTCCCATATTTCTTGGAGGCTTTGTTCATTCCTTTTCATTCTTTTTTTTCTAATCTTGTCTTCATGCTTTATTTCATTTAGTTGATCTTATACCAGATATATTTCGAACCCCTTCCTTTTATTAACTCTGTTAATCCCCGTATTTGTTTTACCTCTTTGAACTCTTCTCATTCATCAAAGACTGAACTCAAAGCTCCTCTCTACTTTGAAGCCTTCCCTGACTAATAATTTGGTATTTAACTAATCATACAAGGTTTTGCAACACCACTTGAATTATTGTTCGGTGTTATTTCTCTTTCCATTGGTGTAAACCCTGTCTCTCCAACTATAGTGTCCATTTCTTAAGATCAGCAACCTCATTTTATACTGTTTGATGCTATTCTTATCTTCCAGAGTGTCTGTCTTTACTCTCTGCAGGTGTATAAACCTGCAGCATCCCTCCGGAAAAAGCCTCTAGTTTCTTGCCCTGTCTTGTCTCATACTAGTTTGCCAGCCTGCTCTTTGTCTCCTTGCTCTTGACTTGTTGACCAGTCTTCTTTCTGTAGTCTTTCCCTCTGGACTAGACAGATGCCTACTTTTGCTTCTTTGGTGCTGCCCTTGCCTCTACTTCTCAGCAAGAGTCTGCACTTGTTCCTCAGATCACATTTCTACTGGCTCCTGCACATCTCCTGAGATCTTTCCTCAACTTTCCTTTGAGTTGTGGGAAGGGTAAAACAGACACAAGGCTCTGATTATTGTAGACCTTGTATACATGTCTGTAAAATTATAGCTTCAAAGTCCTTTGAGTCATATTGTTTCCAGTGATTCGAAATCATTTATACTTGATTGTGTTGCTTAAAAAATCAGGCCGGGCACACACCTGTAATCCCAGGACTTTGGGAGGCCAAGGCAGGAGGATCACTTGAGCCTAGGAGTTCCAAAACCAGCCTGAGCAACACAGTGAGAACGTATCTCCACACACACACAAAAAAAAGTTTAAAATTAATTGACCAGCCATGGTGGCACATGCCAGTAGTCCCAGACACACAGGAAGCTGAGGTGGGAGGACTGCTTGAGCCCAGGAGGTTGAGGCTGCAGTGACCCATGATCGCGTCACTGCGCTCCAGTCCTGGTGACAGAGCAAGAGCCTGTCTCAAAAAAAAAAAAAAAGTTAAATGCTCTGAAGAGCCTCTTCTGTGTTCCACTCTCTTTGCATGTCTTAAGAACATTAAGATAATTTGTGAAAAATATCTAAACACTTTGTTTTCATTGTCTTGCATGTCATGCAAATCTTTGCATAAAAAAACCTGAAAAGCCATCTCAATGTTGTTTGATTTGGCTAAATGAGTGGTACTGGACAGATTATTATGAAACAGATATTAACACCTCATGTCGTCATAACTAAAAAGTGTCAACTACAGATTATGGTGGAGTACTTTAAAACTATCCTTTTCTTAGCTCTGGCCCAATATCACAGCCTGATTTGTATTATAGTTAGATTAGATGTAGTCAAAAGGCTTTTGAAAAAAGGTATTTGGGAACTAGCTAAAGCAGAGATATATTTTTCATTTGTCTTGTTTGTTTGTTTTGTTCCGTTTTGTTTTCAAGACACAGTCTTGCTCTGACATCGTTGCTTGAGTGCAGTGGCATGATCTTGGCTCACTACAACCTCCTGGGTTCAAGTGATTCTTATGCTTCAGCCACCCCAGTAGCTGGGACTACAGGCACATACCATCCCACCTGGCTAATTTTTATATTTTTAGTAGAGACGGGTTTTCACCATGTTGGCTAGGCTGGTCTCGAACTCCTGGCCTCAAATGATCCTCCCATCTTGGCTTCCCAAAGTGCTGGGATTACAGGCATTAGCCATTGTGCAGGGCCCATTTTTCTTTTTTTTTAAGCCTCCAGATCCCTTTATGAACACAAAAATCACAAACATTTTATTTTCTAACTGAAGCCAGAACAGGGAATACATGTGTTGAGTATTTGTGTGGTAAAGTCATTCATTTGTTACACTTAGGGTTTCATTTTGCCATTTCTCTAACCAGGGATGGGCCTGGATTCTACTAAGGTGCTAATGAATTTACAAAGCAATGGTTGTTCTCATTTTGAGTAAGTGGAATAAGGAAGATGGAATATGGAATCTTATGACTGAAGGTTAGTCCTAATGGAGTAATTTTGTTGTGTATTAAGATTCGCAAACAGGATATTTAGGTGAATACAGCAATGTACTTAATTCCATGTGACATCTGCTTTCAGCATCTCAGGTTTGGCTCTACCACAGACCATGGAGATGCTTTGTTGAAAAACACTGTCCTCTATTTTTTCCTAGCAACTCATTACGTATATATCATCTATACATTGATCTTAATATTCTTTGAAATTAGCTGGATGCAGTGGCTCACACCTGTAATCCCAACACTTTGGGAGGTCAAGACAGGAGGATTGCTGGAGCCCAGGAGTTTCAGACCAGCCTGGACAACATAGTGAGATGTTGTCTCTACCAAAAAATTAAAAAATTGTCTATTTAGTATATATTTAGTATATAAGCCATTTTAAAAGAAGCTTTAGGCCGGGCACGGTGGCTCGCGCCTGTAATCCCAGCACTTTGGGAGGCTGACGTGGGCAGATCATGAGGTCAGGAGTTCGAGACCAGACTGGCTGATATGGTGAAACCCTGTCTCTACTAAAAATACAAAAATTAGCCAGACGTGATGACATGTGCCTGTAATTCCAGCTACTCCAAAGGCTGAGGCAGGAGAATCGCTTGAACTTGGGAGGTGGAGGTTGCAGTGAGCTGAGATAGCGCCACTGCACTCCAGCCTGGGTGACAGAGCAAGACTCCATCTCAAAAAAAAAAAAAAGAGGTAAATGTTAGGATAACTAAAATTTACTACTCTATAGCATATATTGCCTTAAAGTGATGTTTTAAATGTCAACTTATGTTGTGCAATTTGGATTATATCTGTCTTTAGTGCACCACCCAGATAACTGCTTTTCTCTGCACATGTGCAGAAATGAAGTTCTTGTCATAGTAGACATAATAAACATTTGCTGAATGACCAGCACGCGTGAAATTAAGTAGAAATAAATACCTACCTTTACATTAAACTATAAAGGAGATAATTTATTATATTATGATAAGAAAGATTAAGTGAATATTAATTTTTAAGATAGCACATCCTGGTTTATTGACATTCACTGGCAAAATGAATTATTCAACATATGAATTTTTACTAAACACTGAATGTAGAATATATAACAATTTGGCACATAATTGGCATATTATAATGGCATATTACTGACATGACCTTATAAGGCAATGCTTTTATTTTTGGCCAAATTAGGATCCTGAAATTTGTTTCAATGTTTGCCTCTGTTTTGTACTTCTAGGCCGTTCAGTCGATTCTGGGAGTGAAGCACTGTTGCCACCTACTGTGAAGAGTGCGGTAATGATGATGACAAAGGAAAATGAACAGAGAGTAATAATAGAGTTTTAAATAAATTATGAAGTAAAAATTAAGCGGATCCATCCATACAAGTTACAGTACTCTTGAACTGAATTGCCAGTAAAAATAGTTACTGAATAGAATGAACCAGGTCTGCTAGGAGTCCTGTGAAGCCAGGCCTTTGGAGCTGTGGGAATTTTTTTTTTTTAATAGATGGGGTCTTACTATGTAGCCCAGGCTAGGCTCAAACTCTTGGGCTCAGTGATCCTCCCCTGTAGCTGAGACTACAAGAATGCACCACCATGCCTGGCTAAGGATCTATGGGCTTTTAAGATAGCCTTCCTTGAAGTTTTTGGTTTAGGGATTTTTTTATTTTTATTTTTTTTTGAGACAGGGTCTCGCTGTATGGCCCATGCTGGAGTGCAGCTGCGTGATCACAGTTCACTGCAGACTTGACCTCCTGCAGGTGATCTTCCCACCTCAGCCTCCAGAATAGCTAGGACCACAGGTATAGGTCACCATGCCTAGCTGAAGGTTTTTGGGTTTTTTTAAATACACACGTGTACACACAATTTCCTGAATTTGTACATTTTTTTCCCTTCAACTCTTTTCACCTAACCAATCAATTTTATTATCATTTCTGCTTATGTTTTACTTTCCCATATTACCTTTTTCATAAGCTGATTTCCAAAATGACTTTTTTCTAGATGGTCTATACATAGCTTCTCTCTCTCTTTTTTTCTTTCTAAAGATTCAAACTCCAATTTGTAACAATTTAGTTTGAGATAATAGTTCTCAATTACAATCAGAAGTATTCCCAACATCAAATTTGTTGGACTAACTACCTCAACTGGGCACTAAAATATAATTTCCAGTGGGTACAAAGCAAAATACCATTACTCTACACTTGGCCTCCACATGGAATTCCCCTTATTCCTATGTATTCTCTTCCATTAACTACTTTTATAAATCATTTTCTCCTTGCCTGAATATGAGTCACTGAGGGCAGTGATTACGTTATTTTCATGCCTCCCCTCTAATCAACCCTTGCCCCTACTGCTAGTATTTTGGACATGGTAGGTGCCCAATATTTACTAAATAAAGTGTGAAAAGCGTAATGCCTCTGAAAAAAATGATTTTATTCATCATGCAGGAGTGAGAGAGATAAAGTAACACAATGTAGGAAATAAAAAAGTAATAAATGTTATTAGATAACTGATCAGGTGCTCTTTGTTCCTTTCAGCCAACTTCTAGACAATGGTAGCAGGAATTGGAAGGCAAGAGGAATGGATAAGAGAAGTAAAGGACAGGTAATCACTCAAACATTGGGTTATTCAGTGTGTTTTAGTCATGTTAGGCTGCTATAACAAAGTACCACAGACTGGGTGTCTTATAAATAACAGCAATTTATTTCTCACAGTTCTGGAGGCTGGAAGTTGTAGATTGCTGTGTCAGCCTGGTCAGATTCTAGAGAGGACACTCTTTTGGTTGCAAACTGCTGACTTCTCATTGTGTCCTAACATGAAGTAAAGAGAGCAAGAGAGGTTTCTGGCCTCTTCTTATAAGGGCACTAATTCTATTCATGAGGATTCCACTCTCATGACCTAATTACCTCCCCCAAATCCCACTTTCAAATACTATCTTACTGGGAATTGGATTTCAACATGTGAGTGTTGGGGAGACACAAATCAGTGTTTAAGTATTCTAAGTAATGGGCTAATTGGTCTTGAAAGGGAGGACACAGAATTAAAAGCCACAGAGATCCTGATACTGTGCTCTTGGGAAGTTCCAACAATCACACAAGATAGGTTAGAAGAATATTAAGTGCTAACCAGTGCAATGTTGACCCATGTTCAATAAAAGTTTCAGAAACGTGAAAAACATGTAGATTGGGATCAACTGAGGAATATTTCTGGAGAAGATGGGCTGTTGAATGGATTCTTAAATTTCCAGATGTGAAAAATGAAAAGAGATAAAAGATGAAGATAGGTGAAAGAAGTAAGCATGCATTTTTGGAAAGTGAAATATCATAAAGCAAATAACAGAGATGGAAGACACTCCTATTTCTCCTTGAACTGATTTTCAAGTATGGTGTAGAGCACTCTATTACACTAGCTACTAGGCAGCCACATGTGGGTATTTGCATTTAAAATGAAATAAAATTAAAAATTAAGTTCCTCAGTTGCAATAGTTACATTTCAAGTGATCAACAGTCACATATGCCTGTTGGTATTTGTATTGAGCAATGCAAATATAAAACATATCCGGCCGGGCACGGTGGCTCATGCCTGTAATCCCAGCACTTTGGGAGGCCAAGGTGGGTGGATCCCAAGGCCAAGAGATCGAGACCATCCTGGCCAACCTGGTGAAAGCCCATCTCTACTAAAAATATAAAAAGTTAGCTGGGCATGGTGGTGCGTGCCTGTAGTGCCAGCTACTCGGGAGGCTGAGGCAGGAGAAGTGCTTGAATCCGGGAGGAAGAGGTTGCAGTGAGCTGAGATCGCACCACTGCCCTTCAGCCTGGCAACAGAGCAAGACTCCTTCTCAAAAAAAAAAAAAAAAAAACAAAAAAAAAACAAAGAACAAAAAACACATCCATCATCGCAAAAAAGTTCTATTGTACTATAGTGAGTGCTATTGAGTATTTACTATACAAAAAGCTCTCATAATCCCATTTAATTTTCACGGCAACCTTATAAAGTATATAGTAGTCAGGTGTGGTGGCTCATGCCTGTAATCCCAGCACTTTGGGAGGTTAAGGCGGGCAGATTGCTTGAGCCCAGGAATGCAAGACCAGCTGGACAACATAGTGAGACCCCATCTCTACAAAAAATACAAAAATTAGCCAGGCATGGTGGCATGTGCCTGTAGTCCCAGCTACTTGGAGGTCTGAGGTGGGGGGATCACTTAAGCCCCGGAGGTCAAAGCTGCAGTGAGCTGAGATCACACCACTGGGTGTGACAGAATGGGTGACAGAATAAGACTGTCTCAAAAGATAAATAAATAAATAAAGTATTTTTAAATTTAATATATTTTATTTATATTAAATGTTTTATATTTTGAGACTCTGTCTCCAAACACAAAATAAATAAATAAATAAATAATAACGTATATAGTTAAAGGGCCAGGCGCGGTGGCTCACGCCTGTAATCCCAGTACTTTAGAAGGCTGAGGCAGGTGGATCACCTGAGGTCAGGAGTTCAAGACCAGCCTGGCCAACATGGTGAAACCCTGTCTCTACTAAAAATACAAAAAGTTAGCTGGGCGTGGTGGCGGGCGCCTGTAATCCCAGCTACTCAGGAGGCTAAGGCAGGAGAATTGCTTGAACCCGGGAGGCAGAGGTTGCAGTGAGCTGAGATCACGCCATTGCACTCCAGCCTAGGTGACAAGAGCGAAACTCTGTCAAAAAAAAAAAAAAAAGAAAGAAAAGAAAGAAAACTGAAGTCCCTAAAACTTAAGTATTTGTTCAAACACAGCTGTGATTTGAAATTTTATGTGACTCCAAAAACGGAAGCTTTAAGCTATAGAAAATAAGCCTGTTAGATAGGGAAAAATGAGTCATTTACCAGAGACAGTGACACCCCAGCTTGACCTTTTTATGGCATGTAAAATCCAGTAGACTCTCAAGGAAGAGAACAAAATTACAAAAGTGGTATTTCAGGATATTAAGTAGACTGTTGTGTGCAGGGGTAGGCTAGCCCACATGATTTCTTTCGATGACTAGAAAAAAAGCCTCCCTGTCTAGGAAGGATGCAGCCTTATGGGTATTTAACTTAGTTAACAGAGCACGAAGTAGACTCCAGCCTCTTCTCACTCCCAAGTTTGGGCACTCTCTTTTAAAACGAAGAAATTGGAAGGCATGGAGGAAATGGAAGCCTGTGCTATAATGGAGGCAATGCCAAAAGAAAGAGAAAAAACAGCAAAAACAAAATTTGAAAAAAGAAATCCAAAAAATTAAAAATTTAATTAAAAAATTTTTAAAATGGCAAAATCAGAGCAAAGTCAGAGTTTATTCCAAGGTTTCCAGTATGCTGGTCTAACACACTGCGGCACTTATAATAGAAAAGTGATAGAAAGGGCTGGGTGTGGTAGTGCATGCCTGCAGTCCTAGCACTTTGGGAGGCCAAGGGGGGCAGATCACTTGAGCCTACGAGCTCAAGACCAGCCTGTCCAACATGGTGAAACCCTGTCTTTACTAAAAATACAAAAATTAGCTGGGCGTGATGGCATACGCCTGTAGTCCCAGCTACTTGGGAGGCTGAGGCAGGAGGATCACTTGAGCCAGGGAGGCAGAGGTTGCAGTGAGCCAAGATCGTGCCACTGCACTCCAGCCTGGGCAACGAGCAAGACTCCATCTCAAAAAAAACGAAAAGCAAAAAAAACCACACACACAAAAATTAGCAGGGCATGGTGGTGCATGCCTGTAGTGCCAGCTACTCAGGAGGCTGAGGTAGGAGCATCTCTTGAACTCGGGAGGTTGAGATTGCGGCGAGCTGAGATTGTGCCACACTGCACTCCAGCCTGGGTGACAGACTGAGATCCTGTCTTAAAAAAAAAAAAAAAAAGAGAGAGATAGAAGAAAGGGAGCTGATTTCTGGGTTCTAATCGGGCATGGAAGCTTAGAAGTCACCACTCCTATCCACACAAGGAAAACAACTGAACAAAGTAAAAATCAATAACTCTTTTTAGATCCATCAGAGAATGTAAGATACAATAAATCTTTCTGAGTTTCTCTTCAAGGGTTTAGCCTGTTAACTTCCTTATCCTTTGTTCTCAAACTCAGCTTTCTTGTTCTTCCTTGCCCCTAGTTACCGTAAACAGCCTACCCACTTCCCGTCAGCTCTAATCAATAACTCACATCTGTTCCCGTGTTACCTGTACCAATTGTTCCCCCAAAACTGCACATCCCACACGCTCCACCTCTGTACCTCACATCCCCCTCCCCTTCTATATTTAGGAAAATATGTACAAGTAGCCAATCGGGTCAGCTCAGATTGTGCAGTCTGACCTCAGCCCATGGAGGAGTGACACAGAGATAGGGACTGCATTAAGGATAAAAACCCCCTGGTCTCCTTTGTTCTCTGTGCTCCTGTGATCTTGATTGACCCAAGTGGCACCCTTCTGCAGAAGTAAATTGCCTTGCTGAGAGAATTAAACTTTTGCCTGAGTGCTGGTTTTACTTCACGGCACCAAGCGTTTATTTCTGGAGCATTTTATACCCAGTAGAGAGCTAAGGTCACAGGGCAAACTACTGCCCTCAAAATTGGAGAGATAGATAGATACAGAGGATCACAATTTATTGGAGGAAACCCACGAGCAGAAACGTCCTTGGGGACCAGTGGCTGGGGTAGGAAAACCTGAACTGCCACTGACAGATTGCTGGAGGCTCAGTGTAGACAAGTCTGAGAGTTAAAAACTCCATGGGGGCCTAGTTATTGGAGGGTCCCCACGGTTTTGTGAGTTTTACCTCCAGGAATTCAATCTGGTTCACAGTAAGAGAAATCACTGTGTGTTTCTGGAAGGGGGAGAGGAAAAGAAATTATTCTGAATAATCCCACAGAATTATGTTCTTAAAGAACATCCTCAAGAGAAACTATCTGACCCGAGCCTAAGCAATTAGGGTTTTACCAGAGCCTAACCTAGCTGGTGGAAGGGAAATTCTCAACTCTAGCTTCCCCTAAGCCTTCTTGTCTCACCAAAACTGGAGACTGGGGATGGGGAGGTAGGTAGGGGGAGAGGGACAGAAAGCACCTGTGTTTTTGTTGTGGTGGTGG
This sequence comes from Homo sapiens, assembly GCF_000001405.40. Taxonomy (NCBI): domain Eukaryota; kingdom Metazoa; phylum Chordata; class Mammalia; order Primates; family Hominidae; genus Homo; species Homo sapiens. The sequence continues at coordinate 152,184,293 of NC_000002.12, read as the reverse complement.
TGGTTGTTTTGTTTTAGATAGGGTCTCACTGTGTCGCTCAGGCTGGAGTGTAGGTGGTGCGATCACGGCTCACTACAGCCCTCATCTCCCTAGCTCAAGCGATCATCACACCTCAGCTTCCCAAGTAGCTAGGACTGCAGGTGTGCACCACCATACCCAGCTTTTTTTTTTTTTTAATTTATTGTAGAGACAGGGTCTTGCTATGTTGCCCAGGCTGGTCTTGAACTCTTGAGCTCGAGTGATCCTCCCACCTCAGTCTCCCAAAGTGCTGAAATTACAGGCATGAGCCACCACACATGGCCAGAAAGCACTTGTGAAGTTCATAGCAGAGGCACAGGCTCACTAAAGAATTGAGACCTACTCTCAGACCTTATTTAAGTCTCAAGAACCCAAAGACAACAGAGGAGACAAAAACAAGGAAATCAGCCTTTGACACTTAATGCTATAGCAAGCAGTAAACACAGCCTAATCCCTAGCCAAATAAACATAAAACCTCATACTAAAGGCCTGTTTGCTTCAGTTCCTTTTACCCAGTAAATGTTGTCCTGTTTTCACAAAAAGACAACACTTAACAAAAGACAAAAAATGCAGTTTGAAAAGACAGAGCAAACATCAGAATCAGAATCAGGTATAGCAAGAATGTTATTAGAATATGTATAATAGAATTATCATACAAGGAATTTAAATTAACTATGATTGATATGTTAAGGGCTGTAATGGAAAAAAATCAACATTATGCAAGAACAGCTGGGTAGTGTAAGCAGAATGATAGAAACTCTAAGAAAGAATCAAAAGGAAATGCTAGAGATAAAAAACACTAACAGAAAGGAAGAATGTCTTTGATGGGCTCCATCAATAAACTTCAGAGACAAAGAATCTGAGCCTGAAAAAATGTCACAAGAAACTTCTAAAACTGAAAAAAAAAAAAAAAAAAACTTCTAAAACCGAAATGCACAGAGAAAAAAAGAAAAAATCAGATATCCAAAAATGGGAGGAGAATTACAAAAGATGTAACATATACATAACAGAAATACCAGAGGGAGAAGAAAAGAAGAAAATTTGAAGCAACAATGACTGAGAATTTCCCCAAATTAACGAAGGATACAAAACCACAGATCCAGGAAGCTCAGAGTACACTAAACAGTATAAATAACAAAAAATCTGCACCTAACCATAATCATGTTCAATCTGTAGAAAATTGAAGACAGAAAATCTTGAAAGAAGCAAAAAGGAGAAAAAAAAACCACAATTTGCCTACAGAGGAGTAAGGATAAGAATTACATTAGACTTCTCTTCAGAAATTGTGCAAGCAAGAGAAGAGAAAAGTGAAATATTTAAGGTATTGAAAGAAAAAAAAAAACCACTCACCTAGAATTCTGTATCCAGTGAAATTATCCTTCAACAGTGAGGGCGAAAGACTTTCTCAGGCAAACAAAATTTGAGGGAATTTGTCACCAGTAGACTTGCGTTGCAAGGAATTTTAAAAGTCCTTGAGAGAGAAAGAATATGATGCAGGTCAGAAACTTGGATCAACATTTTAAAAACGAAGAGCATTAGAGAAGGAATCAATAAAGGTAAACAGCCTGGGCAACATAGTGAGACCCTGTCTCTACAAAAAAAAAAAATGAGCTAGGGTCAGTGGTGCGTACCTGTAGTCCCAACTACTTTGGAGGCTGAGGCAGGAAGACTGCTTGAGTTCAGGAGTTTGAGGCTGCAATGAGGTATAATTGTGCCACTGCACTCCAGCCCAGGTGACACAGAGAGAGAGATGTTGTCTCCAGAAAAAAAAAAAAAAGATAAATAAAGGTAAATAAAATATTTTATTTTTCTTTTTCTTCTTCTTCTTCTTTTTTTTTTTTTGCTTCTTTTTGAGACAGGGTCTCCCTCTGTCATCCAGGCTGGGGTGCAGTGACATGATCATGGCTCACTACAGCCTTGACTGCCCTAGCTCAAGCAATCCTTCTGCCTCATCCTCCAAAGTAGCTGATGCTACAGGTGCATGCCACCAAGCCTCTAGATTTTTTTTTTTTTTTTTGTAAACTGGTTTTCAAATTCTTTGCACACCACAATTTTTAGACTGCCACTGAAATATTTTTTAATTGCCCAATTACTTCCTAAGATGAAGCAACAGTGAACAATTATTGTATCCTCGTTTCTAACACAGGGTCTGCTCCCGGTAACTATTAAAAATGTTGTTAATTACAAAAGATGAAAAAAAACTTTGTTAATTAGAGGAACTCACTGAGGAACTGAGTATATACATAGAAAAAAAATACCTATAGATCCTTGAGTATACTTGCTTTTAAACAGGAGGAATTAAAAGAGTCTTTTTAAAACACGAATGTGGCTGGGAGCGGTGGTTCACACCTGTAATCTCAGCACTTTCGGAGGCCGAGGCGGATAGATCACTTTGAGGTCAGGAGTTTGAGACCAGCCTGGACAACATGGTGAAACTCCATCTCTACCAAATATAGAAAAATTAGACAGGCATGGTGGCCCGCGCCTGTAGTCCCAGCTACATGGGAAGCTGAGGCAGAAGAATTGCTTGAACTTGGGAGGCAGAGGGTGCAGTGAGCCAAGATTGCGCCACTGCACTCCAGCCTGGGTGACAGAGCAAGAACTTGTCTCAATAATAATAATAATAATAATAATAATAATAATAATAATAATAAATAAAAATGAATGCTTTCCAAAGGCAAATCCTCAGCTTTCTGCTCTTTATAAAAAATTACTTCTTTTTTTTTTTTTGCAACAGGGTCTCACTCTTTCACCCAGGCTGCAGTGCAGTGGCACAATCATAGCTCACTGTAACCCTGAAATCCTGGGCTCAGGTGATCTTCCCACCTCTATTGGGAACAGGCCCCCAAAATCTGGCCATAAACTGGCCCCAAAACTGGCCATAAACAAAATCTCTGCAGCACTGTGACATGTTCATGATGGCCAAAATGACCACGCTGGAAGGTTGTGGGTTTACTGGAATGACAGCAAGGAACACCTGGCCCACCCAGGACGGAAAACTGCTTAAAGGCATTCTTAAGCCACAAACAATAGCATGAGCGATCTGTGCCTTAAGGACATGCTCCTGCTGCAGTTAACTAGCCCAACCTATTCCTTTAATTCAGCCCATCCCTTCGTTTCCCTTAAGGGATACTTTTAGTTAATTTAATATCTATAGAAACAATGCTAATGAGTGGCTTGCTGTTAATAAATAGGTGGGTAAATCTCTGTTCGGGGCTCTCACCTCTGAAGGCTGTGAGACCCTGATTTCCCACTTTACACTTCTATATTTCTATGTGTGTGTCTTTAATTCCTCTAGCACCACTGGGTTAGGGTCTCCCTGACCAAGCTGGTCTCGGCAAGTGGCATCCATTGTGGGGGGCTCGAATCCAGGTTGAAGGGTCGCCAGAGTGACAGTTGGAAAACATGGAACTAGCTGGAGGACACCCAAGTACTCTTAAAGCAATCCCCGTGGTGAGTAAGAAGGGGAGCTCGGAAGCGTCAGGGTAACAATGGGACAAGTGCGGGGTGTGGTTCGTTCCATCTTGGAACTTTTTCACGCTGATGATGAGGAGGAAGGAGAGTATAACGAAATAACAGAAGAGGTTACAGAGCAGGTTTGTTTGCCACCTAAAGCTAAAGCGGCAAAGCAGGGAGAGGTTCATCCCCACCCTTCTGCATCCCCTCCCTATTATTTTGAAGAAAATGACCCTCCAGATCTTTCTTTCCTGGAAGACACTGGGCGAAAAGTAGTTGCCCCAGTGACTGTTCGAGAAGTGCCTTAAGCGACTGCTCTCAGTTCTATTCAAGCAGGAATTTAGCAAGCTACACAAGAGGTTGATTTAGAGGCTTGGCATTTTGCTGTTAGAATACACCCCCCAGATCAACAGGGAAATATTATAGCTACATTTGAGCCTTTTCCTTTTAAATTACTAAAAAAATTTAAACAAGCTATTAATACTAAAAAAGGATATAGAAATAATCAGCGAGTCAGGCTGCCATATAGGGGATTCCAGAATGGCTCAGGCCATTCCCTCACCCCTGTACAATGTCTGTCCCCTGCCACAGCTGGTAGTGCCACGGTAGACTTATGCTGCACAAAAGCTGTGAGCCTTCTGCCTGGGGAATCCCTGCAAAAGGTTCCAACAGGAGTCTGTGGATCTTTGCCAATGGGGACAATAGGATTACTTTTAGGAAGGTCTAATTTAAGTTTAAAAGGGGTACAAATACATACAGGAGTCACTGATTCAGATTACAATGGGGAAATTCAAATTGTTATATTTACTTCTGTTCCCTGGAAAGCAGAGCCAGGAGAGTGCATAGCACAGCTCCTGATCGTGCCGTATGTGGGAATGGGAAAAAGTGAAATTAAACGAACAGGAGGATTTGGAAGCACAAATAAACAAGGCAAAGCAGCTTATTGGGTAAATCAAATTACTGATAAATGTCCTACCTGTGAAATAACTATTCAGGGAAAGAAATTTAAAGGTTTGGTAGATACAGAAGCGGACATTTCAATCATTTCTCTACAGCAGTGGCCGTCTGTGTGGCCAATTCAACCCGCTCAATTTAACATAGTTGGAGTTGGTAAAGCCCCTGAAGTATATCAAAGTAGTTATATTTTGCATTGTGAAGGGCCTGATGGACAACCTGGGACTATTCAACCAATTATAACTTCTGCACCTATAAATTTATGGGGAAGAGATTTGTTACAACAATGGGGAGCACAAGTTCTAATTCCAGAACAATTATATAGCCCTCGAAGTCAACATACAATGCATGAAATGGGGTATGTCCCTGGTATGGGACTAGAAAAAAAAAATTTGCAAGGTTTGCAAGAACTGCTTCAAGCAGAAAGACAAAATTCCTGCCAAAGATTAGGATATCATTTTTGATGGCCATTGTTAAGCCTCCAGAACCTATACCTTTAAAATGGTTAACAGATAAGCCAATTTGGATAGAACAATGGCCGCTAAGTAAAGAGAAACTGGAGGCTTTAGAGAAATTAGTTACTACACAATTAGAAAATGGGCACATAGCTCTAACATTTTCCCCTTGGAATTCTCCAGTTTTTGTAATTAAGAAAAAATCAGGTAAATGGAGAATGTTAACTGACTTAAGGGCCATCAATTCAGTTATACAACCTAAGGGAGCATTACAGCCAGGATTGCCTTCTCCTGCTATAATTCCAAAAAATTGGCCTCTAATAGTCATAGATTTAAAAGACTATTTCTTTACTATCCCTTTAGCTGAGCAAGACTGTGAACAGTTTGCATTTACAATTCCTGCAGTAAACAACCTGCAGCCTGCTAAGTGTTTTCCTTGTTTCACAGATGGGTCTAGTAATGGCAAAGCTTCTTATTCTGGATCAAAAGGTAAAGTTTTCCAGACGCCCTATACTTCAGCTTAAAAAGCGGAGCTTGTAGCTGTAATTGAGGTATGGACTGCTTTTAATATGCCTATTAATGTCATTTCTGCTGCTTCATACGTGGTTCATTCCACACAATTAATTAAAAATGCTGTTACTATTTCATACAGATAAACAACTAATGACAAAAACAAAAAAGGGGGAGAAATAGGGATTATGGGACAGCCCATACACAATTGAATCTAGCATTATTAACTTTAAATGTTTTGAGCCTGCCCAAAGAAGGCCAGATGTTATCAGCAGCTGAACAGCATCTACAGAAACCAGATGCAAAGACAGAAGCAGAACAACTGATTTGGTGGAGAGATCCGGTAACAAAAAGTTGGGAAATAGGTAAAATAATAACTTGGGGTAGAGGTTATGCTGTATTTCTCCAGGCCAAAATCAACAGCCGATTTGGATACCATCAAGACACCTGAAACCTTATCATTAGCCAGATGCCAAGGAAGAGATTCTGGGAGGATCCCAAGGACCCCCCCCCCCGGTTGCAGCCATGTTGAGACTGACACTGAGAAGGACCCCAACTGTCGTGAGCTATACCCATCAAACACAGCCACCCACCTGGGGACAGACCAAGAAGCTGTCACAGATGGCAGAAGAAAACCTGAGGAAAGCGGGACAACCAATCACAACGAGTAATTTAATGGTAGCTACCATAGCGGTGATCACCATTGCCATAAGTATTCCTTCAACAAGGGCTGCCGAGACCAGCTCGGTCGGGGAGAGCCTAACCTAGCGGCGCTAGAGGAATTAAAGACACACACATAGAAATATAGAGGTGTGAAGTGGGAAATCAGGGGTCTCACAGCCTTCAGAGCTGAGAGCCCCGAAGAGAGATTTACCCACGTATTTATTAACAGCAAGCCAGTCATTAGCATTGTTTCTACAGATATTAAATTAACTAAAAGTATCCCTTAAGGGAAACGAAGGGATGCGCCGAATTAAAGGAATAGGTTGGGCTAGTTAACTGCAGCAGGAGCATGTCCTTAAGGCACAGATCACTCATGCTATTGTTTGTGGCATAAGAAGGCCTTTAAGTGGTTTTCCACCCTGGAAGGGCCAGGGGTTCCTTGCCCTCATTCCAGTAAACCCACAACCTTCCAGCGTGGGCATTATGGCCATCACGAACATGTCACAGTGCTGCAGAGATTTTGTCTATGGCCAGTTTTGGCCATTCTCCTGAGGCAGGAGAATGGTGTGAACCCAGGAGGCGGAGCTTGCAGTGAGCCCAAATCGCGCCACTGCACTCCAGTCTGGGTAACAGAGTGAGACTCCATCTCAAAAAAAATTTTTTTTTACTATTCTGCTACCCAATATCCTTAAATAATTATTGAGTGCCTTAATCAAAATAAAAAATTCCCAGCTTGCCCTTTAAAATTCTTGTCAATCTGTTTCCTCTTATACCTAGTCAGCCTTGTTTTCCATTCCAACACTAAGTCTTAGACAAAAAGTCTTTATCTGTCCAAAAAATCTCTAAGTCTTTTTTTTTTTTCTTTTTTCGAGACAGAGTCTTGCTCTGTTGCCCAGGCTGGAGTGCAGTTGCCTGATCTTGGCTCACTGTAACCTCTGCCTCCTGGGCTCAAGTGATTCTCGTGCCTCAGCCTCCCAAGAAGTTGGCATTACAGGCTTGCGCCACCATGCCTGGCTAATTTTTGTATTTTTAGTAGAGACGGTTTTTCGCCATGTTAGCCAGTCTGGTCTTGAACTCCTGGCCTCAAGCAGTCTGCCCGCCTTGGCCTCCCAAAGTGCTGGGATTACATGCGTGAGCCACCATGCCCGGCCTCCCAATTTATCTTGAACATCCCTAGGTTCAACGTTCTATGAAAAACAGCCCCTTCTGCACGATTCCTTCTCATTTGTGCCCCGAACTTTATAAAATGCAACCACCTTTCTGAATGTGTATGAGCTCTCTATAGCATCAGGTCTTTATACTAGAGTTTGTAAAATGGTTTTGATTAATCTATTATTTAAAATGTTGGAGTAATTCTCAACATTTAAACATCATTGAAAAATTGCAAACTCTAGTAGGACCCACATTTCAATAAATGGCTGCAATTTACCAGTAGTTGACATCTTTAGATACGCACTGTTCAGTTAGAAAGTTACAGCTTCATTCGAAAAGCATTGAGCGTCTATTACTTGGGACACTGTTTTAGACGCTGGGGATATAGTAGTGACCAAAACTTATCAGGGAGTTTATAATCTAATGAGGAGGAGAGACAGGCAACATAATCATTACTACAGTTTTCTAAGAGGAACAGAGAATATGTGGGTGGGAAGGGTGCTTGGGCTTTTGCATTCATTTAAATACCTGGCTGGATGCTGTTGGAATTTGAGTTTATGACTCGTACTACCATCCGAATCGTCATACACCATCATGTACGTTATGCACTGCCCCTATAAAACTCTCAACAAGTCTAAGGCAGGGAGTGTGCCTCCTTCGCCTTTGGATTCCGGGGGCCCAGCAGTGTTTTTATGGAGGGGACACGATGGAAAGCGAAAAGTTAGGCGTAGTTACTTCGACCACCGCTGTCCCGGGTGGTTATTCTGACGGGGTTTGGACTGGGCGCCTGGGAGGGTGCAACACAATAATTGTTGAAGAGCAGTCAGGTCTTTCGCAGAATCTCAAAGCCACCTCCGCGCCGGCAGCTCCGTTTCTAGGGAAACAGGACTGTAACGCGTACGCGTCGTGGGTCCTCGTTCTCTAGCTACGAGTCCTGCCGCTCTGAAACAAACTAAATTCGTGACAAGAACTTGGCCCTCAGAGCCCGTCGTCCAACGCGAAAAACCACGGGTAACCGCGCCCCCTGCCGCGCCGCCGCTGGCACTGCAGCTTCCGGGGTCGTCCAGTTCCAGGCGGGACTACTTCCGGCTCCGAAGGTCCCCGGCTTCGTGGCTAGCCGGGGTCCTAGCGCTGGAAAGGTGGCCGTAGCGGCCGCCTGACCCCTACAAAAGTCTGGGACAGGGGCAGCGACAAAGGCCTTGGGAGGACGCCCATGGTCGGAGGGATCTCGCCCCGGGAGAAAAGTTGGGACAGGAGCGCGGGATCGAAGGGTGGACTCCGAGCCGGCCTGTCAGGCAAGAGCCGGGCAGGTGCGGTGGCGGAAGTGCAGGGACGGAGGCCGAAGCGGAGCGGTCTAGGGAGCCGCGGCCGCGGGTCACCCGGCGGGTAGCAGTTGCTGAGTGTCAGCTAGACAGCAGCGACTAGGGCTCGGGCGCCGGCGAGATGCCTTTGTTCACCGCCAACCCCTTCGAGCAAGACGTGGGTGAGTGCTGTGCCCGGTCCTGGACTGCTGTGTGCCTGGCCCTGGACTGCTGTTTGTCCGGCTAGAAAGTGGGCGGTAGCGACTCCGGGGACTAGGAAGCAAAGCGAAGGGAGGGGAGGGGCGGTGCCGCCCGCTCCTTCGACGTTGGGATTTTTCTGGGGCAACCTCGGCGCGTCGCTAGCGGTCTGGGGAGTGCTTCCTGCCGCCTGAGTTTGGGGACCCTCAAAGGGCCGTTCTCCTTGCCAAGCGTAGGATTTGGGAAGAGCCTAGGGCTCGCTGGAGACTGGACTGATTAAGTAGTTGTGGAGTTGGTGATTAAAAACTTCCTGCTCGTTCGACAGCTGGTTACCTCCGTCTTTGCCCCATCGTTTTCTGAAGATGATGCAGCAGTGGAGACCCTGCTGTCTAGAGAAGCCCAACACTAGACACTTGACACCTAGACAACCGCATTGAATAGGAAGAACTTACTTCCCCATTATTTATATTACTCATGCATTCAATCCCTGATAGGGTAGCTTTAAGATTTATTACAATTGTAAAGGTGTTGCTCTTCATCCCCGGATTGCAAAGATTGCGCGGGTGCTAGGAGATGTTCGGTTTTAGAGTATGAAAAGGAAATCTCCAGTCTCAAAACACTCCAGAACAACAAGTATTTTACATGTTGCAGTCATAAAGCGCTGGTCTCTCAGTGACTATAGAATGAGAAAAACATGGATAAGATATATACGAAATTATTTAGGAAATTTGAGTAACACTAAAACAAACTGAGAAATATATGTATGTATTCTCGAAAGTCTGGGTCTCACTATGTTGCCCAGGTGCGACTAGAATTCCTCCCACCTCAGCCTCCACCTCCGTTTCCCCTTCCCGAGTAGCTGGGACTACAGGTTTGTTTTTTGTTTGTTTTTGTAGCAGTAGTTAACAGAACCCTAGGTAAATTTTTAGAACTTGGAAATGGGGTTGGGGCGGGGAGACTCAGAAGAATACTGCACATCTCAGCAGTAATTCCCCTGTTTCATAGTTAACATTTGGTTATTAGGAGACTGTAGAAAGTGCCCTATTCTGATACGTTGTGTAATCCCCTAAGCCATTTTAAAAAACATGTTTGAGTCAAATAATATATGTAAATAGTTCAAATATGTATGTTCCTTACTTCATTAAACTTTTTTTTTGGTGGATGAATACAGGTGACTGGCGTAAATCTGGGAAACATCACTCTTAAGGCTCACTGTTTCCTTTTGGAACGCCTCATTGCAGTATTCTTTTGTTTGAATCATACAACCTTTGTGCAACCTGTACTTTTAAAAAATTGCTATTATGAACACTTTGATTCTGTTCTAATGAAATAAAACAGAAGGCGCAAAATAGAATTAGACAAATGATTTTAAAACTTAAAAACCGTGAATTCTTTTCTTCAATATAAATTTTTCTTGAAAGTTCATTGTTTTCTGATGGAAAAATTCTCTGGTACAAGTAGGCAGAGTTGCTCTGTCTGTTCTGTTCTAAACCTTTCCCTGCCTGGCTCCCGAGGCCCCAGCATTGGTTTAGTGGATCACAGTTTAGTCCTACAGTTGTAAAGGAGGCACTGCTGTTGAGATTAAAAAAACAAACAAACAAAAAAACTGTGTCTAGATTATTTTATGGCCAGTGCCATAAGCCAGAGCTTCAAGTAGTTACATATTAGCTTAAGCATGACTGAATTCAGAACCCCAAAGGCATTTTAAGGGTGAAAGAATGAATTTGAGGCCCTCCTGTAACTTCTGGACAAGAGAATGGAATTAGAAAAAGTAGAATGAAATACTAAAGAGCTCAAATTGGACTTGCACGTATATCATAGAAGAAAAATTATATATTACGTTTTTAATATCTTAAAACTTTTCATTTCAAATCGTTAATACAAAGCAAGGGTCAGGCGCAGCGGCTCACGCCTGTAATCCCAGCACTTTGGGAGGCCGAGGCGGGTAAATCACTGGAGGTCGGGAGTTTGAGACCAGCCTGACCAACATGGTGAAACCCCGTTTCTACCAAAATACAAAAAATTAGCCAGGCATGGTGGCGCGTGCCTGTAGTCCCTGCTACTGGGGAGGCTGAGGCAGGAGAATCACTTGAACCCGGGAGGCGGAGGTTGCAGTGAGCCAATATCTCGCCACTGCCCTCCAGCCTGGCGACAGAGCAAGACTCCGTCTCGAAAAAAAATATATATATATATGTATACATATATATATATATGTATATATATGTGTGTATATACGCCCACAGACACACACGCATACACAAAGCAAGTCATTATTTGACTTGAGATGTCTACAGGAAATGTTACTTTACATTGTCATTGTCTTTTTCACTTGTTCTCTTTGATTCAGTCAGATTTTTGTTACCCTTTTTTTTTTTTGGTCATTCCTTTGTTCACTCTTCATTCAGCAGGCATACATTGAATAATTACTGTGTGTCAAGCATTGTGTTAATCTATGGACACAAAATGAGTAAATAGACTGTGAGTTCCTGCCTTCAAGGAACTCTCAATCTAATGGAGGAAACAGAGAGACATAAGACCTGTAATTTAGTACGATAAGTATAGTGCTACAAATATACAAGAAGCTTTAATCCTCTTTTATTTAAAATAGTCATAGTCCCTGAAGAAAAGACAAGGACCTTCAGATAGGAGCTTTCTCTGTAAAGGTGTTGACACTATCCTCTCCTTCCCACCTTTTCTTTTTTCTTTTTCTTTTTTTTTTTTTTTGAGACGAATCTGTCTCTCAGGCTGGAATGAAGTGGCCTGATCTTGGCTTACTGCAACCCCGCCTCCCGGGTTCAAGTGATTTTCCTGCCTCAGCCTCCCGAGTAGCTAGGACTACAGGTGCGCACCACCACACCTGGCTAATTTTTTGTATTTTTAATAGAGATGGAGGTTTCACCATGTTGGCCAGGCTGGTCTTGAACTCCTGCCCTCAAGTGATCTGCCCGCCTCGGCCTCCCAAAGTGTTGAGATTACAGGCGTGAGCCACTGTGCCCAGCCTCCTCCCCCCCTTCTCTGATAGCACTTTCCCAACAGGAAGTAACCACCTTTTGCTAATGTATGATATGGTCATTTTATGATTAAAGGCCTTTAAAGATTAATCTCTTTTGGTAGGTGAAGAGTCTTGCAGGAGGGTGAGCAGTCTTTCTGACAGTCATATGAGGAAGGAATCCTTTTCTCAGGGGCTGAGAAAAGGATGGGTCAAGATGTCTTAGGAAGGCACTCATGAATTGATGATGATATGTGACTTGTCAAATGGAAGCAGGCCAAAGGCTAGGAAGTAGGGAACTCTGGCAAATTCCTGTCTTTTCTTGGCATCAGAACCTACAAGCCCTGAAGGATATACTAGATTTGGTAGTGTTAGAACTCTTTAAACATTTTATCTAGATTCATTTTTTTGTTTTGTTTAATAAGATTTCTTTGATGTGTTCTGAGGGGAAAAAAGAAAATATCCTTAGGTCCCACCTCTTCTCCCCAGCTGGGCCTCAAGTGTTAGAGGGGTACAGGGATCTTGAGGTAGAGCCTGGTTGGAGTAGCCATTCTTGTAGAATTCCAAGGGGAAAGTGAAACATGGGGGACGGGGCCACAGTGGTTAGTGTTAACAGAGAAGATGTCATTTCCTTATTCATTGATTTCCAAGTCATGACTTGTCTGTTCTAAGCCTTAACTCCGGTTCTTGTTTGCATATCTTTTTTCCCTTTACTCAAGCCAGGCAATCTTTCTTGCCAGTTTTCTGCCTCTGTGCTATTTACCATTCATTGCTAAATGTTTGCTCTTTTCAACCTTGGTATTTCCTTTAAAGATACGCTTGTGTCCCACAAAGCTGAGCTCAAATTCTACCTCTACAAAACTCTGTGGACGCAGTGGTTTGAATTGTTAGCTTTTAAGAGAATACATTTCCAAGTGACATTTTAATGTGTGTATTGCTGTGTTTCTGACTTTTGCTGTGTTAGAAGAAGTTGACCAGGAAGTAGCTTGGGACTTTCTCCAGTGAAATGCAGTCATGCAGTCCTTTTCTCCAGTGAAATTTTATAAGAAATCCCAATATAAAAATAGATATTGATAGCATAAGAATAATATAAATTCATAACATACACACAAATTTATAACATTTACTTAACTAGGCCACTCTTTGTACAATAAGTTAAAATCTTTGTAAAAGTAAAAATTTTTTTAAAAAGTTTTTTGGTTTTGAATAAGAATAGTAGACTTAACAGCCAGTTTTTTTTCTAATATATTTTGTAGCTTTTTAAACTATGAAATATTTTCAGCATAAAATAGAAAATATGAACTCCCATTCCTGCCAGGCAATTATGTCAAGTGCTAATATTTTGATATACTTGATTCTTTTTTTTTAAGAAAGGAACATTCAAGATGCAGTGAAATACTTTAGTATTTTTAGCAGCTACCTGATCCCATTCTTCCTCCTTTCTCCGAGTTAAACACTCTATAAATAGATAGAAATTCTCTTTAATAGTATAATACTACACTTACAAATATACTATATATTGTTTGGATGTTTTTAAACTTCTTAAAAATGGTGTCTTTTTGTCATTCTGCAACTTTTGTCATCCAGCATTTCTTCTTTTTTGAGACGGAGTCTTGCTCTGTCGCCCAGGCTGGAGTGCAGTGGTGTAATCTCAGCTCACTGCAACCTCTGCTTCCCAGGTTCAAGCAATTCTTGTGCCTCAGCCTCCCGAGTAGCTGGGGTTACAGGTGCGCACCACCATGCTCGGCTAATTTTGCATTTTTTAGCAGAGATGGGATTTCGCCATGTTGGCCATGCCAGTTTCGAACTCCTGACCTTAGGTGATCTGCCTGCCTTGGCCTCCCAAAGTGCTGGGATTACAGGCGTGAGCCACCGTGCCTGGCCCATTCAGCATTTCTTCGTGAGAGTTATTCATGTTGATGTTTGTAGCTCTAGGTTATAAATTTTAATGGCTGCGTGATACTATACTACTATATGAATATGCATTATCTGTTGTCCTATTGACGAACATGACTTTGTTTTCAATTTCTTGCACCTACAGACAGCTCTGTATTGAAAGTTTTTATCTATGTTTTCTTGTGTTTATGGGTGCAAGATTCTTTTTTTTTTTTTTTTGAGACGGAGTCTTGCCCTGTCACCCAGGCTGGAGTGCAGTGGCGCGATCTCAGCTCGCTGCAACCTCCATCTCCCAGGTTCAAATGATTTTCCTGCCTCAGCCTCCCAAGTAGCTGGGATTACAGACGCCTGCTACCATGCCCAGGTAATTTTTTTTTGTATTTTTAGTAGAGACGGGGTTTCACATGTTGGCCAGGCTGGTCTCGAACTCCTGACCTCGTGATCCGCCCGTCTTGGCCTCCCAAAGTGCTGGGATTACAGATATGAGCCACTGTGCCCAGTGGAGTGCAAAATTCTTAAAGGTTGTCGTCTTGAAGGGGAATTCTTCAGTAGAAGTGTAGCTCTTGGCCTGGTGTGGTGGCTCATGCCTGTAATCCCAGCACTTTGGGAGGCTGAGGTGGACAAATCTTCTGAGGTCAGGAGTTTGAGACCAGCCTGGCCAACATGATGAAACGTGTCTCTACTGAAAATACAAAACTTAGCTGAGTGTGGTGGTGAATGCCTGTCATCTCAGCTACTCGGGAGGCTGAGGTAGAAGAATCACTTGAACCTGGGAGGCGGAGATTGTGCCACTGCACTCCAGCTGGGGCAACAGAGTGAGACTCCATCTCAAAAAAAAAAAAAAAGTGTAGCTCTTGCAAAGTTGCCCTTCCAAGTGTTTGTTGATTTCCCTCCTGTCAGCAGTGAAATTCCTGTTGTTCCACATCCTCACTAATGCTGAGCATTGTCAGATTTTCTAATTTATGCCTATCTGATGAATATGAAGTAAGACATTGTTTTCATTTCATTTTCTATTTCTACTTCATTGCCAGTGAAGATGAGCATTTTTTCATATGTTTCTTCATCATTCTGTTTTCTTTTTCTATAAATTGCCTGCTCATTACTTTTATTATTCTGTTGGGTTACTTTTTAAAAATTGATGGCAGGGTGCAGTGACTCACACCTGCAATCCAAACACTTGGTGGATTGCTTGATCTCAGGAGTTCGAGATCAGTCAGGGCAACATGATGAAACCCCATCTCTACAAAAAATACAAAAATTAGCTGAGCATGGTGGCGCGCACCTGTAGTCCGAGCTACTCGGGAGATGGAGGTGGGAGGATGGCTTGAGCTAGGGAGGTTGAGGCTGCAGTGAGCCATGATTGCATCACTGCACTCCAGCCTGGGTGACAGAGCCAGATCCTGTCTCCCGAACAAAACAAAAAAACGAAACCAAAAACCAACACCAAAAAATAAAACAAAATTGATTTTTAGAGTTCCAGATACATTTCTTACTAATCTTTAGTTGGGTATGTATGTTACAAATCTGTATTCTAGTTCTGTTTGTTTCTGCTGTCTTTTATTGTAAAGAAAATGTGGGTTTTCACTTAGTGATATTTGTCATTCTCCCTTAATTTTATTTTTCTTAAGAAAGGCTTCAGGGCTGAGTGTGGTGGCTCACACCTGTAGTAAAGAAAAGAAACCCTTCTCCACCCTGAGGTTATACAGATATTTTCATATTTTCTTCTGCAAGTTTTACTAAACTTTTGATTTTCACATTTAGGTCTTTGATCCACCAGGAATTAATTTTTGTATAAGGTCTGCGGAGGAATTGAATTGGATAACCAGTTGACAATAGACAATAATCAATTGTCTAATCACTGTGGATTGAATTGTCTGTTTTTTCCCCACTGTTTTATAATTGTCTTAGCTATTTTGGGCATTTCAAATGGATTATATGACAGATTGGTTAAAATCATTATACAAGGGAATTTCTTGTAGGTTTTTAGGATGTAAGAGAAAAGACATTATAATTTTATTTTTGTTTCACATCAGCTGATATTGATGGTTTAAAATATATTTTTATTCCTTAATAACATTTAATGATAAGCTTATGTATAATTTGTAAGTAAGTCAAGAAGAGAATGATTTTCTGCCAGTGAATATACAACATAATACTATAGCAGTGTAGTTAGGTGGATGTGTCTCTAGCATGGCTTTTGTTTAAATAAAGGACCTCAGAGGTGTTGCGTGTAATAGGCCTTGTGGCTGGGCGCGGTGGCTCATGCCTATAATCCCAGCACTTTGGGAGGTCGAGGTGGGCGGATTACAAGGTCAGGAGTTCGAGACCAGCCTGACCAACATGGTGACACCCCATCTTTACTAAAAATACAAAAATTAGCCGGACATGTGGTGCATGCCTGTAGTCCCAGCTACTCGGGAGGCTGAGGCAGGAGAATCACTTGAACCCGGGAGGCAGAGGTTGCAGTGAGCCAAGATCGCGCCACTGCACTCCAGCCCGGACGACAGAGCGAGACTCCATCTCAAAAGAAAAAAAAAATAGGCCTTGTATATAAGTATGTAGGGTAGGATATCAAACTCTGGTTACTTGACAAGTGATGGTTCTAACCACCTATTACCCAGGTATCAAAATGAAACTTAAGGATATATCATTTCTTTATCTCTTGTTATTTTTTTCCTCCTTGGTTGTCTATTGTCCTTTAATCTGACCACTTTTCTTCTCCCCCTTCCTTGATTTTTCATTTTGTCTTAAGTTAAAAAGCTTTTATTTTATTTTATTTTTTCTTCTTTTTTGAGACACAGCCTCACTCAGTCGCCCAGGCTGAAGTGCAGTGGTACAATCTCAGCTCACTGCAGCCTCTGTCTCCTGGGTTCAAGCAATTCTCCTACCTCAGCCTCCTGAGTAGCTGGGATTACAGGCACCCACCACCATGCCTGGCTAATTTTTAATTATTTATTTATTTATTTTTTTCTAGAAATGAGGTTTCACCATGTTGTCCAGGCTGGTCTTGGACTCCTGACCTCAAGTGATTCACCTGCCTCGGCCTCCCAAAGTGCTGGGATTATAGGAGTGAGCCACCATGCCTGGCCTAAGTTACAAAGTCTTTAAAAGTGTTTTTGCTTACAGTCTTTTTCCTGTTATAAAAATATCAGCTAATTGGCAATATTTGTCCAACACCATGGGTGAGAAGGATATTAGTTCCTGAGGCATTTTGGTATTGTTGAAACATTCTTTTCCCTCATCCTTTGTTTTTTAGGATTAAGTTTCACATTGACTTATTGGCATCTGCTATCTTTTTTGGTGTAGTAAGTGTTGCTCCCAGCTTTTAGACTTCCTTTAGCGTTATTTTCTTAATGGGTCTGTGGCTGCTATGCTTAAAGGACAAGCACCTCTCTGTCCCTATAGCACCTTGTGGAACATTTACAGTTCTTCACCATGGAGACCTGTTATGGCGATCTCTGTTGCATTCAGGGAGGCCTTTCTTTAGTTTCCTCCAGTTAAGAAATGTTGAAAATGAAGTGTCTTGTGAAGTAGTTCCAGTTCTTACTGACTTTTAATGCAAGCTCAGAACTGTGTTTAATCTCATATTTAAAAAAAGCATGAAGGGAAATGATGAAGGATTTAAAAAATTTTATTATGTACAGTCTCCCTCATATTTAGTGTAATTTTTAAATGATAGCAGTTGGATGAAAAATCTGTTATTCAGTGAAATTGTTATTGTATCTGAAAACTCGCAAACTATTTTCTTGGTCGGTAAACGTACCCTTAGTAAGCACTTGCTTATTTTCATTTGCAATATGAGAATTGTAGTGACTCAGAATTTTACTTCTCATTTGTACTAAAAGTTTTTTTTATTCTTATCTGGAGCAGCAGCTTTTACTTTCATTTGTCATGGGATGAATTATCTTAACCTTCTCTTCTAAAAAAAGATCTGCTTAAAGAAATCTAGCATGTGCAGTGTTTTGGTTTGTCCCCAGCAGTACTAAGTCCTTGAGGTGGAGGGTTGAAGGGGAAGAACTTTTTTTTTTTCAAACATTAATACCTTATTAGGTTCTCTTAAGTTACCTGATAATGAATAAACCTTTATATTTAATGGAGAGATTGAACCTAAGAAGGTCATTGTGGCAGATATCTGGGAATGGCCATTGTCCCCTGAAAATTATTGACATTCTGAAGTGGCCACCTGCTTATAGGTGTTAAGAATAGGCTGTGTATATATGTATGTAGGGTAGGATATCAAACTCTGGTTACTTGACAACTATCAGTTCTAACCATCTATCACCCAGATATCAAAATAAAACTTAAGGATATATCATTTCTTTATCTCTTGTTATTTTTTTCCTCCTTGGTTGTTTTTTGTCTCTGAATCTGACCACTCCTCTTCTTCCCCTGCCTTGATTTTTCATTTTGTCATATTACTCCAGTTTTATGTCAGAAATTTGTCACTACATGATGATGTAGTCTTAAAATTTTTAGCTATTCTAGTGGGTATGTCATTGTGGGCTTTGTCGTTGTTGTTGTTGTTTTTGAGACAGAGCCTTGCTCTGCCCCCCAGCCTGGAATGCAGTGGCGTGATCTGGGCTCACTGCACCCTCCACCTCCCAGGTTCAATCTGGGACTACAGATGTGCACCACCATGCCTGGCTAGTTTTTGTATTTTCAGTAGAGACAGAGTTTCGCTGTGTTGGCCAGGCTGGTCTGCAACTCCTGGCCTTATGTAATCCGCCCGCCTTGACCTCCCGCAGTGCTGGAGTTACAGGCATAAGCCACTGTGCCCGGCCTTCATTGTAGTTTTAATGTGCATTTACTTGATAACTCTTGATTTTGGGCACGTTTAAATATATTTATTTGCTAAATGAATGTTCTCTTTTTCAAAGTACTACTTGTTTAAATATTTTGTCCATTTTTCTTTTCACTTAATTTTCACAACTCTTTTAAGCACGGCAGCTATTTTAATCTCCATTTGACAAATGAGAACATGGATTTGGGTTTGAGTCAGAATGGAGGTGAACTACTCCAAAGCTTATAAGCTAGTAAGAAAGCTTCAGAGATGGATGTAGGCAAGGCAGGTCCTCGTTGTTTTATTGGTGATGTGTATCCCGCGCCACCCCCCTGAAGCCTGACAGTACTCCACAGGTGCATACGGAGTGTGCATAATGGTTTTCTCAGTCTGCAGAGGTAATGTAATCATCTGCCTGGCCTGTTTGCTTTTGATTCTCTATCTGTAACTTTTTGGCATGTTAGTGGCTGCCTTGGAGACTTTTTTTTTTTGAGACAGAGTCTCGTTCTGTTGCCCAGGCTGGAGTGCAGTGGCGCTATCTCGGCTCACTGCAACCTCTGCCTCCTGGGTTCAAGCAATTCTCCTGCCACAGCCTCCTGAGGAGTTGGGACTACAGGTGCATGCCACCATGCCCAGATAATTTTTTGTATTTTTTTTTTTAATAGAGACGAGGTTTCGCTGTGTTAGCCAGGCTCGTCTTGATCTCCTGACCTCATGATCTGCCCGCCTCGGCCTCCCAAAGTGCTGGGATTGCAGGCATGAGCCACCGCGCCCGACCGACTCATTTTTCCTTTATCCCAGCCACTAGAAAATGTCTAGCACATTATGCTTCCTAATAGGCCTATTACAATGGAAATTATAACATGTATGCTTCTGCCCTGTCTCCTGAGTAAGGGTGTGTGTAAATGAGTGTGCTCGTTTTGTGGAGTTAGGGGGACGTGGTTCTCACCTAACAGGATTACAGAGGGTATTTTGGAAATATCAGCCAAGAAGAAAGTGAACTTGTAGGAAAATAAAGGCTGGCCCCAGGATTTTTGCCTTTTTAATAGATGGTTTAAAATATTAAAGGACAGTAAAAGGTAATTTTTATGTGTTTTTCCCCCTTCTTTTCGTCCTGGCTCCCCTTATGCTCAATTCTCTCAACTCCTCCTAGTCGCCCCAGAAATGTTGGTGGTGACATGAGAAATGAATAGAATGGCAATGACTGATCTGTATTCCATCAGAGGAAGCAGCTCTTAAATATATTGTATTATTATATGGTTTAGTAAATGGAGTTAATCAGCTGGGCGCAGTGGCTCACGCTTTTAATCCCAGCAGTTTGGGAGGCCAAGGTGGGCAGATCACCTGAGGTCGGGAATTTGAGACCAGCCTGACCAACATGGAAAAACCCTGTCCCTACTAAAAATACAAAATTAGCCCGGCGTGGTGGCGCATGCCTGTAATCCCGGCTACTCAAGAGGCTGAGGCAGGAGAGTCGTTTGAACTCGGGAGGCAGAGGTTTGCATTGAGCCAAGATCGTGCCATTGCACTCCAGCCTGGGCAACAAGAGTGAAACTGCATCTCAAAAAAAAAAAAAAAAAGTTAATCATGGCATTCTGCCTGATTCTTTGCTTGTAAACGAGAGTTGAATTTGCATGTTTCCTATTCAGTGTGTTTAAGATATGTATTATCGGGGAACCCACCTCCAATATTTCAACATAGGTTCTATTTTTCCTAAGTGTCGGCCAGTCTGAGAAATAGAGAGAAAGAGTACAAAGAGAAGAATTTTACAGCTGGGCCACCAGGTCATTACGGGCCGTAGGTCCGTAATGCCCCACCAGAGCTGCAAAATCAGCAAGTTTTTATTAAGGATTTCAAAAGGGGAGGGGGTGTACGAACAGGGAGTAGGTCATAAAGATCACATGCTTCTGAGGCCAATAAAGATCACAAGGCAAAGGGCAGAATTAGAATTACTGATGAGGGTCTGTGTTCAGCTGTGCACATATTGTCTTGATAAACATCTTAACAGAAAACAGAGTTCAAGAGCAGAGAACCAGTCTGACCAAAATTTACCAGGCTGGAGTTTCCCAATCCTAGTAAGCCTGAGGGTACTGCAGGAGACCAGGGCGTATTTCAGTCCTTATCTCAACCGCATAAGACACACACTCCCAGAGCGGCCGTTTATAGACCTCTTCCCAGGAATGCAATTCTTTTCCTAGGGTCTTAATATTTAGTATTCCTTGCTAGAAGAAGAATTTAGCAATATCTCTCCTACTTGCACATCTGTTTATAGACTCTCTGCAAGAAGAAAAATATGGCTCTTTTTGCCCTACCCCGCAGGCAGTCAGACCTTATGGTTATCTTCTCTTGTTCCCTAAAATCACTGTTATTCTGTTCTTTTTTAAGGTGCACCAATTTCATATTGTTCAAACACACGTGTTTTACAATCAGATTTATTATTCAAACACACGTCTTTTACAATCAATTTGTACAGTTAATGCAATCATCACAGGGTCTTGAGTTGACATACATTCTCAGCTTACGAAGATAACAGGATTAAGAAATTAAAGACAGGCATAAGAAATTATAAGAGTATTATTTGGGAACTGATAAATGTCCATGAAATCTTCATAATTTATGTTCAGAGATTGCAGTAAAGACAGTCATAAGAAATGATAAAAGTATTAATTTTGGGAGCTGATAAATATCCATGAAATCTTCACAATTTATGTTCCTCTGCTACGGCTCCAGCCAGTCCCTCCATTCGTTCTGGGTCCCTGACTTCTTGCAACAATGTATATACATAGGGAAACAGAAAAACTATGTTAATTTGGCAATTTTGAACAAAAATTCCTCTCAAGAGGCAGTTTAATATAGTGATTTGAACCTGGAGCACACACCCTGAGCCAGATGGCACAAATTGAAATCTATTTTATTGCTTACTAGCTGTATAACCTTGTGCTAGTTATTTAATAATTTTCTGGACCAGGCACAGTGGCTCATGCCTGTAATCCCAGCACTTTGGGAGGCTGAGGCGGGCAGATCACCTGAGGTCAGGAGGAGTTCGAAACCAGTGTGACCAACATGGTGAAACCTTGTCTCTACTAAAAATACAAAAATTAAAAAAAAAAAAAATTACCCAGGCATGGTGGCGTGCGCCTATATCCCAGCTACTTGGGATGCTGAGGCGGGAGAATCACTTGAACCAGGGAGGCGTAGGTTGCAGTGAGCCAAGATCGCGCCACTATACTCCAACCTGGGCAACAGAGTGAGACTGTATCTCAAATTATAATAATAAGAATAATTTTCTGTGTCTCAGCTTCCCCATTTATATAGTTTTTATTTTTATTTATTTATTTTATATGCAAAGTTGTAAAATAACCCAGCCCAGGCTGGAGTACAGTGGCACAATCATAGCTCACTGTAACCTCAAACTCCTGGGCTCATGTATTCTCCTGCCTCAGCCTTCTGAGTACCTAGAACTACAGGTGCGCATCACCGTACCAGACTACTATTTCAATTTTTTTTTTTAAGAGGTGAGGGATCTCACTATGTTGCCCAGGCTGGTCTTGAACTCCTGGACTCTCAAGTGATCCTCCTGCCTTGGCCTCCCAAAGTGCTAGGATTACAGCTGTGAGCCACCGGGCCCAGTCCCCACTTATGGGGATCCTTCATTTGATTGAGGAGCAAGTGATTTAGCTTATGTAAAATGCTCAGGAGTTATTGCTTAATTGCTATTATTGTTTTTAATTAAATTGCTATCTGTCATTCAGTACTCAGAGCTGTAAGTAGGTTTTCATTTTAGAAGGCATGCAGATTGGGCTGGGCACAGTGGTTCACACCTGTAATCCCAGCACTTTGGGAGGCCAAGATGAGTGGATCACCTGAGATCAGGAGTTCTACCCCCAGCCTGGCCAACATGGTGAAACCCCATCTCTACTAAGAATACAGAATTAACCGGGTGTGGTGGCACATGCCTGTAATCCCAGCAACTCCAGAGGCTGAGGCAGGAAAATCGTTTGAACCCAGGAGGCAGAGGTTGCAGTGAGCCAAGATCGTGCCATTTCACTCCAGCCTGGGCAGCTAAGAGTGAAACTCCATCTCAAAAAAAAAAGAAAAAAAAATGGTATGCAGAATGTATTTTTAAGAACTATGTGTATTGCTGCTTTCCCCAGGGTAAAGATTTGCATCGATAAACATTAACCCAAACAGAACATTAAATGGGGTGGAAAATTAAGTGAGAAAATTTATGGTAAACCTAAGTTTAACTATAAAATGCTAAATAGAGTCATTGTCATTTAAGGGAGAGAAGGAGTAGAATTATTTACAGTCTATCAGGTTGAGGTATTGGGCATTTAAATATTTTAATCTAAATTTCACTACACAAGAATTGTGTAGTCTAGAAACCTAGTAAGTATATATAATGTTTTTTTTTTTTTTTTTTTTTTATTGATCATTCTTGGGTGTTTCTCGCAGAGGGGGATTTGGCAGGGTCACAGGACAATAGTGGAGGGAAGGTCAGCAGATAAACAAGTGAACAAAGGTCTCTGGTTTTCCTAGGCAGAGGACCCTGCAGCCTTCCGCAGTGTTTGTGTCCCTGGGTACTTGAGATTAGGGAGTGGTGATGACTCTTAACGAGCATGCTGCCTTCAAGCATCTGTTTAACAAAGCACATCTTGCACCGCCCTTAATCCATTCAACCCTGAGTGGACACAGCACATGTTTCAGAGAGCACAGGGTTGGGGGTAAGGTCACAGATCAACAGGATCCCAAGGCAGAAGAATTTTTCTTAGTACAGAACAAAATGTAAAGTCTCCCATGTCTACCTCTTTCTACACAGACACGGCAACCATCCGATTTCTCAATCTTTTCCCCACCTTTCCCCCCCTTCTATTCCACAAAACCGCCACCGTCATCATGGCCCACTCTCAATGAGCTGTTGGGTACACCTCCCAGACGGGGTGGTGGCCGGGCAGAGGGGCTCCTCACTTCCCAGTAGGGGCGGCTGGGCAGAGGCGCCCCTCACCTCCCGGATGGGGCGGCTGGCCAGGCGGGGGGCTGACCCCCCCACCTCCCTCCCGGACGGGGCGGCTGGCCGGGTGGGGGGCTGACCCCCCCACCACCTTCCCGGACGGGGCGGCTGGCCGGGCAGAGGGGCTCCTCACTTCCCGGTAGGGGCGGCCGGGCAGAGGCACCCCTCACCTCCCGGATGGGGCAGCTGGCCAGGCGGGGGGCTGACCCCCCCACCTCCCTCCCGGACGGGGTGGCTGGCCGGGCGGGGGGCTGACCCCCACCGCCCTCCCGGACGGGGCGGCTGGCCTGGGTGGGGCTGACCCCCCACCTCCCTCCTGGACGGAGCGGCTGGCCTGGCGGGGGCTGACCCCCACCTCCCTCCCGGACGCGGTGGCTGCCGGGCGGAGGGGCTCCTCACTTCTCAGACGGGGCGGCTGCCGGGCGGAGGGGCTCCTCACTTCTCAGACGGGGCGGTTGCCAGGCAGAGGGTCTCCTCACTTCTGAGATGGGGCGGCCGGGCAGAGACGCTCCTCACATCCCAGACGGGGTGGCAGGGCAGAGGCGCTCCCCACATCTCAGACGATGGGCGGCCAGGCAGAGACGCTCCTCACTTCCTAGATGGGATGGCGGCCGGGAAGAGGCGCTCCTCACTTCCTAGATGGGATGGCGGCCGGGCAGAGACGCTCCTCACTTTCCAGACTGGGCAGCCAGGCGGAGGGGCTCCTCACATCCCAGATGATGGGCGGCCAGGCAGAGACGCTCCTCACTTCCCCGACGGGGTGGCGGCCGGGCAGAGGCTGCAATCTTGGCACTTTGGGAGGCCAAGGCAGGCGGCTGGGAGGTGGAGGTTGTAGCCAGCCGAGATCACGCCACTGCACTCCAGCCTGGGCACCATTGAGCACTGAGTGAAGGAGCCTCCGTCTGCAATCCTGGCACCTCGGGAGGCCGAGGCTGGCAGATCACTCGCGGTTAGGAGCTGGAGACCAGCCCGGCCAACACAGCGAAACCCCGTCTCCACCAAAAAAATAGGAAAACCAGTCAGGCGTGGCGGCGCGCGCCTGCAATCGCAGGCACTGGGCAGGCTGAGGCAGGAGAATGAGGCAGGGAGGTTGCAGTGAGCAGAGATGGCGGCAGTACAGTCCAGCTTTGGCTCGTCATCAGAGGGAGACCGTGGAAAGAGAGGGAGAGGGAGACTGTGGGGAGAGGGAGAGGGAGAGGGAGCAATCCTGTTCTTTTAAAAACGAGGAAAACTTTCAATAACCATACTTTTCCAATGGGAAAAATATGCCCCCAGTGGGTGAGCTCTCCATGCGGGAGGACTCAGAAGTGATCACTCATGAGGGACGCTCAGGAGATGATAGAGGATTAGGCTCTATATAATGATTTTAATAGTCTAAATATATACAATTTATTCATAGACTAGAAAAAAAGTGGCTTTTCTACATTTTTGAAGAATTTAGTTTTTTAATGAATTAGTCCAAAGAAAGAATGTTTCTATCTTTAGTAAAAGCTATCATTGTGGTTTCCTGCAATGTATGCAAATTAATTCTACTCATTTACTTGTTTTTCATTTTCTGGTTTTTTTCTTTTTCCTTTTTCTTTTCTTTTTTTGTTTTAGAGACAAGTGTTTCACCCTGTCACCCAGGGTGTGGGTGGAGTGTAGTGGCTTGATCATAGCTTACTGCAGCTTTAAACTCCTGGGCACAAGGAATCCTCCCACCCCAGCCTCTCAAGTAGTGGGGACTACAGGTGTGCACCACCATGGTGCCCAGCTTCTTGTTTCTGCTTTAGAAAAAAAATTATATATATCTGTGTGTGTATATATATATATATATGGTTTTTTTTTGGCTAGCTTTTCTTGGTTCTTATACTGCAATTTTAAGGTGTAGAAGCAATTGAGGTTTTTTTTCCTCCTATTAATAGATAAAAGGCAATTTTTTTTCCTAAGATTGCTATGGTCAGAATGTATCCCCCAAAATTTACGAGTTGGAGACAGTCCCCAATGCAACAGTATTGGGGGATGGGGACTTTTGGGAAGTGTTTACGTCATGAGAGTACCTCCTTCGTGAATGGATTAATGCTGCAATAAAAAGGGCTTACAGGGGTGGGTTCACTCTCCCTTGTCCTTCTACCTTCTGCCATGTAAGGACACAGTAAGAAGGCCCTGACCAGATGCCAGTGCTTTGATCTTCGATTTTCCAGCCTCCAGAACTGTGAGAAATAAATTTCTGTTCTTTACGAACTACCCAGTTTCAGGTATTCTGTTCAATAGCAGTGTAAAACAGACTAAGACAAAGTTCTAAATTGCTTTAGTCATGTCCAAAGGTATTAATATGTAATATCTTAATCATAATACATTTTTATGTTGCCTTCTGTTTACTCTAAATTATCCACATGTCCTGATTGTTAAGTTTCCACGTGATCGGGTATTACAATTATTATTATTTTTTTTTTGAGATGGAATCTTGCTCTGTCGCCCAGGTTGGAGTGTAGTGATGTAATCTTGGCTCACTGCAACCTCCGCTTCCTAGGTTCAAGTGATTCTCCTGCCTCAGCCTCCTGAGTAGCTGGGACTATAGACGCCCACCACCACACCCAGCTAATTTTTTGTATTTTTAGTGGAAACGGGGCTTCACCATGTTGGCCAGATGGTCTCGGATCTCTTGACCTCGTGATCCACCCCCCTTGGCTTCCCAAAGTGCTGGGATTACAGGTATAAGCCACCACGCCCAGCCCATTTAATGACTTTTTAAATTGAGATATTGTACTTTTCAGTTCAGACATTCCATTTTTATAGTTTTCATTTCTCTGCTGAGCATTCACCAATGTTTGCATTCTTGAAAATATAATAATGTCTCTAAAGTTCTTTCTTGCCAAATCTAACATTTGGGTTATGCTGACATCTATTTTTATTGACTAATCTTGATTTTGGGACACTTGTTTGCTTATTTAGTAATTTTTTATATTATGGTGGACATTGTGATTATTCTTTGTAGGGAGGCTAAATTACATTGTCTTCCTTTAAATGGTGTTGAGTTTTGTTCTGTCAGGTTGTAATATTATTGGGGGGATCTTTTACGTTTTGACAGGCTTGGTTTTATTCTTTGTGAGGGAGGCCTATTTTGGTTTTGAACTAAATTCTAGAGGGCTTTTCCTCCTAAGGTGTGCCCTTTTTGGATTTTCAACTAAATGCATGAAGTGTTCTCTTGCTTTGTTTGGACAGTGTTAATGAGCCTGCTTGGGCTGCCATAACAATACCATAGACTAGGTAGCTTATGCAACAGAAATTTATTTTCTCACAGTTCTGGGGCCTGCAAGTCCAAGATCAAAGTGCCAGCAGAGGTGCTGTCTGGTTAGAGCTCACCCCTTGGGTTATATACAGCCCCCTTATTGCTGTGCCCTCATATGGCTTTTCCTTGCTGTGTGTACACAAAGAGAGTGCTAGCTCTCTGGTGTATCTTCTTAAAAGGACACTAATCCTATTGGATCAGGGTCCCATCCTTTTGTCCTCATTTAACAACAATTACTTCCTTAGAGGCCTCATCTGCAAATACAGCCACACTGGGGATTACGGCTTCAACATAAGAATTTTGGGAGGAACACAAACATTCCATGCATAATAGGGAGGATGACTCCCAGTGCTGCTTGACCTTTCAGCCCCATAGCAGGTAATCTCTGCTAGACCCCATAGAGACTCATCTCAAGTGTGTTTGTGTAGCCCAGCCTTTGGCCAAGGGCCTCTGGTTAATCACTGTGCTTAGAAACCTGGTCGCCATCTCTCGCTCTTCTTGGGCTAGTCCTTCTCTACTTGGGCTAGTCCTCTTCTACTTGGGCTAGTCCTCCTTGTGCTGGATGGGAAAGTATTCCAAGGCAGAAAGCTGAGGCCATCGTGAGGCTCACTACATATTTCCCTTCCCTCAAAGATCTGGGACCTGCTCTGCCTGCTATTCATTCCCTGAAAACAGTTGCCTCATTGATTTTGGCCTGTTTTATCATTGTTTTTGGTAGGATCGCAAGTCTGGTACCAGATATTCTATCATGTTTGGAAGCAGAAGACTAGTCATGAATTTTTATTTGCAAACATAATAGGAGGAGCTTTAAAGTTTTCTTGCAGCATTCTTATTTTATGTAGTTAAGTTGTTTATTACTGATAGAGCCTATTTTATTAAAAGTTTTATGGGTAGAGCTAGATTCTTTTTAAAGCTGTACTTTGAACATAATGACTGTAAGGGGGGGAGCCTTTTTGTTCCTTGTAGGTAGATATTGATGGAATTATTCTTTATCATATTGTTAGAATCTTTCTAAGCTATTTCACATTGTATTTGAGGCTCTTTTTATACAGTAATCAAAGCCTGGTGATGAAATGTTATGACTTACACCCACCAAATGCCGGCGATTTAGCATTTAGGCCCCAGGAGGGCTCTTTTAATTTTCTACCTCTCTATGCGTTTGACACAGAATAATGTGATATAGGGCCCCAACATTGGGCAAAGTGACATGCTATAAAAGAATGGTTTCTTAATTATAATATTTAAAATTTTCCAGGGGTTTAAAATACTCCTAAGTGCATAATTTAAATGTTATTTAGCTCCCTTGAAAAACAAAGTCCTTTTTGGCAGGCCATTATGAAGTCTTCAGATTTTATATTTTTAAAAAGAGTAATTGTGAGTCTTATATTTGTAGAGACTAAACTATGCTTGATAGAGTATTCAAATCAGGAATTTCCCATTTTCTATGGAAATTAAATAAACAATAGTCTAATTAGATATTTTAAAAATTGTTGGGCGGCTTTAGAAGGCATGAGATAGGCTTCATATTTAATGTATTACATGACCAGAATTGGAAAAATATCATGAAAAGTTGAGTTCTAGCTGGACTAGGTAGGTTATTAGATGGTCTAAAATCAGATTCACGTGATTATGTGTGTGTCTTTGTACTCATACATATCCATACTCATAAAATTTGATAATTGATGATACTGGCTCCTCAAATCAGTGAAGAAAGGATAGATTCTTAAATAATAGAACTGACAAAAAATTCGTAAAAATATTTTTCTGTTCCTGCCTCACACCACGTGTGAGGTTCCAGATACACTAAATGAAGTTCTAAATACATTAAAGATTTACATGTGAAAGGGGAATAATATACAGAAAAGAATGTGGGTAGATATTTAATCTTCAGGTAATTCAAACAGTATGCTAAATGACACTATAAAAAGAAAAATGGTAGATTCTGTTATAGCAAAAACTGCATCATAAACAAACAGGAAAGATTAGCATGAAGCTGTAATATATATGATTTGCTTTTCAGACTTAGTATATAAAGTTAGTTACCTATCTAAGAAGCTTTTGAAGCATTGCCTTCCCCACTTACCCTGTCTCCTTGTTGAGACTCCCAAACGGAGAGTTACTTCTCTTCAGTAAACAAGAGGAGAACTAGAACTTCATAAGCTCACTAGTGCTGTTACGTTTTGTTGCCATGTGGTGTTGCTATTGAAGTTTGATCCTATGTAGCCCGTTGAATATTTGTATGCTCAGCAGTGAAGCTTTGGTTGGTCCAGAACTTTGCACACATCAGCCAAACTATGTCCACAGATGGGCATCAGAGTTAAAGCCCTTTTAGTTCGTGTACTCAAAAGCTCTGCTGTTGTTTCCCACCTTACACATTGTACCAGGCTAATGGGATGTGGAGGAGCAACCAACATCATTCATTCACTCATGAAACAAATATTTATGGAGCACCTACTTCGTGCCCTAAATACTGTTTATGTACTAAGAATAATAATAGTGAACAAAACAAACAAAAATTCGTGCCATGATGGTTACATTCATTCTGGGGGTGGAATGTGGTGAAAGGTTGTGGCAAAGACAGATGCTAAACAAAAAAATGCTATGAAACATCTTTAGAAAGGACTATGCACAAAATCCTGCCTTCCTAATTATTTTATATTTAGTCTATGTGAGTCACCAATATGAAAGATACCAATAAGTATAACAAAGAAGACAGATTGAGTACCTAATGGATTTAGAACCAGTTTGCTGATAACTTTTCTCTAGCTTGTTTTGGGACTTTGTGGCCACTCTGTATGTAATGGTACATTATGCAGGTACTAAAAATACTGGTATAGACGTATATTTCTGAATGTGGGCAGATGTTTATTATGAGTAGAAATGCATGTTAAGAACTGATACATTTAGTATGATCACAATGTTAGTGGGGAATATTTTTTCTCTACCCCTGTGGTTTCCTTTGTGAGAAGGGAGTTCCATTAGTGTCACCCTGAGCCTGCCCTTTGTTTTGTTTTGTTTTGTAGAGACAGGGGCTCACTCTGTTGTCCACGTTGGAGTGCAGTGGTGCGATCTTGTCTCACTGCAACCTCGACCTCCCAGGCTCAAGCCATCCTCCTACCTCAGCCTCCCAAGTAGCTGGGACTACAGGCGCGTGCCACCACGCCCAGCTAACTTTTTTGTGTTTTTTGTAGAGACAGGGTTTTACCATGTTGCCCAGGCTGGTCTTGAACTCCTGTCTCAACTGATCTGCCCACCTTGGCCTCTCAAGTGCTGGGATGATAGGTGTGTGCCACCTCACCTAGTTTGCCCTTGCTTTTTTATTCACTTCGTCTCTGGTGTGATGACACCTGATTGGTAAGTTTGAGAGTAACTGGTCTTACATATGCCCTTCTGTGTAGGACTAGCTAGTCTTTCCACCACCACTGAGTGATTTTTCATTTGCTTCTCCATGGAATAAGTTATGCAGAGCCTTACCCCTGCAGGGAGAGGCCTTCCCCTCTCTAGTGCTAAGGCATGCCCACTTCTGGGGTTCACTATTAACAAATTCATTTGGCTAGTGTATCTAAAGCTTCTGTTAATAACAAAAGTGTTATTTTATTCTGTTTTGTTTCTCGTCTTGTTCATAGCTTAACCAAGGAAGGAGTTGTCTGTTTTTGGGTGCTGCCTTTATACACCTTATACTATTTTATTTAATTTTGCATTAACTTTTATTATTTTTGCGTGTGTGTGTGTGTGTGTGTGTGTGTGTGTGTGTATGTAATGTCTGGAAGGATATGCATCATAGTTTTAAAAGGGATTGGAAAAAGGATTCGTAGAATTAGGAGGTTTTTCCTTGTCTGTACTTCTAAATTCATGGAATTTATTAGATATGTAGTTCAGAAATAGTTAAGCCTTTTAAGCCTCTAAAACAGTATAGTCTGCTCTGACTTTCCAAAGCAATAGTCTTTTTGGCACAAGGGAAGAAGGTGAAAACCTGAGTAGGTATGTTTTGCCTGCGTAGCATTTGGTGCCTGGATTTAGAACTTTCAGTAGGCAAAAATGTATTACTTTTCTAAAAACCCTGGTTTGTCATTTCATCACATGTCAAAACAATTGCTTTCCATCCATAAGTAGTAGGCAATTTGCATGGCTTTTTAAAGCGAGTTCCAGTATTTAACTGAGGTTAACTGCATTGGTGTGTTTCTCTTTACTCACGAAGTATAGTTGTTTGCTAAGCCTGTTCATTTTTTGGCTTCTTTTGATTATTCCTTGCTATTAAAAAAAAAAAAGAAATTACTCTGGATTCCTACCATCTTTCCTGATGATCACTGTGATATTACCTGTCATTCATATATATATATGTATGTTTTGCTAGATTATTCTATATTTGAAATTACAAGGTATATATAATAAAGAGGAAAAGACATAAAATGTGATACAGTGTTTCTAAAGTGGTACTTTTTATATCTCCACCTCTCCATACTAGCAGAAAAAATTGTATTCTTTGATATTGAAATTTTTGTAAAAGTTAATAAAGTAAAAATGCTCTGTAACTCAATCATTATATTCTGATCATGCTTTTTAACAGTTTACCTTTAATTAATTTATTTTATTTCTCACAATGCAGGTTAATTACTTGTCAGTTTTTACTTTGATCATGTAATATTTCAGACCACAAAAAAAGATATTGAAAATATTTTCTACATACATACTGTACAACTTAATAAACCTTTATAAATACAATGAAGCCCCTGTCTTCTTTTGAGCCCCCCTCAAGTTTGATGTTTATCATTCTCCTGCATTCTAATATTTTTACTACCTGTGTATATATCCCTAAAGAATATGGTGTATTTTTTGGATGTTGTGAAACTTCAGGTGAAACATTCACATATTGCTGGTGGGAATGTACCATAGTATAGTTCCTTTGGGAAACTGCCCATTCCTAAAAAAATTAAACTTAGAGTTACCATATGACACAGGATTTCTACTCCTAGATATACACCAAAGGACAATGAAGGCGTAATGTCCACACAGAGACTTGTATATGAATGTTCATCGCATCAGTGCATTATTTATATTAGCCAGAAAGTTTTTTTTTTGTTGTTTTTTTTTGAGACAGAGTCTCACTCTGTCACCCAGGCTAGAGTGCAGTGGCGCAATCTTGGCTCACTGCAAGCTCTGCCTCCCGGGTTCACGCCATTCTCCTGCCTCAGCCTTCCGAGTAGCTGGGACTACAGGCGCCTGCCACCACACCCGGGTAATTTTTTGTATTTTTAGTAGTGATGGGGTTTCACCGTGTTAGCCAGGATAGTCTTGATCTCCTGACCTCGTGATCTGCCCACCTCGGCCTCCCAAAGTGCTGGATTACAGGTGTGAGCCACCGCTCCTGGCCCAAAAACATTTTTAAAAATCCAAATGTTGACTGGGCATGATGGCTCAAACTAGTAATCTCAGCACTTTGGGAGGCCGAGGTGGGCAGATCATTTGAGCCCAGCAGTTTGAGACGAACCTGGGCAACATGGCAAAACCCCGTCTCCACAAAAAATACGAAACTTAGTTGGGCGTGATGGTGCACACCTGTAGTCCTAGCTACTCGGGAAGCTGAGGTGGGAGGATCACGTGAGCCCCGGGAGATAAAGGCTGCAGTGAGTTGTGATCACACCACTGCACACCAGCCTGGGCAACAGAGTGAGACCCTGTCTCAGTAAGCCAACCAACCAACCAACCAACCAACCCAGATGTTCATGAACTGGTGAATGAATAAATGTGGTATATCTATACAATGGAATATTATTTAGCCATAAGAAGAAATGAAGTACTGGTACATGCTACAACGTGGATGACCCTTGCAAACATTATGCCAAATAACAGAAGCCAGTCAGAAAAGAACATATATTGTGTGGTTCTATTTATATGAAAAATCCGGAATAGGTAAATCTTTGGAGACAGAAAGTAGACAAGTGGTTGCGTAGGGCTGGGAATATGTGGGGAGAATGAACAGTGACTGCCAATGGGTATGGATTTCTTTTGGAAGTGATTAAATGTTCTCAAATTAGATACTGGTGTTAGTTGTACAACTCTATGAATATAGTCAAAACATTGAATTGTACATTTTAAATGTGTAAATTGTATTGATACATGAATTATAGCGATAAAGCTGTCTTAAAAAACTCATGTAGCTGGGTGCGGTGGCTTATGTCTGTAATCAGTCCTAGCACTTTGGGAGGCTGAGGTGGGCGGATCACAAGGTCAGGAGTTTGAGACCAGCCTGACCAATATGGTGAAACCCCATCTCTACTAAAAATACAAGAATTAGCCGAGTGTGGTGGCAGGCGCCTGTAGTCTCAGCTACTCAGGCGGCTGAGGCAGGAGAATTGCTTGAACCTGGGAGGTGGAGGTTGCAGTGAGCTGAGATCGTGCCATTGCACTCCAGCCAGCCTGGGCAACAGAGCAAGACACTGTCGAAAAAAAAAAAAAAAAAAGAACTCATGTAAATATTATAAATTCTTCTGCTGTTAGCTTTTTTGACTCAGCGTTATAAGCCCAAGCAAATCATATTTTGAGATTCATAAATTTTTGTTCATTTAATTTTGTATTCCTCATTTCATATTTCGTTGTATGAATTTATTAATCAATTTTCCTTTTTGCTATTGAAAACAGTGCTTCAGGCTGGGTGCAGTGGCCTGTAATCCCAACATTTGGGAGCCAAGGAGGATTCCATGAGCCCAGGAGTTCAAGACCAGCCTGGGCAACATAGTGAGACCCCTTATCTATTAAAAAAATTTACAAAACCAATGCTTTATTGGACAGTGTAGTGCATATTTACTTGTATGATATACTTTCTAATTTTTTTAAGAGGTAGAGTCTCACCCTGTCATCCAGGCTGGAGTGCGGTAGCATGATAATAGCTCACTGCAGCCTTGAGGTCATAGGCTCAAGCAATCCTCCCATTTCAGCCTCCCAAGTAGCTAAGATTACAGGCATTTGCCACCATGCCTGGCTAATTTTTAAAATTTATTTTTCGTAGAAACAGGGTCTATCTATATTGCCCAGGCTGGTCTCGAACTCCTGGCCTCAAACGATCTTCCTGCCTTGGCCTCCCATGCCTGGGATTACAGGCATGAGCCACCATGCCCGGCCTGGATTATACATCTTTAAAACTTTCTTCCAAATTAGAATTTGATGGGATTATTGATACTTAGTAATTTGTTTATTTAGAAGGCATTTTATTGCTTTACCTCAAGATATTTAGTTCATTTAATTATACAATTTAAAATTGAAGTTAGTAGAAGTACTTTTGTCTTCTGAAGGTCGTCTGTAGTATCTTCGGCAATAGAAAAGGTAGGATTTCTTAACTGTTGGACCTTTACTGGTATTTTAGTGTTATATGAGATGTGTCCTCATTGTTGTGTATGCCAATATATTTTATAGAAAAAGCCACGAATGAGTACAACACTACAGAAGATTGGAGTCTTATTATGGACATATGTGACAAAGTTGGAAGTACTCCTAATGGGTAAGATGTCCAGTCATGCTCAGTGAATGTCTAGGAACTTGATAACCAGTGTCTCTTTTTGTGATGTAACTTTGAGAGGAAAATGAGACTTTATCACAGTTGACCCTTGAACAACACAGATTTAAACTGCGAGGGTTCACTTATACATAGGTTTTCTTCCACCTCTGCTACCTCTAAGACAGCAAGACCAACCCCTCTTCCTCCAACTCATGATTTCCTTAACAACATTTTTTTTTCTCTAGCTTACCTTATTGTAAGAATACAGTATATTATGTATATACAAAATATATGTCCATCTACTGTTTATGGTATTGGTGAGGCTTCTGGTCAAGAGTAGGCTGTTAGTTGGCTGGGCGCAGTGGCTCACGCCTATAATCCCAGAACTTTGAGAGGCCGAGGCGAGCAGATCACTTGAGGTCAGGAGTTCGAAACCAGCCTGGCCAACATGGTGAAACCCCATCTCTACTAGAAATACAAAACTTAGCTGGACATAATGGTGTGCGCCTGTAATCCCAGCTACTTGAGATGCTGAGACAGGAAAATCGCTTGAACCCAGGAGGCAGAGCTTGCAGTGAGCCGAGATGGCACCACTGCACTCCAGCCTGGACGGTAGAGCGAGACTCTGTCTCAAAAAAAAAAAAAAAAAAAGAGTAGACTATTAATAGTGAAGTTTTTGGGGAATCAAAAGTTATACACAGATTTTCGGCTGCGTGGGGTGTTGGTGTCCTTAACTTTCATGTAGTTAAAGGGTCAGTTGTTTTACTTTTGGGACATAAAAGTTAAAAAAGCCTGAATGCTGGATTTATGGGATTAATTTACATGAAAAAGAGTTCAACTGAAAATCTGCTATAGTAACACACATAATTAAAGCCTTGACACAATAGGATACATGATAACAATGTATAGGTGAGTTATTTAAGGAATTCCTCTGGGACTTCTATATGTATGGGAACTTTTAAATAATGAAGTAGATAACACAGTAGATAATATAACAAAAAAGTCTTCAAATAATATACATATAAATATAATAGATTAACAATGAAAAAAGTGAATATAAAAAAGTGCTTTTGGGGAGATGTGGCAATTAGCTGAACTATATGTTAGAAATTTAGAAGAGTGATGAAAGCATTTGTTTTAACATTAAAGCTTTTCATAGTACATTCACATGTTTATACTTGAACCTCTTAAAATTGTATATCATGTTAGATTTTTTTCAAGATAAGCTTTTGCTGTTTGAAAGCTAAACCTGTCTTGAAGAAATAGAAAGATCTGGTATACGTCTCTTGTGTTGACAGATCTTTTGTGAAATGGTTTGTCTCTTAATTTTGGAATACACAACATTTGCAACATGCTTTTTTTTTTTAAAGTTCTATGAGCCTATAAACAAAATATTGTGTAAAATCATTTTATAGATTTATTCCTTTAACAATATGAAATTTCCAGGATTTTAGTTTAGTTTATTTTTATTTTATACTTTCTTTATTTTGAGACACGGTCTCTGTCATCCAGGCTGGAGTATAGTGGCATGACACAGCTCACAGCAGCTTCCTGGGCTCAAGCAGTCCTCTTGCCTCAGCCTCCTGAGTAGCTAGGAGTACAGACACATGCCACCATGCCCAGCTAATTTTTAAGTTTTTTATAGAGATGAGATCTTACTTTGTTTTCCAGGCTGGTCTCAAATTCATGGGCTCAAGTGATCCTCCCGCCTTGGCTTCCCGAAGTGTTGGAATTACAGGCATGAGCCATTAAATATAAAATTATTTGGTAATAGAATAATACCTTAATGTTTGAATTAAATTTATCAGTAAATACTTAACTGTCTCTCTCTCTCTTTTTTTTTTTAGAGCGAAAGATTGCCTAAAAGCCATAATGAAAAGGGTAAATCATAAGGTTCCACATGTTGCTCTGCAAGCACTAACTGTGAGTACAAGGCATGTTATTATTTGACGCAAATTTTAAATGTGTTTTTAATTACAGTAAGTTAATATTTCAATATTCATATATTTTTATTTCAATTAATAGCTTCTTGGGGCTTGTGTGGCAAACTGTGGAAAGATATTTCATTTAGAAGTATGTTCCCGTGATTTTGCAACAGAAGTACGTGCTGTGATTAAAAATAAGGTAAATTTTAAAAACAGAAGAACTTTAAGTCATTAAAAAAATGTAGATTGTGTGTCATTATAACTATATGTGGCATTACTAAAGTATTATAAATGAAGTCATTTTTAGATCATTGAAATGAAATAAACTGTTCTGAAATTTGATTTTTTAATGTGTAGCACCAAAAACTATTCTCCCCAAAGTATATATACTGTAAATAATAGCAAATCCTTTTTGAGGGCTAGTAAGTAGTCATTACTTTAAGCATTTTACATATACTGTCTTGTTGAATGCTCTTAACTACCCTTGGAGCATTAGATTCTTGGAAGTTAGATTCCCTTATCATTCTTATTTTATAAATGCAAAAACTGAGACTTAGAAGTAACTTGTCCAAGGTCATGCAGCTGGTAACTGGAATAGCCATGATTTACATCCAGGTTTCTCTGGCTCCATTCTCCGAAACATGGAGGAAATAATCTCTGAATATAAAAGATCTGTTGTCATTATAGTAAGACTTAGGAATTGGTGTTAAAAACAGTCATTTTGTATGAAACAACTATATCACAACATGTAAATAGGCATCTATCAATTACTCAACTAGGCTAGAAATTTCAGGACTTTTGTTGATGTTCATATAATTAAAGAGAATTTTGATGGTAATTCTCCTTGTTAAATAATTTAAGTACTTATTTTAACCGTAGATTTTTGTTTATTTTCCTTTCCTTTTCCTTAAAAGGCACATCCTAAAGTATGTGAAAAACTGAAATCTTTAATGGTGGAGTGGTCAGAAGAATTTCAGAAGGACCCTCAGTTTAGTCTGATATCTGCAACTATTAAATCTATGAAAGAAGAAGGAATTACTTTTCCTCCAGCAGGTTCTCAGGTGAGAGATTTATTCAGACCCATGGTTGACCCTATAATATTTTGAAGGTATGTATGTTATGTAAAGACTAGGCAAGGTATGTCTAGATTATCATTTTCCACCTTTACTTCCCAAATGACTCTCTAGCATAGTGCCTTCCTTACGTTTAGTAGACATTCTAGTTTTTATGTGTATTTCTTCCACATATCAGAACCTTGTGAAGTTAATCAGACATAGTGTATTTAATGTTCCTCTAAGTCTACAGTCATGCAAAAGGCATAGGTATATGACATACCCCTTATATTCAAGAAATTTGTAGCAAATTTGAATGATAGCTTTATACATGTGAAAAATAACTAATTTAGATTGTAAGTGACAAATACAGGATGAGGGGAATAGACTGCATACTGTCTATCTTAATACCAAAGAGAGAAAGAGGTGACTACAGATTGGAATGGTGAAGAAGGTAAAGAGGTAGAATTTTGAGACTTGAATGTATTAATATTTTGTTAGAGAGAAGTGAAGAAGTCATATCAGGAGGTAAGTGAAATGAACAAATTCATGGAATTGAGAGGCTCAAGACTTGTTTGTTCAAGAGTGAATATGCCTAGAGTGAATGCTTCACATACAAGATGGATGGAAATGTAAGACTAGAAATTTATTTGCTGGGAGAAGGGATAGCTTTAGTAGAACTGGGGTGTGGAGGCAGGGATGTTGACTCATGGAGTGGGCTGGTTTTTTTAGGTCTAGGGGAGAAAAATACTATTCCTTGGGTTTTGCTCTCAGTACCTTATTCCTTCCCATTAATATTAAGATATGGGCTAGGGAAAGAGACGATGAGAAGTACTATATTTTCTTTTATTTTAAATCATAGATTAAAGAGAAAAAAAGATTTTTTTTTTTTTTTTTTTGAGATGGAGTTTTGCTCTTGTTGCCCAGGCTGGAGTGCAGTGGCACAACCTCAGCTCACTGCAATCTCTGTCTCCCGGGTTTAAGCAATTCTCCTGCCTCCGCCTTTAGAGTAGCTGGGATTGCAGGTGCCTACCACCATGCCCGGCTAATTTTTTGTATTTTTAGTAGAGACGGGGTTTCACCATGTTGACCAGGCTGGTCTCAAACTTCTGACCTCAGGTGATCCACCTGCCTCGACCTCTCAAAGTGCTGGGATTACAGGCATGAGCCACCACGCTGGCCGAAAAAAGATTCTTTATAGCTGACCAGACCTAAGGGTACAAGGTAACGTTTTGAGATAAGAGTCTTATAAGTAATAAAAAGGAAACATTTTCCTGTTCTGTCCTTTCTGCATATTTTTCTGAAAAATCTATGTAAAGAACCGGTTGATGGATCAGTCCTGGATACCTGTCTTACATGCTGTTTATTAAATTCAAGCATGACCTTCCTTACTTCTCTGCTATGTCTGGCAGACCACTGCCACCCAGCCACAATAACTAGTAAAAGGACTTCACACATATTCCTAGAACTGCACCTCTTGTCTCTGTCCCCATTCCTCTCTCTTCAGTGATGATCATGACTTCTTGCTGGCACTCCTCGTGTAGCTGTACTCCTATAGCAGAGCTCCTCTCACTAAGAGACCTTGGACAATTGAGATCGGGAATACAATCAGAAAAGAGTCTTTTTTAAATTCTATTAATATTTAAGTACTTTCTGTATGCCAAGTTCTGTGTTACATTTATGCAAAATCTAAGCCAGTTTGATCCCTGTGTGAGTTTATAATGTTTTCTTGAAAAATCTGATGTTTTATTTTAGTATTTGAAAACAATTATTTAAAATTATTATAAAGAACTTCACTTTTAGACCAGTGATGGTGGCTCATGCCTGTAATCTTAGCACTTTGGTAGGCTGAGACAGGAGAATCACTTGAGGCTAAGAGTTGCAGATCAGCCCAGGAAACATAGTGAGACCCTGTCTCTACAAAAAATAAAAATTAGCCGGTTGTGGATGCATACACCTCTAGTTCCGGCTTCCCAGGAGGCTGAGGCAAGAGGATCACTTGAGCCCAGGAGTTGGAGGTTACAGTGAGCTATGACTGTGCCATGCACTGCAACCTGGCTGACAGAATGAGACCCTGTCTCAAAAAAGAACTTCACTTTTAAATGAAACTCAGTTATATCAGTATTTTTTAAAATTTACCATCTGCAAGTAATTATGGAGCTTGTGTTTTGTTTGAAAAGATAGTTGTGTTCATTTTACTCATACATTTACAGACTGTCTCAGCTGCTGCCAAGAATGGTACGTCATCGAACAAAAACAAAGAGGATGAAGACATAGCTAAAGGTAAATGATCAAGCACATGTAATTTAGTGTTGCTTAAAATATCTTTGCCAGGGCTGGGCGCGGTGGCTCACGCCTGTAATCCCAGCACTTTGGGAGGCCGAAGTGGGCAGATCATGAGGTCAAGAGATCGAGACCAGCCTGACCAACAAGGTGAAACCCCATCTCTACTAAAAGTACAAAAATTAGCTGGGCGTGGTGGCGGGCGCCTGTAGTCCCAACTACTCGGGAGGCTGAGGCAGGAGAATCGCTTGAACCCAGGAGGCGGAGGTTGCAGTGAGCCAAGATGGCACCACTGTGCTCCAGCCTGGCGATGGAGTGAGACTCCATCTCAAAAAATATATATATGTATTTGCCAGAACATTTTTTTGAAATAAAAATGATAATAAAACTAGCATACTTTTATTTTTACCTCAAATCTAAAAACTAGTAGCATCCAAAAAGTAAGGAAAACAAATGACATGCTATCAAATGAATTTAATTCATTATCTTTTTTCAGTAATATGTATTTGATGTGCTACCTTTGGAGAGATTACATTTCACCTTTTTTTAATGCCAAAGTTATGAGTCAAGCAGAGAAATATGTTCATGGCTTATCCTATATGGAAAGCTACCCATATTATAATGTCACAATCTGTTTGCTATAAAAATAATTGCTGCTGTGTATGACAGACCGTGATAATAAAGAATGAGCAAAAACTTTATTTTAAAAATGTCATGGTTCCCTGCCCTGCCCCACCCTCCCGAAAGTTAACTGTAGCATGTAATTAGACAAATAAAATGCTTGATTTATTCTTATTAAATTTTACATTGTCATCTAATGTTTATTTTATCAAAATTAATTCCAGTTTCTTTGCATTTTAATTTTTGAAACTAGCTATTGAATTATCGCTGCAAGAACAGAAACAGCAACACACAGAAACAAAATCCTTATATCCATCTTCAGAAATTCAGTTAAATAATAAGGTTGCACGGAAAGTGAGAGCTTTATATGATTTTGAAGCTGTTGAGGACAATGAACTCACCTTTAAACATGGTGAAATAATTATTGTTTTGGATGACAGGTAAGTTTTAAATCTTTATGGGAAGGTTTAAAGTGTAATGCCCTTAATTTAGAATCCAGAGTATTCAGTTCTTTGACTTTTAGTGTATTTAAATCATAATAGAACCATTTCATACCTTGTTTTTTCTAAAATAAAAGTTAGGCATGTAATGTGAGCCTCTTCTCGTTATATTTGATAATTTATGTTTGTTATATTTGATAATTTATATCTTGGATGAAAGATGTATTAAATAATATTGTTGATGACCACAATTGGGAAACATGTAAATACTCAGTTACTTGAATATGTTTACGTTGGCAGTTGTGTGTACTGAAATTATTGGCAGAAAAACTTTAGGAAGAAATACAGCAATATACCCTTGATCAGAGCACCAAAAGCTATACTTGGCTCCTCCCCAATTCTTAATCTACTACTGTATTCTCCTCAGAATTTCTCTGCCATTTAAAGCTGTCATAAAAAATAGATCAATCTCTGTAGAGCTTAATACTGTTCTGTACTTTTAAAAGAAATTCATGAAATTTAGCAAGAGTGAGAAGTAAGCTTGTTGCTGTGAACACAGATTGCAGATGTATTTGGTATCCATTATAAATAACTTAGTTATTTATAACACACTAGTCTAATATATTTCTAGTATTTTTTAAATAAAGGGTAGATAAATAATGGTTTTACTTTACTGTGGTAAATAT
Source organism: Homo sapiens (assembly GCF_000001405.40). Lineage (NCBI taxonomy): Eukaryota > Metazoa > Chordata > Mammalia > Primates > Hominidae > Homo > Homo sapiens. The sequence continues at coordinate 152,143,140 of NC_000002.12, read as the reverse complement.
TTCTTGAGAAAATGTTATGTAATCAACTATTTAATAACAAATGAGGACACAGTTCTGTCTTCATAAAACCTAGAATAAAATAAGGGAGTTAAAATTACCATATAGACAATTGTATGGAAGGCAGAATGTGGTGAATACCATAAAAGAGGTGCTGTTGGAGCCCAGATAGCAGATTTACACTTGGTGCAAGCATCTGGCAAAGAAGGCTTATCCTGCGGCTCCATTTCAGGTGTGTATCTTGATTGGTTTTGATAAGATAAAAAATTTTGCAAGAAGTTGAGGATGGGAAAAGGAAGGTCTCTTAGGCAATCAAGATAGTACCATCTTCACTTAGAAAATCTTTTTTCCATAAAGAAAAATTTTTTAAATAATCATTTGGAGTGGAACACCATGATCCCTGAAGGAGAATAGATAGAAATACAGATGTTTCTCAACTTATATTAGCCTACAGTTGGGCAAAATCATCTAACACAAAACCTATTTATTATAATAAAGTATTGAATATCTCATGTAACTTATTGAATACTGTACTGAAAGTAAAAACCAGAATGGTTTATGGGTATCTGAGTGTGTATCACTTTTGCACCATCGTAAGTCATGCCATCATGAGTTTGACACTGTCTGTAAAGATGGAGAGATAGTGTGGGCTCTGAACACTGACAGTCTGAAATGTCAGGCTTATGAGTGTCTTTTAGTTAGAGTACTTACAAAAGAACTTAGGTTTACCGTTTTGATACTCTTATACAACTATGAAGTTAAAGATATTTATAAAATAAAAACAAAATGAGTGGTTTTGTCTAAGATTTTAATTTAGAGCATTACTTTATATAACAAAATTTTCTAAAATAAATTACTGCTCACAAAACAATTTTCAGTTAAGATTTATCACCTCAAAAAAGAACTTTTTTATTTGTAACTGCTAAGAGAATTCAACATGAATGTGATGGAATTTGTAGGTCAATTGCTGTCATTTTGACGATAGGACACCCTACTTTTATAGTTGCTGTAAGCATGCTTATGGGTAAAATATTGTCATTTTAGGTGATTGGTAATCGCTGGTAGACAAATGCAAACTTGCATGCTAAAGTTAAATGACAGTCTTCGGTTAAAAGGAAGTCATCCAGAAAATGACTCTATTCATTGTTTTTATACTTTTGTGGAATTTGAAGCATAAAATTTTCACACACAGAAGTCCCTTGAAGTCCCTTGAAAATATATCATTCTTGGATCTCCATTTAAGAACCATGGAGCTGGCAGGGCGTGGTGGCTAACACCTGTAATCCCAGCACTTTGGGAGGCTGAGGCGGGCGGATCACGAGGTCAGGAGTTCGAGACCACCCTGGTCAATATGGTGAAACCCTGTCTCTACTAAAAATACAAAAATTAGCCGTGCATGGTGGCGCACGCCTGTAGTCCCAGCTACTTGGGAGGCTGAGGCAGGAGAATCGCTGGAACCCGGGAGGCGGAGGTTGCAGTGAGCCGAGATCGTGCCATTGCACTCCAGCCTGGGCGACAGAGCGAGACTCTGTCTCAAAAAAACAAACAAACAAACAAACAAAAAAACATTGAGCTGATAGAAAAGGTGCACATTTCTTATTTATTTATTTGAGACAGAGTCTTGCTTTATCGCCCAGGCTGGAGTGCAGTGGTGCCATCTCAGCTCACTGCAACCCCCGCCCCCTGTGTTCAAGTGATTCTCCTGCCTCAGCCTCCCCAGGAGCTGGGATTACAGGCATGCGCCACCATGCCCAGCTAATTTTTGTATTTTTAGTAGAGAGGGTTTCGCCATGTTGGCCAGGCTGATCTCAAACTCCTGACCTCAGGTAATCTGCCCATCTCGGCCTCCCAAAGTGCTGGGATTACAGGCGTGAGCCACTGTGCCGGCCCAAAGGCGCACATTTTTTATTAATGGAGTATATCAAGAAAAGCGTTTTACTTTCTACACTTTTAGCTTTATCTTACCACTCCATGTTTCTTTTCTTTTCTTTTTTTTTTTTTTTTTGAGACAGGGTCTCACTCTGTCGCCCAGGCTGGAGTGCAATGGCGTGATCTTGGCTCACTGCAACCTCCACCTCCCAGGTTCAAGCAATTCTCCCACCTCAACCTCCTGAGTAGCTGGGAATTCAGGTGTGCACCACCATGCCCGGCTAATTTTTTGTATTTTTAGGGGTAGAGACAGGGTTTAATCATGTTGGCCAGGCTGGTCTCAAACTCCTGGCCTCAAGTGATCCACCCGCCTCAGCCTCCCACAGTGCTGGGATTACAGGCGTGAGCCACTGTGCCTGGCCCACTCCATGTTTGTTTTCTGTGTACCATTTCAAATAATCAAGTGGAATTCTTGCAGTTCCAAAAATGCCATTTTCTGCTTAGTCCTCTGTAGCATTGCACCTTTGGTTCTGTCTGCCTGGAAAGCCCTGCTGAAGGAGGTAAAAGCATTTAGAAAAGGAAAAGAACTTTACTTTCAAGGACAGTTTGCAAGGGAGTCCAGGCTTTAGAAAAGTTGCCTCCCCATGTTAAAAAGTAAAACAGGTATTTTAAGGAAAAGACCCCCACAAGGTTACCAGGTTTTTCCAGGTTTGCTATTTATATGTTCATGGTAGAAATAGCAGTTTTCTCACGTGATAATTATATCCATAAAGGACATCACTACCTTCAGTCATTGTCATTGCAAAAGTTAGCAGGTGAGTACTTTTTGTTAAGAAATCAGTAGTTAAAAGGAAAGGCTCAAGTTTTTATGTACTTTGAGACCTAAAACTAAATATGGTAACATTTTTTGTTTTATCTCAGAGTGCAGAGTTTTTTGTTTGTTCGTGCCTTGTTTTCTTGCTTATCAATAATGGCAGGAGGGCAAAATGTCATTTTTATTTCCACAGACTTAATTTTCTTTTCCTCCTGGCAAGTGCCTACTTAACCTTCAAAACCCGTGTCAGATTTTATATCCTCTGAGAAGCCTTTCAACCTTTCTCTGCTTTTTAGCTCCCAGTGGAGTTAAGAGTTCTCTTCTTTGAGCTATAGCTCTCTGAACATATGTAACAGCATTTCTCATACTGTATTTTAAATAGAGTCATTTCTCAGTTCCTTAGAGAGTTGGTTCCAGAACCCCTGTTGATACCAAAATCCACAGATGCAAGTCTTCGATATAAAATGGCGTCATATTTGCATATAACTTACACACATCTTCCTGTATACTTTAAATTATCTCTAGATAACTTATAGTACCTGATACAATGTAAATGCTATGCAAATCATTATATTGTATTTTTAAATACAATATATTGTATTAAAAATTTTTTTTGTTGTTCTATTGTCATTTTTGTTTATCTTTCATGAATACTTTTGATTTGGGGTTTGTTGAGTCCATGGATGTAGCACTTGCCAGATACAGAGGGCAAACTGCGCTTCTTTACGTATGTCTCTCTACTAAATCAGTTGATTCTGAAGAGGCTCATGACTTCCTTGGGTGGGAGGAAGGAGAAAGGAGAAAAATTCTGAAGGTAAAGCAAGATAACATATTTTTAGTCAGTTCTGTAGGAGAGATTGTAAAACACTGCTAGATTTTTTTTTCTTGTTTTTATAGATAGGGTATGACTGGGTTACCGAGGCTGGAGTGCAGTGGTTATTCACAGGCGTGAGCATAGCACGCTACAGCCTGGACTCCTGGCCTCAAGCAGGCCTCCTCCCTCAGCCTCCTGGGTAGCTGGGACTACAGCTTTGTGCTAGATTTTAAACTTCTTGAGGGCACAAATGGTGTCTTAATTATCTTTGTAATTTCAGTGCTTAGCCTGAAGGTACTATTTTCTCCATGGTAGGTTTTCATAAATGTTAGCTGAATAATGTTTGTTGAAGGTGAGGTTTATGTTCTTTACACTTGTATCATTTTTTGTTTTTCACTCAGTTGTGATTTATTCTTTTTTTAATATAAAAAGCTCTAAATATAAATGCTACATTAAAATTTTCTTTAATTATTAAATGGTTTGTGTAAAATTAGAGTGCCAATTTCTTTAATTTGAGAATTTAAGCTTGAACAATGTTTTTTTGCTATCAACATTCCATAGAATCAACTTGTAGTCAGTGGAGAGAATATAGAGCTGGATTAGGGCTGGGAAGGAGTTGTCAATTTGGTTGCTTTGCCTACTTTTATGCTTCATCAAAGAGTTTGTAGTAGTGGCTGGGAGGAAAATTATCCTATATTGGTAGAACCACTAAGGAAGGGTACACACATACAGTTGTTGGTAGGTTCATATAAAACGCTTGCATCCATTTCACAGGTTTGGGTTTTCTCGTTTTATACAAAAATTTCTCAAGTTCAGCTCTCCTTTTCAAAATGAAAAGTTAACTTAAAAATGTGTTTGTAAGAGAAAGAAAATTTTTCCTATCTTCCATAGATATTTGCAGATATGATATCTTAGAACTGTCAGTACATCAATACATCAGTTATTTTCTGGCTTTAAGAACTTGGATGATATATAACTCTTTCGTCTCTTTCTAGTGCTCATAAATGAAATGATGTTTCATAATCATAGACATTAATTCATCCATAAGACTCATACTTAAGAATGTCTATTCAATAAGTCAGATTTTTGGAAAGGAATAGATAAAATTATCATTATTTCCAGATACTATGATTTTCCATATAGAAAGTTCAAGAGTCCGATGGATAAACTATTACAAGTGGTAGGAGTTCATAAAGGTTGTTGGATACAAGCTCAACATACAAAACTCAGTAGTATGCTTTAATTACAACTTTTTAGAAAATGTAGTAAAAAAAAGTCATTCTCAGTAGTAACAAAAATTATATAAATGATCTAGAAATGAATAAGCCTAACAAAGATATGTAAGGTCTTTATGGATTAAATTATAAAATTATTTGAAAGCTATAAAAGAATATAAATATATTTTTACATATTATGTTTTACATAAATGTAAATGGAGGATACCATGTTCATAGGGAAGAAACCTTAATATTGCAAAGATTTCTTTTTTCTTATATTATTGCATAATTTCAGTGCATTTCCAGTTCAAATCCCAACAGGACTTTTTCCCCAGAGAACTTGAAAAGTAATTTAATATTAATGTGGAAATTTGAAGGTGTGCAATAAATGAGAAAGAGTAACATAGAAAGGGTATTTTCCCTGGCAGATATTAAGGTACATTAACAAGATGTGTGAACAGATACATGGACTATTGCAACAGAATGGAGTCTAGAAATAGGCTCATGAATAGATTACTGTTTGAAAGGTAGGGTATTATAAATTACTAGAAAAAATGGTGGACTATTTAATAAATTTTGCTGTGATGAATGGCTCTTTTTATACTACAGATAAAATTTTGATCAGTTTCACATAGTACATTAAAATTTCATTCCAAATGAATTAAAGACCTAAACATGGGAGAGGGAAAAAAAAAATAAAAAAACTAAAACTACAGTTAAGTATATAGGAGAATAGATTTAGGAGTTTAAGGGTAGAAAAGGGTAAAAGCATAAGCCATGAAAGAAAAGATTGCCAAATTTGATTGCATAGGGGAAAAAACCACTGTACAGTTAAAGAAACCATAAACATATGCTGAAAAGACAGCGACAGCCTAGAAGAAGTTCTCTGCATAATTCAGACAAACAACTGCTGTCCAAAATGTGTAAAGAACTTCTACAGATCCATGAAAAAAGACAAATGATCCAGTAGAATAAGAAAAGTGGGCAAAAATACGAAAAAAAAGGCAGTTTACAGAAAAGGCAATCTGAATAGCTAGCAAGCACAAGTAGATGCTTGGGAAATGCAAGTGCATACAATGAAATACGATTTCTCTCCTGTCTGATTATCAAGTGTTAGTTGGGAAAATTATCACATATAAGGGAAGATGACATTGTTACATGCAACCGGGGGGAGGAGAAAGGTGAATTTTCACAGCCATTCTAGGGAACATTTGGCAATATCTAGTAAAATGAAATGCTTATGGCCGGGTGCGGTGGCTCACACCTGTAATCCCAGCACTTTGGGAGGCTGAGGCAGGCGGATCACTTAAGATAAAGTTTGAGACCAGCCTGGCCAACATGACAAAACCCCATCTCTACTAAAAATACAAAAATAGGTGTGGTGGTGCATACCTGTAGTCCCAGCTACTTGGGAGACCGTGACAGGAGAATTTCTTGAATCTGGGAGGGAGAGGTTGCAGTGAGCCAAGATCGTGCCACTGCACTCCAGCTTGGGTGACACAGCAAGACCTCGTCTCAAAAAAAAAAAAAAAAAAAAGAAAAATGTTTATATTCTTAAATCCCAGCAAGTTCACGTCTGTGAATAAGCGCAGAGAAATTGTTGCATGGGTGTCCTCAAGTCTAGGATGATCATTACCTTATCTTTGTAATGGTGAAAGACTGGAATCAACCTAAATGTCCATCTCTACAGGAATGGATAAATATGGCCTATTCGTGTGTTGGAATTTTAATTTAAAAGGAATAAGCAAAATTTGAAAGTATTAATATATAAAATTAAAAAGGTCTGTATGGATTAGCATCTGTGTCTGTTTCTATATGGACTTGGCTATAGATACGTGTAAAAGAACAAAAAACAGACTGACAAGAAGGCTACCAACTTTATTGTGGCAGTGTGGTAAGATGGATGTGGTGCTGGGATTTGGGGTCATTACTAAAGGGCACTTGTGTTTCCTGTTTACTTTTTAATTTTTTAATTTTATTATTTTTTTTTTGAGACAGAGTCTCTATCCTCCAGGCTGGAGTGCAGTGACGTGATTTCAGCTCACTGCAACCTCTGCCTTCTTGGTTCAAGCGATTCTCCTGCGTCAGCCTCCCAAGTTGCTGGGATTACAGGCACCTGCCACCACACCCGGCTAATTTTTGTATTTTTAATAGAGACAGGGTTTTGCCATGTTGGCCAGGCTAGTCTCGAACTCCTGACCTCAGGTGATCCACTCGCCTCGGCCTCCCAAAGTGCTGGGATTACAGGCATGACCTACTGCATCCGGCCTTACTTTTTTAAAGTCCAGAATAAAAAATGATTAATTGCTAATTGGTTCTAATTTTTTTTTTTTTTTTTTTTGAGACGAGTCTTGCTGTGTCACCCAGGCTGGAGTGCAGTGGTGCCATCTTGGCTCACTGCAACCTCCTCCTCCCGGGTTTAAGCGATTCTCCTGCCTCAGCCTCCCAAGTAGCTGGGACTACAGGTGTGTGCCACCATGCCTGGCTAATTTTTGTATTTTTAATAGAGATGAGGTTTCACCATGTTGGACAGGCTGATCTCAAACTCCTGACCTCTGGTGATCTGTCCACCTTGGCCTCCCAAAGTGTTGGGATTATAGGCGTGAGCCACTGCGCCTGGCTGGTTCTAAGTTTAGATATAGGGATGTGGATATTTGTTTTACTTGTACTTTTTAATATCGTTTATTAAATTTAAGAAAAATGACTCAATTATAGCTGCTTGTAAACGGATATATTCAAAGGAGGCTAAATTTAATTTTTAATTCATCTTTGCTTATTGTATTAAAATGTGGGGAACAAATGATATTTTTTGCACTGTATTTTTAGTGATGCCAATTGGTGGAAAGGAGAAAATCACAGAGGAATAGGACTTTTCCCATCCAATTTTGTAACAACTAATTTAAACATAGAGACTGAGGCAGGTAAGTTAAATCTTAGACGACATTAGATCTATTTAAGTTTTTTTCACTTAAATTTTATGTTTCAGTTTTGGATGTAAAGTAGATTGGCATTTAACTTTTGTTTTAAATCATTTCTTTATAGGCATGACAATCTAACCTACTTTTTAACCAAATTAAGGGGTTAATTTAGCCTGTGTCAATCCCAAGAATTATTTCCTCTTATTTTACATCCTCTGAGAGTTAGCATACATAGTTAAATGTCAGGCATAAAATCATTTGTGACCATGCAGGTATTTAAATCAACCTAACTATGTAGTGTAAGAGGCAGTTCATATCTATTCTGTACAAAGAGTGTTTTGATTCATCAGTGAACCACAGAGGCAAAGCGGGAGTGGTGTGGGGAGGTTGTGGTTGGCAAGTGCCGAATATGATTACTGGGGTTAGGAGTACTCCTAAATTTTAGACCTTTCCTCACCTTGATTTGATCCTAGGGAGCTTGAAACAATAACAACAAAGTAATGTAATCAAGCCACTAAGCTTCCTGTTTCAGATCTGCTGAACTTTAGTCAGTCTGCAGCCACAGACAGTTCCATTTTAGTCACTTTAGCCATTGTCAACCATGCTGAGAAAGCATTCCATTTGTTATTCAGGTAGGGAGGTGGGGGGATCTGAGTGTAAAGGAACAGCTCGTAATAGTACTAATGATGGTAATCAGAAATAGTTACTGGTTTTTGAGCATTCATTATTTGTCAGGCATTGTGCTAAGTCATCTGTACTATTGCATTTCAATCTCACGGTTCTGTGAGATAGCTACTTTTGTTGCCCTGTCTTACAGATAAGGACACTGAGGCTGAGGGATTATGTGTCTAGTAAGTGATTGAGCCAGGATTCTAAAGTCAGTCAGTTTGACCTTAACAATGACTCACTGAGGGATATATCAGTGCTAGTCCTTGCCAGTTCAGGAGAAAGAACTTCAAATGAAAGCATTATGCATGTGTAACATCGTCTTTGTATGTGTAGAGTGATACATTCAGAAAAATGAAGTCGTGAGAGGTTGATACTCACTGATTTGAATATAGAGTACTTTGCCATTATTTATAATTTTATTCCTTTTAACTGACTCTCTAAGTAGATAGGAATATTGGAGATACCTTTAAAAAATAACTTTATAGATCATGCTCAGGGGATTCTATATAGCAGTTTCTCCTTGACATAGGCTGGAGAGTATTAAGAGGAAAAAATATTGTGGATTTTCAGTTTATCCTTGTGTTATGCTGACTTCTGTTCTTTGAAAGTTAGCCAAATATTTGAAATAAATGACTAACAGTTGGGATTTAAAATTGTTTGGCTACATAGGTTTTTATTGTAGTTTTATTTTTACCAAAATTTACTTTGTTAAAATATGGTACATTCTAGCAATACTCCAGGGAACATTTAAATAGTTTTCTGGGTTTATGTATTTGTAAGTTTTTTTTCAACCTTCTCTTCATGAAAAACTTTTGTGTTTAGTGTTGTTTTAACTATTATCGAAGTTAGCTTAAAATAAGTTTTATTTTTTGTTCATATAGGAAATAGTTTTTTTAAATAGAAGGGAAGAGTGTAGAAGGAACTCGTAGATGTAACTATGAAATTAGCTAGTTAATAATCTGCTAGATAATAGTCTGCTGTCATATATTTATTCACCCCAGTGGTAACACTCAGTTTTCAGGAAAATGCCTAAAATGTCAGCTGCTGTTTATATTGTACACTTGTTCCACTAAAATTTTAAGTTCCAAGAGGTTAGGGATTCTTGTCTGTTTTATTCACCGGTGTCTGTATAAATGCCTAGAACAATGCCTGGCACATAATGAGTACTAAATAAATGTTTGTGAAATAAATGACCAAACGTATGTAATAAACGTATGTAATATTGATTATAAAATGTGGTGAATATTTGAAGGACTTTTATTTTTTTTTCTTATGGACAATCATAGGCCACTTATAAATTAATGACTAAAATTACTGAAGTAAATGCTGAGGAACTTAAAATTACTTTGTTTCTATAGCGGCTGTGGACAAATTGAATGTAATTGATGATGATGTGGAGGAAATTAAGAAATCAGAGCCTGAGCCTGTTTATATAGATGAGGTAGGGTCCCTCTTTTGTTTAATAGTTAAACTATCAAGACATTTAAATGTACTATCTTTGAGAATGCTTGGAAAGAGTAATTTCATATTTACTGAAGTTAAAACTCTTGAGTTTTTGAAAAGTGTCCTGTTACTTTTTTAGGATAAGATGGATAGAGCCCTGCAGGTACTTCAGAGTATAGATCCAACAGATTCAAAACCAGACTCCCAAGACCTTTTGGATTTAGAAGGTACTTAGTGAATATTTTATATTATTTTAATATTATTTAATATTTTAGCTATTCATGATGTCTTCAGTTTCTTCTGCCTTGTATTTGCCTCTAGAGGTTAGAAATCTCCGGTGGGGAACAGACTAGTACAGTAAAATAGTAAAAGTATTACTTGGAAGGCATTGTCATAAACCTGCAAATCCTTTTCATAAAGCAAGTATTTGTATTTCTTTAAGCCCACTAGTAAAATTGGCTGAAGATTTTTGCAGTCCAAAAAAGGACAGAATTAAAAATAACAGTACATCAAATTGAGTCAAAATGTTTAAAATGCTTATTGCTGTTTAATGTTCTTGTATTATGAATTTAAAGGACAAAATTATACATGATAATTGTTAACTTCATAACATAGTCAATTGATGCATGTTGATGTGTCTTTTAGTCTCTAAGAAATGTGAGAACAATTAAAACGTGTTTTTTATGCTTTAAAAAAAATCTTTTGGGATAAGAATCTCTGGTAAATAATTCTTCTTAAATCTTTATATAGAAGAAACATCTGGTTATGAATATAGAATACAGCGTTGTGCTCTTTATTGTGTCAGTGTTCACATTGGGAAATACACAGTATGTTTAATCTTGAAATGTCTTAAGTAAATGAAAAATCTTCATATCTGATGGGCAAAGGTTACATAGTTTATATACTGTGGCTTAAGTTTGTTTTAGTTAACTAATCATAGTTTTCTAGATGTCTTTAAGACTTTGGGATAACTCCAGATTTCACAGTCTGTCAACTTAGTTAATAGTTTCAAGAAAACATAATGAGGTTTTTATTTTAAAGTTGACCTTGCTTTTAGTCACATGATAGTAATATGTAGTAGTAGTGCTGAATAGTAGTCTTTCTCTAGCATGAGCTTAATCTGTGTGTATTATGCATAGTGTTGTATATTGGTGCTATATTGTTAAAAATTGTTGAAATTGGCTTAAACTGGATTAAGTTTCTATATTTGTAAGTATTTTTGTATTTACAGATATCTGCCAACAGATGGGTCCAATGATAGATGAAAAACTTGAAGAAATTGATAGGTGAGATTTTTCGTGCAGGAATAAAAAGTATAGTTTTGGGGGGTTCACTTGTGTTTTGGCAAACAGTAAAGTAGGGAAAGTTTTTGTGGAACTGTACAATTCATGGAAATTGTTTTTCAGTTTCCCAGGCTTTTAACAAATTTATAGCAAGGTGGTGCTTTTTATCTTGTTTTTGTTTTTCTAAAAAACAAGCTCTGACAAGTTTTATTAAATAAAAATTTTGCATGGCTTACTTTTAACCAGTCTGTTCTAGCATGCTTCTAGTGATATTAGAACTGCCTGGATCAGTGATAGCCAGTGTGCCTACTCTCTAGTATTTTCTGCATGCCGTGCCCATCATTGCCACTGTAGTGATGGACAGCAGTTTTGGCCAACATTGTATAGCACTCTATTTCAGATTTCCTCAAAGCTGGACAGTTTTAGTGAGGATGACCAATTTTGCTTTGCCTTTTCTGATCATCTTCAGAGTCTACTTTTACCCCAGCACATACTTTCCACTTTTCATAAGTTGGAGCCTAGAGTTAATCAACTCCACTGACTTTTTCCTCTTTGAGACCATCCTGCCTTAAGTCCAGGAGGGTCCCCAACTAAGAGCAGCTGCCAAGATGGCTGGGGAGCCTGGTGTTTTTTATTTAGGTAACAGTTTTCTGGGGTTTTTTTGGAGATTGACTTTTGCTCTGATGCCCAGGCTGGAGTGCAGTGGCATGATCTCGGCTCACTGCAACCTCTGCCTCCCCGGTTCAAGCAATTCTTCTGCCTCAGCCTCCTGAGTAGCTAGGATTACAGGCGTGCACCACCACACCTGGCTAATTTTTGTATTTTTGGTAGAAACAGGGTTTCACCATGTTGGCCAGGCTGGTCTCGAACTCCTGACCTTGTAATCTGCCCAACTTGGCCTCTCAAAGTGCTGGAATTACAGGCATGAACCACTGTGCCTGGCCAAGAATTGAATTCTTATGAGAAGTGGTACTTATAAAAATTTTAAATGAAATTTCTCTAGTGTTTGAAGCTAAATCACACCTTCTCTTTTCATTTCTTGTCCTTGTATTTGTTTCTATTGCTCTTTTAATTTTATCCTACATAGTTTTGTTTTTCTTTTTTTCTTTTTTTTTTTTTTTGAGATGGAGTCTTGCCCTGTCACCCAGGCTGGAGTGCAGTGGTGCGATCTCGGCTCACTGCAACCTCCACCTCCAGGGTTCAAGCCATTCTCTGGCTCATCCTCCCAAGTAGCTAGGATTACAGGTGCCTGCCACCATGCCCGGCTAATTTTTGTATTTTTAGTAGAAATGTGGTTTCACCATATTAGCCAGGCTGATCTCGAACTCCTGACCTCGTGATCCGCTCACCTCAGCCTCCCAAAGTGTTGGGATTACAGGTGTGAGCCACTGCACCCAGCCTTATGCCCAGCTTTTTTTTTTTTTAAAGACAGGGTCTTGCTGTGCTGCCCAGGCTGGTCTCAAACTCTTGGCCTCAAGTGATCTTCCTGCCTCAGCTTCCCAAAGTGCTGGGATTATAGGCATGAGCCACTGTGCCTGTCCCTTATTGTCCTTTAAAAATAGGAGCGGCCAGGCGCAGTGGCTCAAGCCTGTAATCCCAGCACTTTGGGAGGCCGAGGCGGGTGGATCATGAGGTCAGGAGATCGAGACCATCCTGGCTAACATGGTGAAACCCCGTCTCTACTAAAAATACAAAAAATTAGCCGGGCGTGGTGGTGGTGGCCTGTAGTCCCAGCTACTCGGGAGGCTGAGGCAGGAGAATGGCGTTAACCCAGGAGGCGGAGCTTGCAGTGAGCCGAGATCTCGCCACTGCACTCCAGCCTGGGCAAAAGAGCAAGACACGGTCTCAAAAAATAAATAAATAAATAAAAATAAAATAGGAGCAACACTGAAGGGGGTAGACTTTCAGGGTTTTGAGCTTTTAACTTGGTTCTGCTCCCTTATTTCTCAGCTCTCTATCTGAAGTCATAGGGAGAACCTGTAGTGAAAGGAAAACAAGGGATAGGGCTTAGTATTCCATCATCATCCCTTTCTAGTGGTATTTATTGAATTAATATATAAGCAGCACAAGAAGAAAAGATTAGATAGGACCAAAATAAGAAGGAGAATATAAACTACTTCTTTTCTGCCTCTGCCAGAGAAGTGCAGTAGCAGCAGGACTTTTCCTAGTCACCAGAGATTGTCGTCTTTGTTCCAGGGGACATTTTAAAAATAAATTTGTTGTGTTTTCTAAAGAAATGAAAAATCTGTGTGGCAATTAACAGTAGTTTTGCCATATTTTAGAGAAAGCATTAAATATCTCGTTACACATCTACTTTGTTTCAATGCAGCATGTTAATGTTCAGTGAATAATCAAACTGGAAAAGATTAAAAAGTATTATGATAGATGTGGCTGTATGTTTAGTTCAGACACAATTTTTTTTAATTTTTTGTATTTTCAATTTGAAGTTGGTTGAGTGCACGGATGCAGAACCCATGGACATGGAGGGCTGAGTGTATGTCCACACATTCTACAATGGAAATCATTGTCCTTGATAATTATCCCTTGATATGAGCAGATATTATATAATGAAAAAAGGCAGAAACTATGACAATTTAATCTTATTTTTGGTTCATAAAAAGAATTTTGTTAAAGGAAAAGATCTAGAAGAATTAGAAGTCAGATTGAGGCCAGTGTGGGGGCTCACACCTATAATCCCAGCATTTCAGGAGGCTGAAGTGGGAGAATCATCTGAGCCCAGGAATTTGAGACCAACTTGGGTAATACAGTGAGACCCCATCTCTACAAAAAAATTTTTTAATGATTAGCTGGGCTTGGTGGTGTGCGCCTGTAGTCCCAGCTCCTCAAGAAGCTGAGGTGGGAAGATCACTTGAGCCTGGGAGGTCAAGGAGGCTGCAGTGAGCCACGGTTGCACCACTGTACTCCAGTCTGGGTGACACAGTGAGATCTGCTCTCAAAAGAAAAAAAAATCAAAGTGACCATTCTGATATTAGTTAATTTTTTGAGTGAGAACTCAACCATTAACCATTTTTCTTACCAGTTTCAGTTTTTGAATAGGCCAACTGGCATTTTTTCTTGTTCTATGGCCACAGCTGCAGATGCAGCTCCTGTTCTGGGAAATGTTTCCTGTTCTTCAACAAATTCTTATTGACTATTATTTACCCTTGTCAAGTATTCAAAGATGAATAAAATATCCTTTTTTCCCTTGAATGGATCATGTTTGTTATTCCTACTAAGAAAAACATCTCTACTGTTAGAAAGTTAAATTGTACATTTCATTTTTGTCATTGTACAGAATGAAATTTTGTAGCATTTTATCAGCCTAAGAAATTATATTGAGTAAACATGTAAATTGACTCCATAAAAGTTTAGGTAGATTTGTTGAAGAGAGATTCATAGTCTGGACTTAACTATGTTCCAGACTATTCTAATCTTATTTCCTCCTGTCCTCCAAAGGTAATTTTCTACCACCTGATCAAGTTGCTCTTTTGCCTTATTACTCTGGGATTGTGTCTCAAATCTTTAAGGGGATTTCAAACACAGTGATCATGTCTTTCTACTGCATTTTCCTGGTGTTTCATCAGCATGCTGGGTTTTGTGGATCAAATTCCTACGGTTACATTTTAGTTATGCATTTGTTAGCATGGCACTAATTTCTGTAGCTTTCTGGGTGACTTGTAACTGATTTTTTTTTTTTTTAATTTGAGACAGAGTCTCGCTCTGTTGCCCAGGCTGGAGTGCAGTGGTGCAATCTCGGCTCACTGTAACCTCCGCCTCCTGGGTTCACACCATTCTCTTCCCTCAGCCTCAGCCTCCCGTGTAGCTGGGACTACAGGTGCCCGCCACCACACCTGGCTAATGTTTTGTATTTTTAGTAGAGACGGGGTTTCACCGTGTTAGCCAGGATGGTCTCGATCTCCTGACCTCGTGATCTGCCTGCCTCGGCCTCCCAAAGTGCTGGGATTACAGGCATAAGCCACCGCGCCCGGCCTGATATTTTTGATAATAGAGTTTGACCTGCTTAATGCAGTCATTCTTACCAGAGAGAGAAGACTTTTCGTTGTTGTAGTTCAGACATAACAGACTCTAGTAGAGGAAAAGTGACAAATCTTGATAGGACTCAGTCCAGGCTATTTACTTGGTAGTCCTGTGTCTGTCTGTGTGCCTCTGCTTGTTGCCTCTCTGTGTTTATGTAGAAAGAACCACATTCAGTAAAAAGGCTTGTGGATGTTTCAGGCCAGATGAAAAGTGGTTGCTTAGCTTTTGTAAATTTGACAGTGCAAAGAGAGTTCTTTATTACTCCCAGGGGAACTATCAAGTAGAAAGAGTTTGCTCTGAAGCTTCTTGGGCAAATTTGAAGATGCTTTTATTTGGGTTTGTTGTTATTACATAATAAAGCATTGGTTTACTTTCTCAAAATCAACCAACCAACAAATGAGCTGTAGAGATTAGTCTTACTTACACATTGTTTTTACTTGGATTTTCAAGGATAATTATTTAAGTAGGTTTTTTTTTTTTCAGTTGACACTTTCATGGATATAAACAAATGAAAATGTGTGTGTGTGGTTTTTTTTTAACAAGTGTTTTTAAATTTCCATCATATTGTACTTCATAGAGGTTCTGAGCCTTGCCTGGGTACTTTCTTTTATTGAGATTTTTAATTAAGGCCCAGATTCTTACCCAAATTGAGAATTTTCTTTTTAATAATTGAATTCTCAACAAAAAACCTAGAATGTGTGAAAGTAAATTCTCTCAGCACCGAAATTATGAATTGATTGCATTTTATGAGGTGTGGAAGGACTTTTCCCTAATATTATAAAGTCATATTGTCACCAGTAGAGGATTGTGACTGCAAGTTGTCCATGTTCTTAGCATTTTGAACAAAGAATTGGACAAAATGCCCAGCAAAGCAAAGAAAGATGGAAGCAACAAAAGAACAAAAGCAGGGTTTTATTGAAAATGAAAGTACACCCCACAGTGTGGGAGTGGGCCTGAGCAGCAGCTCAAGGGCCAGGATACAGAATCTTCTTGGGTCCAAGTACCCCCTAGAAGTTTCCCATTGGCCTTTTCGTGCTCACCTCATGTAAATGAAGTGGAAGCTCACAATCAGTCTGATTGGTTGCAGAAAGCAGCCAACCAGAGGCTGAAATGAAGTTACAAAGGTAACACTGCTGTGCAAACATCTGATTGGTTGCAAAAAGCAACCAATCAGAGGCTAGGGTGAAGTTACAAAGTTATATTTCTTTGCAAATGAAGACTCCGCCCACAGTCAGTCTGATTGGTTGTGGACAGCAACCATTCAGAGGCTGAAGTTACAAAGTTGCAAATGGAGACTGGACCTGTAATCAGTCTGATTTTTTTCGGACACCCAATTTCCCATCTGCTGCACAGAAAACGTGGGGGGTTTGCAAAGGAAGTAGCCTCTGGTCCTTTTGTTACTTAGGTGTGGAAAGTTAGGGTTGGTTTTCCTTTCAATTTAGTTATAAGAAGTCAGCTTGAAAATCAGCCTTAGATTCCCTGCCTCCAGACCCTATTCTCCTGCCTCAATATCAGCCTAGCTATTACAAGGATTAAGCAGTTCTTCCTCTTAGTTTCCCTTTGTGAATATTCTTTCATTAAATATAAAAAAGCCTTTTAATATATTAATAGAAATTGTGCTAAATTAAAAAAATAATTTATATTACTAAATACATGCTAAAAACTAGAAGAGTATTATAATACTTTTCTTCTACATCAGGAAGCATTCAGAATTGTCTGAATTGAATGTTAAAGTCCTGGAAGCTCTGGAACTATATAACAAATTGGTGAATGAAGCACCAGTGTACTCAGTCTATTCAAAGCTCCACCCTCCAGCACATTACCCACCTGCATCATCTGGGGTTCCAATGCAGGTGAGCATGTTTTTTGAGAACATTTTCTAAATTATAAACAACTTTTAAAAGTAAAAGAAAATGTTTTATAGCATAGTATTAAGATTTCTTTTGTCTGTGAATAAAATTATAAAATTTATCTTTGATTGTTTCAGTAAATATTGGCTAAACAATTAACATTCACCAGAGCAAATTAGACAGATACTGATATTTCACAAATACATTTTAGTTCAGTTTTAACATGGATGAAAAGACCATTAAATATGTGAGGGTAGTTCTGGTTCTTCATATGCTTTTGTAAGTATAAAGCATAAATCTTTTATGTAAACATAAATCCTTTTTGTAAATATGGAGTATAAATCTTTTGATTTAGGACAATACCTGACATATCAGAAGTTCCCCAGGTGAGGTACTAACGCTTTCCTGCTGCTCAACAAGATTTAACATTTCTTTACAAATTTCCATAAAGATTTATTTGACTTACATGATTATTAACAGGCACAATGAACTTCTAGAGTATGCTTTATACTTCCTTTACTTAGCTGCATGACTTACATTGTTAAAAATCTGTGCATAGCAAAGATATGATACATGTCTAGGAGGTACAGACTCCGTAAGCCATCCATGAACATCCATAAGCCATCTTTTTCCAGTACTTTTCACCTTTTTTGTGTGCTTGCCATGTGAAGCGAATACTTACATTTGTCAGTATCCCCATTCGGAAGCGTTTTTTGAAATTTCAGCCAATTAGCCAATTGAATTCAGAATGAGCTTGGATGAGCAAAATTCATGTTAATTTATGAAAACTGGTATGTAAAGGTGCATGTGAAGGAGACACCAAGGAGAAAGGGTAGAATGTGGGTGCATAATTTAGATGACTTGACACAACATAATTGTTAAGTAAAAAAAGAATAGTCACTATGGTAACTGTCACGTCAGACAAGATACATTTATCAAATATGCCATGCCTTGATCTTTTTGAAAATTAGGAGGGTAGGAAAGATTTTTCTGGCTGCAAAAGACCTTTGGGATTTATTCAGTTTGCTTCTGTTTTCAGAGTTGTTCGCTGCTGCTGTGAAAGTGGAACAAAACAGCAGTGTCTGCATCATTGTATGATAAAACTTTATGTTTGCTTTTTTGTGTGTCTGTAAAGGGTTATTTGCCATTCTGTGTCAGGTTTTGGTGTTTAGTTGCATTCTACTTACTGCGTTTTGCCAAGCACAACTCATGTCTCTAAAAAGTTAACTTTCTGTTTGATTCCTCACGTAATCTGTACCTACACTGTTCACTCAAGAGCATTTGAAATATTCAAAAGTTTCTATTCTAATTTGACAAAAATATATCTCTACTAGAAGCAGTTGGGGTAACACATTAGTTATATTGTGTAGGCTACTCAGGAACCCTAAACTGCAGAAGACGCTGATTCTCACAGTCTCAGCCTATTGTCAGTAGATTGTTACATGTCTACTAAGGAGGTAATGTGATTGTACTTAATATAGCTTATTTGGCATTTCTAGCATTCTAAATTTTCAGATGAATGGTATTTACTTTAAAAATAGCTTAATTTAAAACTGGATTGATGATCATTATGGTATGATATGATATTAAATGTATGCATTGTTTTGATGCTATATTTAGTAGACAGGTGGTAGACCCTGTCCTTAAGGAGCTGTTGTCCTGAAAATAAGTAGGGCACATATAAATGTCCAAAGAGACCTAAACCATTTTTGCTGTTTCCTGAGGATACATGTCTTTTGCCCATAACTCTTCTTTACTTTTGTCCTGTTTGTCTTAAAGGTAGAGAATAAGGTAGACATTGCCAGGGAAGCCCTGGCACCCTTATACCATTTCTTTTTCAGCTTTTTCTCTCAAGTTTCTTTCTTAGGAAGGAGTTGGATGAGTCATCCAGGGATGAGGGTAAAGAAGGTTATCATTCTTATAGTGACTTTAAGTGATGGTGGGCTTCCCTTCAAGGGAGTGTATAGTTTTCTGTGGCTCTACAGCAAGACATCTTTACTGAGTAATAGGCAACCTGGATAGATTGCAATCCACTACTTAAAAGTACACCACCTGTCTTTCTCCCAGCTCTCTGTAAAAATAAAAGAACAGCCAAACAAATCAAATTTCCATAGATTTGGCACTGTGATTTGACAGCTCTCCACTTTTAGTTCTAAGATGGATAGATTGGTAGAATCAGATTGCTTCCCAAAGAAGTATAGTTTCTTTCCTTTAAGTCTTTTAACATTTTAAATATATTATTAGGCACATGTTTGGGAGATGAGTGAATCAACTTTTTCTTTCTGATTAATAGACATATCCAGTTCAATCACATGGTGGAAACTATATGGGTCAGAGCATTCACCAAGTAACTGTTGCCCAAAGCTATAGCCTAGGACCCGATCAAATTGGTCCACTGAGATCTCTGCCTCCAAATGTGAATTCCTCAGTGACAGCACAGCCTGCTCAAACTTCATATTTAAGGTAAGTTTTGGGAGCTGTGTTAATTTTATATGTGTTAATTTTCCTAGATTTTCAGAATGAGAATATATAGACCCTTATTAAGATGAAGTTACAGAACTGTTTATTCATAATCCTGTGAAGTGGAATGGTGTTACCTTAGCTTTGCTACCCATACTGAGATTATTGCCCGCCCTTAAGCTTACAGTCTGCATCCTTGGGGCAAAAGCTAATTGTCCTTTATGAGACTAAGCCCATGATGTGCTTAGCACTGTGCTATAATCAGCCTGTGAAGTAGTCCCAGACTTATTTATCTGCATGCACTCCTAAAAATTAGAAAACTGTTGTTACTTTGACCCTTAAGAAGGGCGTTTGAACTGTGGAATTTGTAGTTCAGGTTTTTTTGTTTTGTTTTTTTGAGACAGAGTCTCCCTCTGTCACCCAGGCTGGAGTGCAGTGGCTAGATCTCTGCTTACTGCAACCTCCGTCTTCCAGGTTCAAGCGATTCTCCTGCCTCAGCCCCCTGAGTAGCTGGGATTACAGGCACGCGCCACCATGCCCAGCTAATTTTTTTGTATTTTTAGTAGAGACGGGGTTTCAGCATATTGGTCAGGCTGGTCTCGAACTCCTGACCTCGTGATGTTCCACCCGCCTCAGCCTCCCAAAGTGCTGGGATTATAGGTGTGAGCCACCACGCCTGGCCAAGTTTTTTTTTTTTTAAGACAAGGTCTCACTCAGTCGCCCAGGATAGAGTGCAGTGGCATGATCTCAGCTCACTACAGTCTTGACCTCCCGGTCTCAAGCTATCCACCCACCCTCATCAGCCTCTCCAGTAGCTGGGACTACAGGCAAGCACCACCATGTTCTGCTAATTTTTGTATTTTTTTGTCAAGGTGGGGTTTCGCCATGTTGCCCAGGCTGGTCTCAAACTCCTGAGCTCAAGGGATCTGCCTGCTGTGGCTGCTCAAAGTGCTAGGATTACAGGCATGCACCACTGCACCCAGCCCTATAGTTCTTTTTTTAAATAAAAACACTTTTACTCTAAGAGTTGTATTTAAATCTTTCTTTCTATTCATTTTGCTTAACCATACAAAATGTTCATTCAATATAATCATATGTAGATGATCTATAAGGTCTCTTCTCACCCTCAAACTCCATGAGTATGAATTTTAGATATTATATGAATATTAAATAAATCTGTTTATATTAGTGTTCAGTTAGAATAAAATATAAAATTTTGCTATGTTTGGTAACACTAGGAACTGTGGAGAAAAAACTGGTGTAGTTTTGAAACTAATTCTCTTTTATTGCAAGCAGTATATTTGGTGGAATTTAAAATTACATAATTTTTTTTATTGAAACTTTTTTTATAGATGGGGTTTTATCACCCAGGCTGAAGTACAGTAGTGTGATCATAGTTCACTGCAGCCTCCAACTCCCGGGCTTAAGGGATCTTCCAACCTCTGACTCCTGAGTAGCTGAGACCACAGGCGCATACTACACCCAGCTAATGTTATTAATTTTTTGTAGAGATGGGTATTGCCATGTTGCCTGGGCTGGTCTCAAAGCAGGCTGACCTCAAGCAATCCTCTCACCTTGGCCTCCCAAAATGCTGGGATTAAAGCCATAAGCCTCCAAGCTCAGCCCTAAAACCGCTGGGCATAGTATGTATATATATGTGTATACACACACACACACACACACACACACACATATATATATATATATATATTTTTTTTTTGGGGACGGAGTCTCACTCTGTCACCCAGGCTGGAGTGCAGCAGCATGATCTTGGGTCACTGCAAGCCCCACCTCCCGGGTTCATGCCATTCTCTTGCCTCAGCCTCCTGAGTAGCTGGGACTACAGGCGCGTGCCACCACACCCAGCTAATTTTGTTTTTGTATTTGTAGTAGAGACGGAGTTTCACTGTGTTAGCCAGGATGGTCTCGATCTCCTGACCTCGTGATCCGCCCTCCTCGGCCTCCCAAAGTGCTAGGATTACAGGTGTGAGCCACCGCTTCCAGCCAAAAGTATATATATTTTAAGAGAAATGTATGCCACAGTAGTTATAGGAACAAACAAGTCTTGCAATTTGGTGTGATTTTTCAGCTTAGTTTGTGAAGTGTCAATAAAGAAACTATAGTTTCGGACTATCCTGAGGGTTGATTTTGGGCCCTATACAGACTATGCTGTTTTCCTTTTAAAAGTAGAAAGTCCTTACTGAAGGAAAGCTTGAAGGATGTTTACAGAGAAGAGGTGGACTTCTTTGTGCTGGATTGGGAGATGGGGAAGGGAGAATATGGGCTGAAAGTGGCATCTTGAGCCAGGGCTCCATTCTCATTGCAAATGGCCAAGGGTACTTCTGTCAGGAACAGTTTGCATCTCCTCAGGTGGTTTCTGAATGTTTTTAGTTAGAGATTCTGGAGAAGGGAAGTTAAATTGGCCTTAGAATCTTACATTTTGTTTGTTTTCAAGTACCTCTCTCTTCTTACCAAATATAAAAATTACATTAACAAGCTCGGCATGGTGGCTCATGCCTGTAATCCCAACGCTTTGAGAGGCCAAGGCCAGAGGATCACTTGAGCCCAGTAGTTTGAGACCATCCTGGGCAACATAGCAAGACCCAGTCTCTACAACAAAAATTTTTTTTTAATTAGTTGGGACTAATTTAAATTTTTTTTAAATAGTCCCAGCTACTCAGGAGGCTTAAGGCAGGAGGATTGCTTGAGCCCAGGAGTTTGAGAATGCAGTGAGCTATGATCTGCACCCCAGCCTGGGCAACAGAGCAAGATCCCATCTCAAAAATAAGAAGAAGAAAATTTGATTAACAGTATTCAATGGCTGGAATGATTAAATTGTAATCAGAACAGCAGAGCTACGTAAGCTTAAAAAGAAGATGGAAAAGGCATTTTTGTCATGATGATTGATCTCTAACCTTATATATTGCAAAGTAAATATGGTTTTCTTTTTAAAATTTTGTTTGTAGCACTGGACAAGACACTGTTTCCAATCCTACTTATATGAACCAGAACTCTAACCTACAGTCAGCTACTGGTACAACTGCTTACACACAGCAAATGGGGATGTCTGTGGATATGTCATCTTATCAGAACACTACTTCCAATTTGCCTCAACTGGCAGGCTTTCCGGTGACAGTTCCAGCTCATCCAGTTGCACAGCAGCACACAAATTACCATCAGCAGCCTCTCCTTTAGAAACAAATCAAGCATTTTCTTGAAAGCCTTCATAAGTGTATTATTCAGTCCTTGTGATACCAACCTGAAAATATTAAAACTTTTTTCCCTCTCAACTCAAAAGGACCATGAATAAATAAAGCACAAAAACCTCTCTTATTCTACAAGGCCATAAAAGGTTTTTTTTTTTTTTTTTTTTCAGTCCAGTTTGTTTGAAGTCAATCTTTTCATCAGAGGCAGCTTAAAGATGCTTTCAGTTAGTTTTGTCTTACTTTCAGATTTCTCTACATAAATCTAGATACTCATTAAGTAGCCTTATGACAAACAGTATGAGATACTTATGACAAACTCGCTCTGTCACCCAGGCTGGAGTGCAGTAGCATGATCGACAGAGTGAGTTTGTCAAAAGTATCTCATACTTATAAACAGTATGAGATAGGAGGATTAAAATATTATTTTAAAGAAACCACTGTTTCCCCCTAAAATGTCATAAGAGCACTGAAGAACTTGAAATATTTTTTTCAGAGTTTCTCACACACTTTAAAAGTCTAACTTTTTTGTGTGTAAGCATTTAGCTTGCCAGCATATTTCTTTTTGGCTCCTTAAATTGCGGTTGTGTTTGCAGTATTGTCACTTTTGCTCTCACTGTTATGTTGAATAATAATTAGCATATAATTGTCTACAGAAGCAAGAGCAATCTGGAAGGAACAAAAATGTTTTCTGTGATTAACAGTGAAGACCTTGTAAATGCAGATGTGTGATAAAGCATTTAGTCAGTCCCCCAAACAGTCATGCCAACTGTGAAGGAATGTCCCACAAAACATTTCCATTCCCTGAGGAAAAACATTTTCTTTCCTACATGTATCTCTGGTATTTAGAATTGTCACTAATAACCTTTTCAAGTGATTTTGGCTATTCTCTAATGAAGATATGGTCCATTTGTTTTTCTTCCTGCAATGTGGTGTGCAGAGATGCTGCATATCCTTTTTATGGGATTGCGTGTGAATTTGAACCATGAGACATTCCTAATAATTTGTTGTGAGATATACCAAGCATGGATGATAAGTGTGTTTTTAGTGGTGTGTTGTTTTTTTAAAGAGGTGATTCAAGTACCGTTGCTAAGCTGTCAACATACCAAGCTGTTGAAAAAATTGACCATTTCTTTCAGAAGTAATTCTCAGCCTGTGGAATAATAGCAGGTGAAGACTTCATAGAAGGCGACAGATTGATAGGGAGGCTATTGAAGCAGTTTTTCTGAAGCCTGCATTTTGAGTTAGTTTATAGTGCTAATAGATTCTATATAACTGTGAGAGTTTGGTAGTAAACCAGTAGGGATTGTTTTCTCTCCTAAAAATTTGCACACTACTTCATTGTCTACCAACTTTTTACATATTGGAAAATAGAAATTGCAAATACATACATGTATGGAAACATATTCAGATTGGGAAAAACAATGGACATTAGTTTTTAAAAAGTTACGTGGAAGCAAGATTTCTATATTTGTTTTTTTAAAGGAAGCAGTCATTCTTTCTACTAAATCCATTTCAAGCTAGTTCTCTGAAAATTTTGCCATTTATCTACAGAAATTTGATTATAAATATGTTCCTTTTTCAAAGAAACTTTATTCTAGAACAAAATAGTCTATATGGTACTTGATCTACATTTAAGTGGAAAAATTAGCAGTATTTGAAAGCTCAGTTTATGTCATTGTCTTAACTTCAGATACAAATAACTGAACAGAAAGTTTTAACCTTTAATATCTCATGTTCTGTTTTTTATTCAGTATTTTCCTTTATGTTAATTCAATTATATACTTCTGAATGGCACCTTACTTTTTGGAAACAAATCTTCTGTTATTTACAAAATAATAATTTTTAAAAAACATTTAAAAAAAATCCAAAGCTGCTCTCGATAATAGTCAACATTTGCATATATATGGAATTTCTTACTTTTTTTCTCCCAAACTCTATTTAATAAACTTATTTTAATGTTTGTGTATTTCATGTATAATTGTGATCTCAATTATAAAAGTTTAATTCAGCATGTCTTTGAGCCAATATAATTACTGCACACCCACTAAATTGGGATCAGCCATTATAAATAATGTAGTTTTAGAATAATAAAACATGACACATATATATATATATAAATATATAGTATATATTGGCACATCGGTGAAAGTTTATATGTGCAGAAGTTTTTTTCTTTCTCAAGTTAAAAATTATTTTTTGCCATATGTAATTTTGTGTTGCAGGCTGTCGAGAGATAAAAATGATTTTAAATCTGTGTACTGATGATTCTTTCGGTGTTAAGAAACACAGGGTTGTGTACTTCCCTTTTTATGGGCTTATGGATTCTATTTATATTAAGACCTGTTTATAATTGTTTTCTGCCAAAGGGAATTGTCTAACTTCAGATTTCTACATTGGGTTCATACTTACTGTTTTATATCAGAAATAAAAAAATAGCTTCTGCTTTTTCATATGAAATCTTGGTACATCAGAAAGAATTCCTGAAAATTTATAATAGAATGAATTTTATTAATGCAGAAAAATACCCCAGGGTGTTAAAATATATGAAGTGTGGGATATATTCTTATAGTTTGTAAAATGTAGTCAACCAATACTGTCTTCTAATTTGGTAATTTATTTATAAAATTACTTAAACATTAGGTAATTATATTTGTTAGGATTTGAAATTATTTGTAGTTAAATTGTCATGCTGTTTGAAATAATTGATACTTGTCTACGTAATACATTTTACTGTATGTTTTGAAGATGGTTATAATTTCACTTTCAAAATTTAAAAAATCAATTTTAAATGTTTTAAAAACATATAGCTTAGGGATTTTTTTTAAAAAGGTTTTCTTAGTAAAAACATAAATTTAAAAGCCCCTGAGTTCTAGGAGAGGGCTTATTGAATTGCTATAAGAAAGCTGGAGTTACTTTGATAAGTAATAAATTATAAATAGCACTGATCTATAATGCTTTATTTCTATCGGAAGGTACTTTTTCTTCTTTCATCATCAGTTTTAGCCAGTTAGTAAATGGGAATACTCAGTTTTAGGGATTTGATTTTTGTTTGGTTTAATTTTCTTTCAAAAATTAAAAGTATATTTCTAAAAGTTTTCCCCAGAGGCCAGATACAGTGGCTCATGCCTATAATCCCAGCACTTTGGGAGCCTGAGATAGGAGTATTGCTTGAGGCTAGGAGTTTGAGACCAACCTGGCAACATGGCAAGACCCTATCTCTACAAAAATTTTAAAACTTAGCCAGGTGTGGTAGTGCACCTGTAGTCCCAGCTAGTCAGTAGGCTGAGGTGGGAGTATTGCTTGAGGCTGCAGTGAGGTGTGATCACGCCACTGCACTCCGGCCTGACAGAATGAGATCCTGTCTCAAAAAGAAAATTCCCCAGAAGAAGAATTCTAATTTTATCAAGCTGAATTAAAGTTTGAGAGTCTTTTTTTTAAAATCTTACTGTGTCAAAAGAGGCATTATGTTGCTTGTGTGATATAGTGAATAGTGTCCCTCCAAATTTCATGTACACCTGGAATGTCACAATGTGACTTAACAGTAGCCACCCCTCACCCCCGCCCTTATCTGTGGTGGATACATTTGCAAGATCCCCAGTGGATGCCTGAAACCGCAGATAGTACTGAACCTTATATATACTGTTTGTTTTCCTATGCATACATATCCCTATGATAAAGTTTATGAATTTGGCACTTAACAGCAGAACTAATAAGATGAAAGAGTTGTAACAATATACTCTAATAAAAGTTATTTAAAATGTATGTATTGTTATCTGTAATTTTGCATTTAATATTTTTGGACCATGGTTTAATCTGGGTAACTGAAAACACAGAAAGTGAAATCATGGGCCGGGCGTGGTGGCTCACGCCTGTAATCCCAGTACTTTGGGAGGCCGAGGCAGGTGGATCACCTGAGGTCAGGAGTCTGAGACCAGCCTGGCCAACATAGTGAAACCCTGTCTCTACTAAAAATACAACATTAGCTGTGCGTAGTGGCGCATAACTGATCACAGCTACTTGGGAAGCTGAGGCAGGAGAATAGCTTGAACCTGGGAGGCGGAGGTTGCAGTGAGCCAAGATCATGCCATTGCACTCCAGCCTGGGCAACAAGAACGAAACTCCATCTCAAAAAAAAAAAAAAGTGGAATCATGGTTAAGGGCTGACTACTGTATTTGGAAATAGGGTCTTTGCAGATACAATTATTTAAGGATCTTGAGGCGAATTTATCCTGGATTTAGGGTGGGCCCTAAATCCAATGCCTACTGTCCTTATCAGAAGAGGAGAAGACACACATAGACGAAAAGAGGCCATGTGAAGATGGCAGTGAAAGTTGCAGTTATGCTGCCAGAGGGCAAGGACTACCTGGGATCACCAGAAGTTGGAAGAGGCAAAGGATTCCTCCATAGATCCTGCAGAGGGAGCATGGCCTTGCTAACATCTTGATTTCAGACTCCAGAAATGTGAGAGAACAAATTTCTGTTGTTTGTTACAGCAGTCCTGGGGAACTCAGACATGGGTAAGAGTGTACAGTGAAATCTGAGTACCAAGTACTCAAGACTTTGATAAGATTGCTTAAAATTGACGGAGGAATTCTGAGAAAGATGTCTGTAGTCCAGTGACAGTCTTTTTATCTTTGCTAAACTATAAGGATATTGCATGGATAGATGAAACTAAGACCTCTATTAATCCCATAATCCTATTTCTTGATTTTTAAATAGCACATCTACATTTCAATAATTGATTTCATTATGCCAGAGGTGTTTACAGTTAGCAAGATTATAACTGATTTGCATTTTTATCTACTCCTCTGCTCATCTTGAGCAGTAGTTATTGAATGACAGGAGAAATGTTCAAAGCCAAACAGAGATGAAGAAGAAACAAAAAAAACTGGAGGATATTCCCCCTCAAAAGCTACTCAAGAATGGAGGTTTGGTTTTGTTCTTAGCTTTATACCATTTAATATCCTAATAAAGGCTTTCCGGTTGGCTGGGCATGGTGGCTCACACTTCTAATCCCAGCACTTTGGGAGGCCGAGATGGGAGGATTGCTTGAGGTCTGGAGTTCGAGGTCTGCCTGGTCAACATAGCGAGACCCCATCTCTTTAAAAAAAAAAAAAAAAAGTTTTCCAGTACCCTTACACTAAATCAGTGACATACTGATTACATTTTGGTCTCAGGAGCTGACTACTTCTTTAAAAAAAATGAGGTGAAATTCACATAAAATTAACCATTTTAAAGTGAACAGGTCAGGGGCATTTTGCCATTAAAAGTAATGGCAAAAACTGCAATTACTTTTGCACCAACCTAATAATACATTCACAGTGTTGGGCAGGCACAACTGCCTTTTTTTTTTTTTTAATGTTTTTGCAGTTTTTTGTGTGGCTTTTATTTAGTGTTTTTGCAGTTCATTTTTATTGTAGCATATATCAATACTTCATTTCTTTTTATGACTGAATAATACGCCATTATATATATCACAATTTGTTTATTCATCTTTTGGTGAATACTTGTGCTATTTTTACTTTTTTTTTTTTTTTTTTTTTTTTGAGATGGAGTCTCACTCTCTCACCCAGGCTGGGGTGCAGTGGCATCATCTCAGCTCACTGCAACCTCTGCCTCCTGGATTCAAGTGATTCCCCTGCCTCAGCCTCCCGAAAAGCTGGGATTACAGGTGTGTGCCACCACGCCTGGCTAATTTTTGTATTTTTAGTAGAGATGGGGTTTCGCCATGTTGGCCAGGCTGGTCTGGAACTCCTGACTTCAGGTGATCTGCCTGCCTCAGCCTCCTGAAGTGCTAGGATTGCAGGCATAAGCCACCATACCTGGCCTATTTTTACTTTCTGTTGTGAATGCTGCTATGAACGTGTGTGTACGTGTATATGAATACCAGTTTCCAATTCTTTTAGATACATAAGAGTAGAAGTACTGGGTCATATGGTAATTATACATTTAACTTTTTGAGGAACTACCAAACTTTCCCACAGCGGAACCATTTTACATTTCCACCAGCAATGCACAAGGCTTCCAATTTCTCCACATCCTCACTGTCATTTGTTAATTTCCTTTTTTTTTTATTTTTATTATAGCCATGCTGCTGGGTGTGAAGTTGTTGATACCTCATTGTGGGTTTTTTTTTGCATTTTCCTAATGACCAGTGATGTTGAGCATCTTTTCATATGTTATTAGCCACTTAGATATCTTTTTTTTCTTTTTTTTGAGACAGTGTCTTGCTCTGTCGCCCAGGCTGGAGTGCAGTGGTGTGATCTCGGCTCACTGCAAATTCCATCTCCCAGGTTCACGCCATTCTCCTGCCTCAGCCTCCCGAGTAGCTGGGACTATAAACACCTGTCACCACGCCCGACTAATTTTTTTTTTTTTTTTTTTTTTTTTTTGTAGTTTTAGTAGAGACGGGGTTTCACTGTGTTAGCCAGGATGGTCTCGATCTACTGACCTTGTGATTCGCCCACCTCGGCCTCCCAAAGTGCTGGGATTACAGGCGTAAGCCACTGCGCCTGGTCTGATATCTTCTTTAGAGAAATGTCTAAGTCCTTTGCCCATTGCTTTTGTTGTGTTTTGAAGTGGAGTCTTGCTGTGTTGCCCAGCCTGGCCTCATCTCCTGGACTAAAGTGATCCTTCTGCCTCAGCCTCCCCAGGAGCTGCCTTTGCTCATTTTTTAATCAAGTTTTTTGTCTCTGTTGTTGAGTTGTTTTGATAATGTTCTTTGACACACCAAAGCTTGAAATTTTGGTTAGGTCTAATTTATTTCCTCTTTTTTTTTGTTCTTTTTTTTTTCTTTTTTTATTGCTCTTGCTTTTGGTGTGATATCTAAGAATCCATTGCCAAATCTAAGGCCATGAAAATTTCCTCCTTTGTTTTCTTCTAAGACTATTATGGTTTTAGCTCTTATAATTAGGTTGTGGATCCACTTGAGTTAATTTTTGTACATGGTATGAGGTATAGGGTCCAACTTCATTTTTTGCATATTGGTATCGAGTTGTCCCAGCACCATTTGTTGAAGAGACTATTCTTTTACCAGCTACTTTTTGACACTGCTATAACATACCCTAGTGGTGGTCAATTCTAGGACCTAGGTTCTCCAGCTGTGATGCATCAAACCCATAGCTGTATAATTTGCACTTCTAAGAGAGGACAGCTTCGTCCTAATCTGATTACTTCTATCATATACCTAAAGGGGAGACAATGCTATCTTGTTAGGACATAGCTTTCCATGATGTCTAGGAACAGATATGTTAGGTGTCAGTGTAGAGATAGTTCTTAACTGTCACATAGATTTTTTCTCCAAGCAACTTCAGACATGTACTGTATGGTGAAAAGTGCATTGTCTAAATAGAAAAAAGAGACTTAGACTTTGTGCCCTAGCCA
Source organism: Homo sapiens (assembly GCF_000001405.40). Classification (NCBI taxonomy): domain Eukaryota; kingdom Metazoa; phylum Chordata; class Mammalia; order Primates; family Hominidae; genus Homo; species Homo sapiens. The sequence continues at coordinate 152,113,179 of NC_000002.12, read as the reverse complement.
AAAATAATCTTCATCATACTTCTGTCCTGGGAAACCGTCTCCAGAGATTTTCATCTACATGTTATTAGTCAGAACTGTATGAAAGGACACTTAGCTGCACATGCCTTTGGGAAGGTGAGAATTTTGCTGTCCGTCCTGTATATAGAGAGGGCAAAGGAGATGATGATTGGGGAAATGTAGAGTGAAACAATTGTTGATAGTAATCTGCCACAGGGACAGACCTGTTGAAATGTGTTTACACCATGGTGTTACTATTTTGTGTGACTGGTAAATAAATTTGAAGTTGCATTGGTTGTGGCAATTCCATGACCAAATAAACTCTTGTTAAGATTCTCTAATAAAAGCATACCATACCATAGTTTTTAGTCAGTGGAGGCTAGAAATAACGTATTTACATCTGACCTCATATAACCGGGACTTTTTGTTTTAAACACTTTCTTGGGAGACACAGAGAAAGCCCTGGAAGTGAAGAGGGAGATAAAAGCTTCAAACTGCCCCTGTCTCTCTATTTTGAAACAGATGGAAAAGTTAAAGTTTTATTAGCATTCATTAATTTATTCAATAACATAATTATTGTACACTGGGGATGCTAAGAATTTGCATTTCCGGCCAGGCGCGGTGGCTTATGCCTGTAATCCCAGCACTTTGGGAGGCCGAGGCGGGCGGATCACAAGGTCAGGAGATTGAGACCATCCTGGCTAACACAGTGAAACCCCGTCTCTACTAAAAATACAAAAAATTAGCCAGGCATGGGGGTGGGTGCCTGTAGTCCCAGCTACTCGGGAGGCTGAGGCAGGAGAATGGCGTGAACCCAGGAGGCGGAGCTTGCAGTGAGCCGAGATCGCGCCACTGCACTCCAGCCTGGGAGACAGAGCGAGACTCCGTCTCAATAAAAAAAAAAAAATTTGCATTTCCAAGCCAAAGTTATATTTGCGGTTTCACCATGCACTAACTAGTTGCATAACATCAGACATTACTCTTTGATTTTCAAACCACTTTCATATACATTACCTTTGAATTCTCATAGTTCCTGTAGGTAGAAAAGTAGGTGAAGAAGTTAAATAGCTTTCACATGGTCCCATGCGGCGACAAAGCGGGAATTACAACCGAGGCTCTATTTGATGCTAAGAATGTGTCCTCACTGTACTAATGTGACTGTTAACTAGAAATAATTTCTTTATTAAGGTTGTCAGAATCTTTCAGCTCCCTTTCCCACAACTCACTAAGATGGATGGAGCTGCAGAGGGCTCATATAGCTATAAAATGCCTTCAGATATGAGAATGCTAATGCAAGGAAGAGCATTAGAGTAGATGGATCTATTTAATGTGTACATTGTAGTACAGTTAGCTCTGTCACAGATGGCTGATGAGACCAAAGCTTGATGCAAACAGACTGACTCTTTCTGAGAATCCATGTGGTTCTGTCACACAGGATGGGTCCAACATCTGGCAAATGGGCAAAGGTTTCAGAGTACTGTTTTCTGAACAGAAGAGAGCTAAATTCAAGGAGTTGCTGTGAGGAAAAAGCAGGTGACTACTTGAGGCTAATTTGGTTGTGAGGACAGTAGTTCTAAGTTGAAGCCCACACACATAGCCTGGTTTCTCCAAGAACCAAGAACCAAGATTGCTGAGAAAACAATTCTAGCCTTCGCCAGGGTTCTGTTATATTCTGGATGATGGCTAAACTCTAGAATCACATGTTCGGGTCTTCATGAGCTTCCGTTGGCAGCTTTTCTAACCTCTTCTTCACTCTCACATACTCTCCAGACTCTAGCCACCAAACCCAAAATACCACAGGTGACAATTTGGCTTTTTTTGTGCCTGTTTGGCCCTGTTATTTTTTTTCTGCCTGGAATACTTTTGTCCACCTAATAAATTATCCTTTCAAGTGTCAGCCCAAATTTCACTGATCCCAAAACCGTGCTGTGATTCTGAAGTATCTTGTAATAGTGTTATAGTGGTTGCCCTGTGGCATTGGAATGTAGTTTGGCTCACTCAGCATGCATTTCCAACCATCCCCTTACTTAGATTTCACTGCAAGGAAGTCAGTATGCAAGATAATAGTACTTGCCTTCCCAGACTCTTGCAGCCAAGGGTGGCCACATAACATGGTTATGGCCAATGAGATTTAGCTCAGAGTTCCTGGGGAGGACTCCCTAGGATGAAAGAAAAAACTTTTAAAGAAAAGGCTCTTTCCACTTCTGGATTAGAAAGCAGGTGTAATCCCAGGAGATATAGCAACCATGTGACTATGAGAAAGAAAGTTATGATGGCTCAGAAACACTGAAGGTGTCTGGCTCCTTGATGACATCCTTGAGTGACTATTTCGTTCTAGATTGTCTTCCTCTGGACTTCTTCATATGTGACAAGGGAAGAAAAGCCCCTATCATCTGTTACCCTTATTGGTCTAAACTATGGTTGGTACAGTTTTGCTATTTGTATCTGAAAGCATTTCTACCCCCGCTAGGTCTAAAAAAGCCTTCAGACTTTTACTGGTTGTAGTTCCTGGGCCTAGCACAGATACATAAAACATTTGTGGAATAAAGAATGAAAATGGATTTAGCACCTCACGGTGCCTGCTATTTAGTAAATTTGAGTTTTCTTTGACCTTATCTTTGTGCTTATCATCATTCTATTTTAACATTGCTGAAATCAAGATTTGGCTGGGTGTGGTGGCTCACGCCTGTAACCCAGCACTTTGGGAGGCCGAGACAGGCAGATCACCTGAGGGCAGGAGTTCGAGACCAGCCTGGCCAACATGATGAAACCCCGTCTCTACTAAAAATACAAAAATTAGCTGGGCATGGTGGCGGGAGCCTGTAATCCTAGCTACTCAGGAGGCTGAGGCAGGAGAATCGCTTGAACCCAGGAGGCAGAGATTGCAGTGAGCCAAGATCATGCCACTGTACTCCAGCCTGGGCAACAAGAGCAAAACTTCATCTCAAAAAAAAAAAAAAAAAGAAAAGAAAAGAAAAATCAAGATTTATTTTACAGTGGATAAGCATGTTTTACAGGACTTCATTGTATTCTCTTAAAGCTATTTCACTGATACATCTGAAAATCCATGGTCTTTTAGAATCAAAGGAATATGACATTACTTTAACTATCAAGAAACAAAGTGGGGCCCGGGTGTGGTGGCTCATGCCTGAAATTCCAGCACTTTGGGAACTGAAGTGGGCGGATCACTTGAGGTCAGGAGTTCAAGACCAGCCTGGCCAACATGGCAAAACTGCATATCTACTAAAAACACAAAAATTAGCCGGGCATGGTGGCGCACGCCTGTAATCCCAGCTACTTGCAGGGAGGCTAAGACGTGAAAATCGCTTGAACCTGGGAGGCAGTGAGCCAAGATCATGCCACTGTCCTCCAGCCTGGGTGACAGAGTGAGACTCTGTCTCAACAAGAAAAGAAACAAAGGAGGTTAGGGTCCAGTCTGAGGGTCAGGAAACCCAATGGCTTTGCTTTGTTTTTTAAATATCTTAGGTGTTGTAGTGCACAACTATAATCCCAGCACTTTGAGAGGCCAAGGAAGATCTCTTGAGCCCAGGAGTTCAAGACCAGCCTGGGCAACATAGGGATATTAAAAAAAAAAAAAAAAAAAAAAAAAAGCCAGGTCTGGTGGCACAGCTATAGTCCCAGCTACTTGGGAGGATGAAGTGGGAGGATCACTTGAGCCTGAGAGGTTAAGGCTGCAGTGAACCATGATCATGCCACTGCACTCCAGCCTGGACAAGACTCTGTCTCAAAAAAATAAAAATAAATATTGTGTCTCTAGTTCTCATCAAATAATGCTCCTTTCTGCATTCTGAGTCCAGAGATTGCAGCAGAGGAAGAAGCACAGTGAACATTTCTTTCTGACATGTGACAGAAAACTATATCATGGCAAAATAGGACAAGAATTTTAATATTTGGAACCCACATATTTCAGTACCTTAATTTGAACCTTTAGAGGAATACTTCCTTTAAACTTTATAGAAAACTGCATAATTTATGACAACCACCCAAAATGGCAGAATGAAGATGAAAGATAGAGGTGATTATATTTTATAGTTGTCTGTTTTAAGCAAGTTATCCTTCGGGTGGAAGATTGTATTGTTGTTTGCAGTTTTTTACTCTCCCATTTTTCTGTAAGAGGACTGTTTGTATTTGCCCATGCACTTGACTTCTGGAGTATTATGTCCTCATTCAGTGATTTTGGAATTGGTTGTATGTCTATGTCATACATTGGCCAAAGGGATATGAGCAGATGCAACAGATGCCTACATCTAAGCAGAAGCTTAAGAGGCATCATGAACTTCCTGTAGCTCTCTAGCTTCTTGTCTCTTCAGAGCCAGTATGTTCCAGATTGTGGCTGCTTCTTCAACCTGGGAAATGGAAGACAAGGGGAACAGAGCTGCAGTGTGGACCAGAGCAACAGGCTATATGGTGGTGTAATCCACTGAGATTTTAGAGTTGTTACCATAGCAAAGATGGCAAATATGCCTGGTAAAATAAATGTAGGTTTTAAAATGTAAATTAAATTTAAATTAGCTAGTAGGTAGCATCTTAATATAGTTCACCACTTAAAAGATGTGTATGATTCATCTTCACAGTGACTATACTTACAACTTAGATTTTGGATTTTATTTCCATTACCAATCTGAATCATTTGTACCTTTCAAAGTTGTATGGCTGGTTGTGGTGGCTCACATCTCCAGCCTTTGGGAGGCTGAGGCAGGAGGATCACTTGAGGCCAGGAGTTTGAGACCAGCTTGGGCAACACAGTGAGACCTATCTCTACAAAAAATTTAAAAATTATCTAGGTGTGGTGGTGCACATATGTAGTCCCAGCTACTTAGAAGGCTGAGGTGGGAAGATGGTTTGAGTCCAGGAGATTGAGGCTTCAGCGAGCCGTGATTGCACCACTGCACTCTTGCATGGGCGACAGAGTGGGACTCTGTCTAAACAATAACAACAACAACAAATTGTACCAAGAGAATAGCATTTTCACTTTTTTGTTGTTGTTGTTCGTTTTATGTTTGTGTTTTTGTTTTTGTTTTTTTTAAAGACCAGGTCTCACTCTGTCACCCAGGCTGGAGTGCAGTGGCACAACCATAGCTCATTGCAGACTTGAACACCTGGGTTCAAGAGATCCTCCCACCTCAGCCTCTTGAGTAGCTGGGACTACAGGCACACACCACCATGCCAAGGATTCACTGGGTTTTATAGCATGTAAATTTTTTAGGGTTAGGAAAGTAAACATTTTAAATCCAATTCTTGAAAACTTAACCTTTAATATCCTGAAAGTACATGGCTTATGTGCCTTTTGAACAGATTTTCAGTTTGGACCAGAACACAGGGGAAGGGGGAGAGGTAATTCTGGAGAAATTCTTTAGAACAAGAGAAAATAGAACCTGTAAGATGAAAACTCTGAAACTTTATGCCATGGTTAGTTGGACATAAATGTAAGAGGTTAATTACACAAATCTATAATATGTAACTAAGCACATGTGCCACTATTGTGATTTTTGTATGCTCCTAGATTAAAAATACAACACACTAGATATGCATGGACCCTAGACAAAATGTGTTTTAACTTAATTTTTTTTTTTTTTTTTTTTTTTTTGAGACAGAGTTTCCCTCTGTTGCCCAGGCTGGAGTGCAGTGGTGCCATCTTGGCTCACTGCAACCTCTGCCTCCTGGGTTCAAGCGATTCTCCTGCCTCAGCCTCTTGAGTAGCTGGGATTACAGGCACACACCACCACGCCCGGCTAATTTTTTGTATTTTTGGTAGAAACGGGGTTTCGCCATGTTGGCCAGGCTGGCCTCGAATTCCCGCCCTCAGGTGATCCGCCTGCCTTGGCCTCCCAAACTGCTGGGATTACAGGCGTGAGCCACCACATCCGGACGATTTAATTTTTAATTAAGAAACACATTGTCATCTTATATTCCTGAGCTCTGTGAGTTCTGCAAATCATTTTTTTTTTTAAACGGCTCTTTGGACAAGACTTTGACTTTAGGAAGCACTTAACGAAAGTATTTATTAAGTGACAATAAAGTTTATGAAGAGAGAATCTGTAGCTGACAAAGTGATTCAGCCGTATTGAATGTTTTAGGAAAGAAGCAGAGTCTAATAGCAGCCACTTGCTCTTGAACAGTTCGTTCTCTTGAGCTCAGCTTCTTAATTTGCTAAATGTGGCGTTTCTTCTAAACAGTTACTAAATTCTCTTCCAGCTCTAAAATTTTAGAATTTTTAAAAATAAATTTTTATTTTGGAATAGTTTTAGATTTATTCACAAACAATCGCTAAGTTGGTACACAGAATTCTACACCTAGTTTCCTTGATTATTAACAACTTCTCCTGGTAAATTTGTCATAATTAATGGGCCAGTATTATACATTATTATTAATTAAATTTCATACTGTATTCAGGTTTCTGTAGCTTTCACCTAATGTCCTTTTTCTGTTCCAGGATCCCATCCAGGGTATACATCACATTTAGTCATATCCCCTTAGGCTCCTTTTGGCTCTGACAGTTTCTCAGACTTTCCTTGTTTTTGATGACCTTGACAATTTTGAGGAGTACTAGTCATATATTTTGTAGAATGTTCTCAATTGGGATTTGTCTGACATTTTCCTCATGATTAGGCTGAGGTTGTGGATTTTCACCCCAGAAGTGCGATTCTCGTCGCATTCTATCAAGGGCACATACTATCACCCCGACATTGCTGTTGATGTTGATCTTGATCACCTGGCTCAGGCAGCGTTTGTGGAGTTTCTGCACTCCTCCCTTTCCTGCTATACTCTTTGGAAGGAAGTCACTATATGCAGCCCACACTTTACAGGGTGAGAAGTTATTCTTCTCTTTCTTGAGGGTAGAGTTTCTACATAAATTATGTGGAATTTTCCACATGGGAGGTTTGTCTCTTTTCTCCCACGTATTTATTTGTTTGATCATTTATTTTTATCACTATGAACTCATGGGTATTTCTTTTATACTTTGGGTTTTAATTCAATACTACTTTTATTACTCAAATTGTTCGAGCTTTGGCCATTAGGAGCTCTTTCAGTTTGCTCCTATTGCCCTTTGACATACCCATCATTGTGGTTTTGATTCTGGGGTTCTTTTTTAAAGCACTTACCTTACTTTCTGACACTATTAAGATGCTCCAGACTCCTCTTGTATATTTCCTGCCCCAGTCCTAGAATTAGCCATTTGTCCAAGGTTGCCCTGATTTCTTCTATTAAAGGATAGTATTAGAAACCAACGTCTTGGTACTAGATGTGTTTGTTGCTACTAAGGGGTCATTGCTTCTAGGCCCTCAGCTGAAAGCAAGAGAATATATATATGTATGCTAACTCATGTATATACAGCTATCTATAAATATTTATTTTCTTTTCCTTTTTTTTGAGACGGAGTCTTGCTCTGTCGCCCAGGCTGGAGTGCCGTGGCGCAATCTCAGCTCACTGCAAGCTCCGCCTCCCAGGTTCACGCCGTTCTCCTACCTCAGCCTCCCCAGTAGCTGGGACTACAGGCTCCCGCCACCACGCCGGGCTCATTTTCTGTATTTTTAGTAGAGACGGAGTTTCACTGTGTTAGCCAGGATGGTCTCCATCTCCTGACCTTGTGATCCGCCCGCCTCGGCCTCCCAAAGTGCTGGGATTACAGGCTTGAGCCACCGCGCCGGGTCTTTTTTTTTTTTTTTTTTTTTTTGAGACGGAGTCCTACTCTGTCGCCGAGGCTTGAGTGCAGTGGCATGATTTTGACTCACTGCAACCTCTACCTCCTGGGTTCAAGTGATTCTTGTGCCTCAGCCTCCCGAATAGCTGTGATTACAGGCAAGAGCCACCACGCCCAGCTAATTTTTGTATTTTTAGTAGAGACATGGTTTCGCCATGTTGGCCAGACTGGTCTGCAACTGCTGACCTTAGGTGATCCACCCGCCTCAGCCTCCCAAAGTGCTAGGATTACAGGCATGAGCCACCGTGTCCGGCAAATATTTCTTTTTAAAAAGTTAATTTTTTTTTTTTTTTTTTTTTTTTTTGAGACAGGGTCTCACTCTTTTGCCCAGGCTGGAGTGCAGTGGCACAATCACAGCTCACTGCAGCCTCAACCTCCCGGGCTCTAGTGATCTCTCACCTCAGCCTCCCAATTTGCTGGGACTACAGGCACACACCACCATGCCCTGGTAATTTAGAAAAAAGTTTTTTGTAGGGATAGGTCTCACTATGTTGCCCAGTCTGGCCTTGAATTACTCGGCTTAATTGAGCCTCCTGCCTCAGCCTCCCAAAGTGCTGGGATTACAGGCGTGACCCTTGGCATGGGGCCCTATAAATATTTCTGTATATAACCATCTGTATCTTTTAAGTTACCCTCGAGTTCATGCAGATTCTCTGACTCCAGTCCATTACCACATGGATCATTTTAGTCTCCTCCCCTTGCTTCTATGTAACCTTCCACTCCAACAGTGGGAAACCTGGCCCCCATCATTTGCCATCTATGTAATGAATTGTTCAGTTCCAGTGTATACATATAGTGATTTCAGAATAGTTAACCCACACTCCTCAGAAACAATGTATCAACCGTAGTACAATGCTTATGCACAGTTCCTTTTAGTCTTACAGGCGCCACTCATTTCCAGGGTTACTTAGGCCAGCAGCCATTTTCTCCACATTCTTCAGTGACATTGTTTAATATATTTGTAATACAGTTATATTCTTTTGTCACATTCTGCATTCCATCCTGATCTCTCAACATCTTCAATGATTTTCTTTTTAATTCACCCACATTAAGGCTTACTTTATGCTGTGAAGTTCTATAGTTTTGACAGATCCATGTTAGGTATCCATCATTACAGTATCATACAGAACAGTTTCATCACCCTTAAAAACCCCCCATGCTCCACCTATTCAACCTGCCGTCTTCATCACCCCCTCCAGAACCACTGATCTGTTTATTGTCTTTATAGCTTTGCCTTTTCTAGAATCCCAAATAGTATATAGACTCAGACTGGCTTTTTTCATTTACCAATATGCATTTAAGGTTTATCCCTTTTTTTTATGACTTGATAGCTGAATAGTATTTTATCATTTTATCATATGATTAGACCATGCTTTGTTTATTCATTTACCCATTAATGGACACCTTGGTTGCTTCCAGTGTTGGGTTATTGTGAATAAACTTATTAAACATTTGCATGGTCTTTGTGTGGATGCAAATTTTCAGATCAGTTGCATAAATACTTAGGTTCTCGATTGCTGGATTGTATAAGATGGTTTAGCTTGTTAAGAAACTGCTAAGAAACTGCTCAGGTATGTTCCTAAGTGGCTGTACCATTTAGCATTACCATCAGCAATGAATGAGAGTTCTTATTGCTCCTTATCCTTACTAGCCATTGCTATTATCATTTTTATGTTTAGTCATCCTTATAGGTGTATAGTGGCATTGCATTGTTGTTTTAATCTGCATTTCCCCTAAAGTAAATGATGTTGAACATCTTGTCATGTGCCTATTTGCTATCTATGTGTCTTCTTTGGTAAAGTATCCATTAAAATATTTTGTTCATTTAAATACATTTTTTTTTTCAAATTTTAGAGATGGGTCTCCTGTGTCTCAGGCTGGAGTAGAGTAGTGAGATGATGGCTCCCAGCAGCCTCAAACTCCTGGGCTCAAGGGATCCTCCCACCTCAGCCTCTCAAATAGCTAGGATTACAGGCGCATGCCACCCACTGCGCATGGCTAATTTTTTTTTTTTTTTGTAGAGATGTAGTCCTGCTTTGTTGCTCAGAATGGTCTTCATCTCCCGGCTTCTTGGGCAATTCTCTCCTCAGCCTCCCAAAGTGCTGGGGTTACAGGCATGAGCCACAACCCCCTGCTACTTTTGTCCATTTTTTATTTGAATTGTTTATTATAGTTGAATTTTTTTTTTTTTTTTTTTTGAGACGGAGTCTCGCTCTGTCACCCAGGCAGCAGTGCAGTGACGTGATCTTGGCTCACTGCAAGCTTTGCCTTCCAGCTTCATGCCATTCTCCTGCCTCAGCCTCCCGAGTAGCTGGGACCACAGGCGCCTGCCACCATGCCCGGCTAATTTTTTGTATTTTCAGTAGAGACAGGGTTTCACCATGTTAGCCAGGATGGTTTCAATCTCCTGACCTTGTGATCCACCCGCCTCGGCCTCCCAAAGTGCTGGGATTACAAGCGTGAGCCACCGAGCCTGGCCTATTATAGTTGAGTTTTAAGAGTTATTTGTATATTTTGTTTACAAGTTCTTTGTCTTCTTATTATCTTAACAGAGTTTTTCACAGAGCAGAAATTTTTAATTTTAATTAAACCCAGAATATCAATTTTTATTTTCTTGCATCATGCTTTTGGTGGTGGTGTAAAATCTCAACACCAAACTCAGACTCATGGAGATTTTGTCTTCTGTTTTCCCCTAGAGGTTTCGTAGTTTTGCATTTACACTTAGGTCTGTAATCCATTTTGAGTTAATTTTTCTGTAAGATCTGAAGATTAAAAAAATAATAACTTTATTGACATATAATTCACATACCATACAATTCACCCACTCAAAGTATACAATTAGGCAGGGTGCAGTGGCTCACACCTGTAATCCCAGCACTTTGGGTGGCCAAGGTGGGAGGATGGCTTGAGTCCAGGAGTTCAAGACCAGCCTGGACAACACAAGGAGACTACAATTCTATAAAAAATAAAAAATTAGCTAGGCATGGTAGTGCCCACCTGTGGTCTCAGCTACTCAGAAGACTGAGGTATTGCTTGAGCCGGAGATGGAGTCTCACTGTGGTGCCCAGGCTGGAGTACAGTGACGTGTCACAGCTCACTGCAGCCTCGACCTCCTGGGCTTAAGCAATCCTCCCACCTCAGCTTCTTGGTTAGCTGGGACCACAGACACGCACCACCATGCCTGTCTAACATTTTTTTCTTTTCCTACTCATGCTTTTGGTGTCATGTCTAAGAATTTATTGCCAAATCTAAGGTCATGAAGATTTACCCTTATCTTCTAATAGTTTTATATTTTTAACTCTTTTAAGTCTTTGATTAATTTTGAGTTAATTTTTGTATATGATATAAGGCAGCAATCCCCAGCCTTTTTGGCACTAGGGATTGGTTTCATGGAAGATCAATTTTCTATGGGACGGGGATGGAGGATGGTTTGGGGATGATTCAAGCACATTACATTTATTGTGCACTTTATTTCTATTATTATTACATACTCACCATAATGTAGAATCAGTGGGAGACTTGAGCTTGTTTTCCTGTAACTAGATGGTCTCATCTGGGGGTGAGGGGAGATAGTGACAGATAATCAGGCATTAGATTCTCATAAGAAGCCCACAACCTAGATCCCGTGCATGTGCAGTTCACAATAGAGTTTGCACTCCTATGAGAATGTAATGCCACCCCTGATCTGACAAGAGGCGGAGCTCAGGCCATAATGCTCACTTGCCCCACCGCTCACTCCCTGCTGTGTGGCCCAGTTCCTAACAGGCCACAGACTGGTACTAGTCTGTGGCCTGGGGGTTGGGGATCCTTGATGTAAGGTCAGGGTTCAACATCATTTTTTCCACTCTGGTGTCAGAGGTAGGGACAATGATGCACCTCTCTCTGAGTGACATCACCATGTTAGATGCTGAATGTTTCTGGCAGAAGCACTCAAAGCAGTCCCACGTTTCCTGACTTCTTTCTCGATGAGCCAGAAGCAAAGGTGATCAAGGCCCAAGTACACTCAGTGCTGCTGTGGCCAAGGTACAGCCTCCAGGTACAACTGGGCAGAAGAAGGGAGCCCCCACCTCTGCCATACTTGCTTAGAACTTAGTCTCAACAACAGGTAGCTGCGGGGAGGATGACAAATGCTGATGTTTTGTCCCTCCTAGGAAGCTGACCCTCCAACTGGGAGCTGAAGGGTGAGGGAGCCCTGTGTTCTTGGCTGCACCAGTATAGCGTGGAGCCCTCTCTGAGTTGGAAGCATGAAAAGAGTGAGTAGGTCTTGGTTCAAATACCTCAAGCTCACTTTTCTTACTGGGTTTCAGTAGGTTTTCTTGAATAAATGTTCCTTCATTTGTTGTGCACCTTTAGGACCATTTTTAGAAATTTAAATGGTTGCTTATATATAAAACATATAATTTTCACCAGTTTTGCTTTGAGCTGGGTGTACAGGGCTTCTCATGTTGTTATGCCTCTGTGGGTTCTGTTTCAATAACTTAAAGTCAGTGAGAATGTGGACAGTGGAAAACCACACAATTCAAAGTCCAGTGCTCACATAGTAATTTAATATGCACACACGTATCAACTATGAAAATGGCTCAGAACTAAATACGGATTGGGTTGACAGTAACTAAAGTAGGGAGTCCTGCATGGTTAGACCTCCATTCCCCATAAATTCATGGAGTATCTACTATATGGAAGGTATAGGAATAGAAGATAAACCGCTAAAAATTCTGAAAATTAGGAGATTTTCACAAAAACAGAACTAACAAACTAATAAGCTAAGGCAGCCTATTCTAAGTGCCCAGAGAATACATGCTCCAGTTTTTCAGAAGCACAAGAATTATGTGGGACTGGAGTAGTCAGATAGGATTTCTGTGGAGGAAGCGTGAGCTGAGTCCCATTTAGAAGAAAGGTAGGATTCAGCCGGGTGTGTAGGTTGTTGGGAGGGCATATTCCAAGGAGGCATTCCAAAGCAGAAGAGCTCAAATGTGATTGTATTTGGAATACTTGGGTATTGATGACTAGACCTGCCTGCTTGCTGGAAGGTTTGTATAGAGAGATCAAGATGGAGAAATGAGATGGAGAGTGATCAGAAATGCAGGAGAGGCTGAGTTGTTGGACCATGGAGTTTGGACTTTATCTTAGAGAAGAGTGACTTGGGCAAGATATTTTAGGAAAATGGTTTTGCCTGTAGTGTGTAGATGGAATGAAATCTCTGCGTGTGTATGTGTGCATGTGCATACGTGCACATGCACCAGGAAGCCTGGAGGCAAGGACATTAGTTATAAGATTGTTACAGAGGTTTGGATTAAGTGAAGGGATTAGGAATGGAAAGGAAGTGTCTGGTGGATGGTAAGATATAACCAGGACCTCAATAAAGCCAAGCAATTATTAAAACAAGCATGGTAGTTGTGTCCATAAACATAAAGTCCTAGAATGCAAGCTGATTTAGCGATTTGAGATAGTAAGTATATTTTAATTTAAACGGAGTCTCTTTATTTTTGAATTTGCATATACTTTTCTTCCCTCTTCTTATTCCTCTGTCAATACCTCGCACTTATTCTTCCTTTCCGCAATCCCTCTCTTTTAATTTGATCACAAATTAATCTCTTGTATGTATTTACAGGAGGAAACCAATGGCAAACGTTGTGTATGGTTGCAAGGATGAGTTTCTCCCCCTTGAAAATATCCATTCGCATAGAAATGGGAGGCACAGTGACCAACTCTTGCTTCTTAGCAGGTCTAACATGACCTTCAAAACTCCGTAGGACATACTGGTCTTTGGCGGGGCAGCATCTCCCGTCAGACTCAGGCTGGCTGGGTTTCTCACAGCTGCCTGGATGTGTGTGACTCGCAGCTCTAAGGACAGAATTGCCAAAGCAATACAAAAACACGGACGAAAAGCAAGCCACAAAACCCCATGCCTTACACATTAGGCTGATGAGTGAAGTCGCGGAAGGTGGCTCTGCTCTTGCCCTTTTAAAATTCCAGTGCAGCAAACACACACACACACACCCGCTCGGTTCTTCCCATTCCCGCCACACTGCACCAGCTTCCGTCCCCAAGTCCTGATTCATGAACCGTGCCACCTTTGTCTCATTTTAAACTGTGCAGACTATTTTAATCTTGCCACCCCCATCCCAGATTTCCCCCTCCCTTCATCCTCTGGAAGCTCTGATGTAAAGCGCTTGCTAGGTGGGAGAGCGCTTCTCCCAATCCGCTCGGGTAGGCGAGTTTCCGAGAAGCCCCCTCCCCGGGACCCCGCCGCGAGCGCGGGGGAAGCGCCTCGGTCCCTTTAAGGTGCCGCGCTCTCCGAAGTGCGGGCAGGGAGCCTGGGCGCCGGCGCGGGTCCTGGAGCCGGGTGGGGAAGTCCTGCGCCCTCCCCCTCCGTCCGCAGCCCAGCCTCGGGGGCCAGCCCCCTCCGCCCACCGCACACGGGCTGGCCATGCGGCGGCTCTGAACGATGTCCTCCTCCTCCTACGCCAAGAACGGGACCGCGGACGGGCCGCACTCCCCCACCTCGCAGGTACCGCCCCCTCCTCCCCCTTCTCCTCTTCCTCCTCTTCCTTCCTCACACCTCCTCCGCCGCCCTAGCGCGCCCCGCCTTCGTGCCGGGCGTGCGGGGCCCCAGTCCCGGGAGTCGGCGGCCCCGCTCCCCCCACCCCTCCTCCACGTCCCTTTCTCCTCCCGCTCCTCCTCTTTCTCCTCCTTCTCTTCCTCCTCCTCCTCACCCTCCTTCGGGTCTCTGCGCTCCCGCTCCGGAGCCCGCAGCCTCCCCCAGCGGATGCCGGGGACTCGGACCCCGCACCCTGAGAGTCTTTGTTAATGGATGTGGTGGGTGCTTGCGGGCTGCTCTTCTCGAGCATCTTTTCAGCAGTCGAGGCTTGCAGTGGGTGGGTGGGGGTGGGGGCTGTATTTGGGAGTCGCGGAGGAGACTTGGGTGCGGGCTCTAGGGGACCCCAGGGAGCGGGTCCGGAGGCGGACTCCAGCCGGGGGTGGTCGCCCCGCTCTGCGCTGCGGTCCTCACCGGCTTCTCTCTGGCCCCCGTGTGTCGAGTCCAGGTGGCCCGAGGCACCACAACCCGGAGGAGCAGGTTGAAAAGATCCGATGGCAGCACCACTTCGACCAGCTTCATCCTCAGACAGGTATGAGAAGGAGGCGGGAGACCAGGATGGGGAGGAGGCCGAGCGCGCGGCGCGGGGGTCCTGGAGCCGGCCGTGGCCCACACGTGCGGGAGCTGCGGGTCAAGCCCGCGCGCGTCTCTTCCCGGCCTCGGCCGGTGCTCGGGCTCAGTCCCTCTCCCTCTAGCCTGGGCTCTTGACGTCTTCGCGTCCCGGCGTCTCCGCACCGCCCCGGGAAGTTAGTTTGTGCATGTGTGTGGACAGTTCGGTGGGGACCTGGCTTAAGTCAGGGACGTTGAATTTAAGAGCTGGAAATATGTCTGGTTGTATCTTTGGTGCGTGGAGAAATGTCTTTAATTCGTATAACTCGACCTAGAGTAACCAGACCCCTCGGGGCCGGGGACCTGGTTTGATTCGAGTTGAGATTTAGTGGTTTCTTCTGTTTTGTCCTAATTTGAATACTCTTATCTGTCTGGATCTTGGGAGAGATCGTCAAGCTCCGGTCAAAAGAAAGACACTGAGCAGAAAGTTTACTCTCACTTTAGGACCGCTTCTTGGATTCGCTTAGTTAGGGAAAGACAGCTGTATCTGGTTAAATAGGAATTAACGAAGGCCAGCACTCAGCTCCGGGTCTGGGTGCGCCTTCACTTCGTGTTTGTTTTCTTAGTGCTTGCTTTCTCCTGCGTGGTTCTAGTGCGAATTGTCTGTGCTCGGGATCTCCGGATCGCTGGTAATGCTCAATGCTTAGGTGCCTTTCACCTTGGCACAGGAAATTGGTCCTCAGTTTTCCAACTGTCCATGTGCTGTTAATGAAACCACCCCTGGCTGCTGGGTGCTAGAGAGATCATGCAATGAGTCACCTTGATCTTTCTTTGGAACAGAAATTGTCGGGGTGTGTCCTAGGTTTCGGGTGACCTAGGAAGACATTGGTCATCGCACCAAGAGGCTTTTATCCCAGGTCTTCCTGTGGGCTGCTGGAGTGACCTTGAGAAGTTCTTTTCCCTCTAGGTCACTCAGTATTGTGTAATGTGTTTTCTAACCTATGATGGCAGCTCTGGTGTTTCTTTAGTGATTATCATCAATTTAAACATATCAACGAGGAATTGATATCAAAATTGAACTCAGACCTCTCCTAAAAGGGTCTATAAAGCATATTTAGATGATATTTATTATGCAGAATTTCACTTTCTGCAGAAGCGGAAATTTTGACTACCATTTAATTCAGCGAGCACTAAGCATGTACATTATGGAAATAAATGCATTTTGGATTCCGAATTCATTCTAAAAGTGCATTCTATCCCCTTTGCAGTATTTAGATTATGTATTTGATAAGGCAAACATATTGTTTATCTTAAAAACATTTTTCTGTTATGCAACTGTTTGAGGTCTTGCTGGTGTTTATTTTGTAGGTGCCTATTTTTAGTGGTGTTTCATTGTTGCAAATTCTTGGAAATACTAATTACACAGCAGTTCTTTCCATAAGCTGTTTGACTAAAACTTTTGAGTTCATCTACATAACTGCACTAATGCTTTATTCTTCCTTCCAAGCACAAACAAAATAATATTCTAATATTCTTACTCTTTTCTCAATTTATGCCCGTAACTGATTGAGATGATGTATATATAAGTTCTTGTAAAGCGTGCTGCTATGTGCTGGCTTAAGAAATGTTAAAAGTATTGCATGCTAAATAATTTTGGGAATAATTTAAAGCAAAGTAGATTTTTTTAAATAAATATATTTCATCTATGAAATGGGAATTCATTGGTTTGATTAAATGGTCTAATTTAAATTCAGGAGTTAATTGTAATTGTATTATATACACAATCTTATTTTTCGGCACAAAAATAGTACTTAATTTTTTTCTTTTTTCAGACGGAGTCTTGCTCTGTCGCCCAGGCTGGGGTGCAGTGACGCAGTCTCTGCTTACTGCAAGCTCTGCCTCCTGGGTTCACGCCATTCTCCTGCCTCAGCCTCCCGAGTAGCTGAGACTACAGGCACCCGCCATCACGCCTGGCTAACTTTTTTGTATTTTTAGTGGAGACAGGGTTTCACCGTGTTAGCCAGGATGGTCTTTATCTCCTGACCTCGTGATCTGCCCACCTCATCCTCCCAAAGTGCTGGGATTACAGGCGTGAGCCACCATGCCCGGGCTACTTAATTTTTATGAGCACTTTACAACTCACTGAGTATACTACACATGATCTCATTCAAATGACATCATACAGACTTCTGTATTGGCTACAATAAAAATAACTGAGGGATTTACATTTCTTTGATGAGATAAGGAAAATGATTACAAATGCAGTTTAACAATAACTTTCGGATAAAATTGAAATCACCCCAATGCCAAAAAATATTTTTTATGAAAGCATAACAGCTGCTTACGTTAACAGAGCCTTGGGCTGGTCACAGTGGCTCACGCCTGTAATCCCAGCACTTTGGGAGGCTGAGGTGGGCGGATCACTTGAGGTCAGGAGTTTCAAACCAGCCTGGTAGCATGGTGAAACCCCGACTGTACTAAAAATACAAAGAAATTTGCCAAGCGTGGTGGTGTGTGCTTGTAATCCCAGCTACTCGGGAGGCTGAGGCAGGAGAATTTTTTGAACCTAGGCGGTGGAGGTTGCAGTGAGCCAGTATTGCTCCACAGCATTCCAGCCGGGCGACAGAGCAGGACTCCATCAAACAAACAAACAAACAAAAACAGAGTCTCATTATTTGTAGAATGACCAGTGATTTATTGATATTTGAATTCTTGATACATTGGAGTGATGAAATTTCTTGGTGCTGTTTCACAGTCTTTGTGATGCCTTTGAAGAAGATAGTGGAATACCAAAAAATATATATATTGCTAGTTTCTTTATCATATTATTTACAAAAATATGGAGAAAAGCTTTCATTAAAAAAAAAATCGATGTGTTACATTGGATGGGGAAGACTGGGCTGTTGGTGAAGCAGAGAAGGCAGTTGGCAACTCACCCAATAAGACAATATTTGTTCTTTGAGCTTGTTAAAAAGTTTCAGTGTTTCTGAGACTATATATGCACATATGTGTGCATGCACACACATGAACATTTGAATTGGCTGGAAAACAAGCAGACTGAGAAAGAGAGCCTGCTTCCACTCTGAGGACTGCTCATGAAGCCCCTCAGGAATCTTTGACCTTGTTTCTGGTCTACAAGATTTCTGGCTTCCACCATTTAGGAGGGATGGAGGTTTTGGAATGAATCCAGGGAGCAAATAAATGGCTTCTTTGAGGAAAGGTGAGAAGATGAAGTACTTTGCCGCTGAAAGGAAAGAAAGCTAGGAGTGACCCAGAAATGATCTTCAAAGTACACACAAAGGCTTTCTTTGGAAATGTGATGAAGTGTTCTCACTCTTCATTGGGGATGAAACTCAAGAACTGGCCCAAATTAGAAAGGAATGATGTTTTACAGCAAGACCTTCCTAAGAGTGTTGCCATCATTGGAGTGGCTTTCCAAATGAGGCCATAGAATTTTCTTTCAGGAGAGCCCTTCTTACAGGCTATTTATGAATGGATTATCTAGTCATATTTTAAAGTTTTAGGAAACACTTAAGTATTTGCTATGTGCCTAGCACTATGTTAGATATTGTAGGGGAGGAATGAAAAGATGGATGAGACACAGCCCCTGTACTCAAAGATTTTTATAATCTAGCAATGGAGACAGAGATGTCTACAAACAGTACGGTGACATGTAACAAGGAACGAGAGGGCGGGCTCAATGACCATGTACCCCGAGTATCTATTATATATCCATAAGTATATCTACCCATGGGTGTCACTACACATACAGTTTATACGGCTGAGTACTCCAAGTTAGTCCTCTTCCCACTGGGGTTTGAAGAGAAAATCTGATCAGAGTGGGAATAGTTTGTTGACTTTTCCTTGTTAAGTCTGCTCTTATGAGGCCAGCAAAGTCATACCTGGCCTGGCCCCTGCCTGCTTCCAGCCTCATCTTGAGCCATGATCTCTTAGCTCTGGACACAGAGTTTGAACACACTGTCTTCCCTCTTGCCACTGGTCCTTTGCATATGCTGAGCCCTCTGTGTGGCAGGTTGTTGTCCTTCCTTCTGCCTAGTTAACTTTTAATCTTCCCTGAGATCTGGGGGTTTAGTCTTCACTTCCTCTTCTAACCTTCCTGATAAAGTCAGTTCCCCAACAAGGGGCTCCCAGAGGGCCTTGTGCCAGTTTTCAGTAGCACCACCGCTTTTATTTAACATGTACTTAGATTTCTCTGTTACATTCTGTCTCCCCATCCGTATGAGTTCCACAAGGACAGGGACATGTCTGCATTTGATCTTTGTGTCCTCAGCATCTAGCATAGTATATGTTCAATAAACACACACTTGAATGAATGAAGCAGTGGATGGATGGAGAACTAACTTGATATATTTTAGGCATGAGGTTCTGCTCCAACATTAAATGCTTTGTTTAGTGGGGAGAAATTGCCTCCTAACCTCCCCCAAAACTCTGTGGCTTGAAACAACAACAATTTTTTATTTCTGTGTACTAACCAGACAGTTCTGCATTGTATGATGTTATATGGGCACTGGGATGGCTGGAAGGTCCAGAGTGGCCTCACACATGTGGTTGGCAGTTGGTGCTGGCTGCTGGCTGAGAACTCAACTAGAGCTTTTGGCAGCGGCTCAGTTTTTCTCCACCTGGGCCTCTCAACATGGTTGCTTGAGCTCCCGGATAATATGGTGGCTAGGTTCCAAGAAGTGAAGGCTGAAGCCACAGCTCTCCTAAGACCCAGTTTTGAAAGCTACACTGTATCACTTGTCTTGCAAACTCAAGTCAAAACAGGTCCAAGAGCCTGCTCAGTTGCAACAAAAGAGAAAACAGACTATCTTTTGATGGGGTGCAACAAGGTCACGTTATAAAAGAGCATATGGGTAAAAATACACACACACACACACACACACACACACACCAAAAAACAGCAAGTCAAATTCAGTGCCAATAGTATAAACAGGAATGTAAAGATTATTCAATTTATATAACAAATTAAAGAAAAATATATGTTGATTTCAGTAGGTGCCAAAAAAGTATTTGATAAATTTTGTAAGTTAAGAATAGAGCATATCTAGAGGCACGTGATTTTAAAAAAAGAAGAGAAGGCAGCTCCCTAAATCTAATAAAAATTATCTACTAAAATCCACAGCAAACATCACACTGAGCAGAGAAACTAGAAACAATATATGTATGCAGCAGTCAGTAAATGAGCAAATAATGTACATTGGGGCCCTCATCCATATTTTTGCATTCCCTGGTTTCAGTTACCTGCGGTCAACTGAGGTCTGAATGTAGGTGAGTACAGTACAGTAGCTATTTTGAGAATGAGAAAGAGACTACATTTCATATAACTTTTATTATGACATATTGTTAACATTGTTCTGTTTTATTATTAGTTGTTATTAATCTCTTACTGTGCCTAATTTACAAATTAGACTTCATCTTAGGTATATATGTATAGGAAAAAACATTATATATATATATGTATATATATGTAAATGTATATATGGTTTGTTACTATCTGTAGTTCCAGGCATCCACTGGGGTCTTGGAATGTATCCCCCACGGTTAAGGGTGGACTACTATATATTATACTACAGAGTACTATTCAGCCATTAAAGAAAAAAATAAAGCCACCCTGCGTGTAATGATATGGAAATGCATTTAAGACATTCATTTGAAATGCATTCAAGTGAAAAAAGTAAGTTACAGAATAATGTATAATAATATTTCATTAAAAAAAAAGAGCATATGGAATGGAAGATATGGTTGCAGCCATTGTTGGAACCATCTACCTTGGAACAAGGAACCTCGTATTTTTTAAGGTATGCTAATCAGATGATCGTTACAATAATTCAATGAACCACACTGTATTTAGAGATCTAAAACATTCAGATTTTTAGGTTGATACTAGAATAAAACAAGTTGGCAAACAAATTCTTGGGGTTATAATTTGAGCACCAGTTATAGATATGTTTCTCTGATGAAATGCAAATTCATCAACAGAAGGTATATGCTTTGCGCATAGCTCTAAGAATAATCATATGCCTACAGGCATGTATATATGCAAAATTTATCCATAAACTTAGAATCACAGAATTTTAGAACAGGAAGAGATTGCAGAAAGAAAATACTTCAGTCTCTTTTTTCAGATGAATAAAACATAGGCCCAAGGACATAAAGGTCATACCAATAGATAATGGTAGAACAGACACAAGGGATCCTGGCTCAGACTCTACTGTTTTTTTCACCACAATCCACTTTATCCCTGAATAAACAAGCCAAACACACAAACTCACACAGGTGTGGATACATGCAAGGACATATGGAGCTTATTCCTCTCAGATCCTGGAAACGTTCTGAATCTGCGTGGTTGCTGTGAAGAACCATAGCATCAGTTGAAGAATTTAGAGACTGTGGTTTCTTCCCAATTCTATCATGGATGGAATTTTTGTTTGCTTGGTTAGCTTCTTGTAGGATTATTCCTTCCACCCTCCAGTCTTCTACCAGTTCCTCCCATTGGCTGAGCCTCTCTGGAAGCCCACTGACCTGGGATTCTGGGAAACAAGCTGCAGGCAGTGGCCCTCTGAGATGGAAAGTAGAGCAGCGGAGTGGGAGGAGTGGATCTGAGGGAAACAGCCAAGGAGGGGCACAACCAGTTACGTTTATGTTTATTTTTGTTTGAGAAGGAGTCTCACTCTTGCCCAGGCTGGAGTGCAGTGGTACAATCTCGGCTCACTGCAAGCTCTGCCTCCTGGGTTCTTGGGAGGCTGGTCCTGCCTCAGCCTCCCAAGTAGCTGGGACTACAGGTGCATGCCACCGCATCTGGCTAATTTTTGTATTTTTAGTAGAGACCAGGTTTCACCATGTTGGCTAAGCTGGGGCACAACCATTTTTATATTTTAGCTGCATGGTAGACAGTATTGAATCATTTTCATCTGCAAAGTTGGAAGTTTTTACTTGCTCTGTAAGTAGACCTTCCTTGCTAAATGGTGTAATCCAGTTACAATGAACTTTAAAAAGTTCGCGCTTATTTCCTTTGTGAGTTTTTTGTGCAATGAATCTTCTCTTGCTCTGATAGAGCAAGAAAGAACTCTGTCGCTCTTGGCAAACTGTGCTTCTTCTTGTTTTGGGGCTTAAATAAATTGAACTGAGCTTATGAAGAAAGAAATCTAATTACTGGGTAGCTAACCCGTTAACCAGTCATTTTTACTTATGTCTGAGTCTCTGTTCCTGATGGATAGAATTGCCTAAATTTCACTTTTTTTTTTTTTTGAGATGGAGTCACACTCTGTTGCTCAGGCTGGAGTGCAGTGGCCCAATCTCAGCTCACTGAAATCTCTCCCTCCCAGGTTCAAGCAATTCTCCTGCGTCAGCCTCCCGAGTATCTGGGATAACGGGACTGCCAACATGCCTGGCTAACTTTTCTATTTTTAGTAGAGATTGGGCTTCACCATGTTGGCCAGGCTGGTCTTGAATGCCTGACTTCAAGTGATCCACCTGCCTCAGCCACCCAAAGTGCTAGGATTACAGGTGTGAGCCATCATGCCCAACCCTAAATTTCATTTCTGTAGAATAAATATTTATCCTTTAGTTTTAGAATGGTACAATTTTATTGAAACTTAGGTAAGTTCTGATTCAAGTTTTTATCTTTCTTTTTTTCTTTTTTTTTTTTGAGATGGAGTTTTGCTGTTGTTGCCCAGGCTGGAGTGCAGTGGCGCGATCTTGGCTCACTGCAACCTCTGCCTCCCAGGTTCAAGCAATTCTCCTGCCTCAGCCTCCCAAGTAGCTGGGATTACAGGCATGTGTCACCACGCCTGGCTAATTTTGTATTTTTAGACAAGACCATGTTGGTCAGGCTGGTCTCGAACTCCTGAGCTCAGGTGATCCGCCCGCCTCGGCCTCCCAAAGTGCTGGGATTATAGGCATGAGCCACTGCGCCCATCTTCAAGTTTTAATTTTTCTAGAAAATTATAGGAAGCTGTGTGGAAATGTAAGCTGAAAATGACTTTGGCTTTGGCCCTCTCCCCTTAATTGCTCCACCTGCTGCCCCAGACAGGGTCAACCCTGGATATTAAGGAAGCAGAGACTGCCCTTTCAAACAAGGTTTAAACAAAAGGCAATGCTATTTAATGGCCTTCCTTTGGCCACTCAAATCTGGGTCTGACCCATCTTTTCTGGGTGTGGTCTTGGCATTGTCCATACTCATCTTCCTCAAAGCTTGGCCCATTTTTGGTCTCATTTCTGAAGCTCTGACTCAGAATAAAGCATAAATCCTAACCAGGGTGAACAGCTTGCAACTCACTCACATTCATGAAGACTCTACAGACATGTGGAGAGTGGGGCATGCAGGTCCCATTCTGCTCAGTGACCCTCTGTGTTTGGCCTCTGCTTTCTGTCTTTCTTTTTTTCTTTTTGAGACAGGGTCGTGTTCCCTGCAGCCTCAACCTCCTGTGCTCACGGGATCCTCCCACCTCAGCCTACAAGTAGCTGGGACTACAGGTGTGCACTACCAAGCCTGGCTTTTTTTTTTCTTTTTTTTTACTTTTAGTAGAAATGGGGTCTCACCATATTGCCCAGGCTGGTCTCAAACTGCTGGGCTCAAGCAGTCCTTTCACCTCAGCCTCCCAAAGTGTTGGGATTACAGGCATGAGCCACTGCGCTTGGCTTTGCATGCTTTTTAAGCCATATTTTGGAAGAGAGAGCTTCCTAGAACAGTGCCATCTCTCTATTTTCTGTCCCTTTGCTGGAGCTTTCTTCCCTGCAGAGTGTGTGAGCAGAGAATGGGTGACAGGCCTCAAAACATGTATCCTCTGAGATGATCCTTCAGTGGGGTGAGCCTGGTGTAGGCTGAGCTTCTGGACTGTTTTTCACTTCCACTGAATCCGGTGTGTTGCACAATTATTTCCTTTGTGGGCTATGGCAAGACAAAGCTTGCAAAGCACTCTTTGACCACCCCTGGGAACACACTCTGCTATACCTCTGCATCTTAGAATACATCAATGGGTAAGTCTCAAGAAGAGCTGGGCTGTTATCCCCAACGAACCCCAATCCAAACACACTCTGGTTGAAGCAGTCAGTATTGTCCTGCTTTTGCACAGTTGCCCTTGTACTTCATGAACCAGGAAAACAATGAGGTGAATCCAGTGCTCTTCATTCTATAAGAGTGTCAGTTCTGAACTTGACTACATGGACACATCAGGAATTTCACATGGATTTAACCATGTGTACTGTGAGGAGACAGGAGGGCACTCAGGGAGGTAGGACTGTAAGTAGAAGCCGAAATTCATGAAAAAGCTGAATTATAGATTCAATTTTAAGGGTATACTGTAGCTTTACTGCTTTCAAGTAACAATAATGACAAGCTGTGTGCTAGGGCACCCTGCCTTCAGAAATAGATGAGGCTGATATATTATCATCTAGCTTGAATATAAACAGTGCTTTGGAATTCCTTAAAGATAGTTCTCATTTCTAGTAGAGTAAACATGCGCCTTTGTAAACTTCCCTATTTTCTTTAACGTGTCTTTTCTTATTATACACATAAATAGAGCAGAGGTAATTACTTGAATCTGAAGGGATGGCATTCACGATCTGAAAGCATTAGTTAGGTAAGGGCTGTAAAACTTATTCGACGGCTACTGAATTTTTCTGATCATCTCACTGTAATCATTTGGATGACAAATCGTGTCTATTTCATTTCTCATTTTCTGTTCTATGTTGATGGATGTATCTTTCTCCAAGGTTGCAGTTTAATTGCTGTTGTAGTATTTGTTTTGGGAGTAAATATTTTGTAAACATAAACTTGAAAAGAATATGCATTTCTGGGTTGTAGGATCACTAGAGGTGGTTAACTTTTATAGTGCTTACTGTGTCCATATATTATGATGAGATTTTAAAATTCCTTATGGAAAATTTTTTTAGCAGTTTCATTGATAACATATGGAAAATCTAGCAGTAATGGAAATGCATAGTAACTTGTGCAGATAAATATATCGTCTTCCTTTTTTTTCTTCTTAAATGGCCCAATGCTATTGCTAACAATTTAATGCTGATTGTTGTTTAGAATCGAACAGGTGGGTAAAATGATCATTGTTACCAGTAGAATGTTCCTTAGTCACTGCTTTTTAATTTGCCGTGTGTGTGTGTGTATGTGTGTGTGTGTGTGTGTGTGTGTGTGTTAAGTGGGGAAGGCATTCTTTTTTTCAGGCATGTCATAATCTAATATTTTCATGGCCTGGAGAAGAAACCTATCCCTGTTAGCAGTCATTCTGCATCCTCTTCCCCACCTCCCAGCCCTAGGCATCCACTAATCTATTCTCTATCTTTTTGGATTTGCTCACTCTGGACATTTTATATAAATGGAACCATAAATTAACATGTGGTCTTTTGTGACTGGCTTCAGATTTTTTCTTTTTCTCTGTCTCTTTCTTTTTTTAGACAGGGTCTCGCTCTGTCACCCAGGCTGGAGTGCAGTGGCACAATCACAACTCACTGCAGCCTCGAACTCCTGGGCCCAAGAAGCTGGGCCCAAGCTGCCTCAGTCTCCCAAGTAGCTGGGACTGCAGGCGTGCACCATCATGCCTGGCTATTTTTCTTATTTTTTGGTAGAGATGGGGTCTTGCTATGTTGCCAAGGCTCAAATCTTTTCATTAACATATTGTTCACACCAGCCCGAGAAGTTTCAGTTATAGCCCCTGGTCTAAATGTGTAGATGCTGGCGTGAGGATAGAAATGGACTTGCCTTTCCTTAAGTCAGTGTCAGAGATGGCTTTTCCAGTCACAGTATTGAATAGGATGGATCATATTCTTATTTATTTTGGAGCTTCAGTCTCAGCTCATAAAGCTGAATGTGTTTTTTTGGCAAAATTCTTTTTTTTTTTTTTTTTTGAGATGGGGTCCCGTTCTGTTGCCGAGGCTGGAGTGCAGTTGCACAATCTCAGCTCACCGCAACCTCCGCCTCCCAGGTTCAAGCGATTCTCCTGCCTCAGCCTGCCAAGTAGCTGGGATTACAGGTACGTGCCACCATGCCTGGCTAATTTTTGTATTTTTAGTAGAGAAGGGGTTTCACCATGTTGATGAAACCACCAGGCTGGTCTTGAATTCCTAGGTGATCAGGCCTTGGCCTCCCGAAGTGCTGGGATTATAGGCATGAGCCACCGTGCCTAGCCTTTTTTTTTTTATTTTTTCAGTTAGAGTCTTGCTCTTGTTGCCCAGGCTGAAGTGCAACGGTGCAATCTTGGCTCACCGCAACCTCCATTTCCCCAGTTCAAGCAATTCTCCTGCCTCAGCCTCCCGAGTAGCTGGGATTACAGGCATGTGCCAGCATGCCCGGCTAATTTTGTATTTTTTAGTAGAGATGTGGGTTTCTCCATGTTGGTCAGGCTGGTCTCGAACTCCCAATCTCAGGTGATCCGCCCACCTCAGCCTCCTAAAGTGTTGGGATTATAGGCGTGAGCCACCGCGCCCGGCCACAAAACTCTTTAACCTGCATGGAAATCAAACCCCTGACCCTGGACTTCTTGTCTTCCTGGAGTGGCTCCCATCTATAGAGGGGGGTGGTTTTTATAATAGGATGTGATCGACAGGATTAAAGAAAAGTATATGAACAATAGAAATGGTTATTGTCATCGTTTTCAATAATTTCTAGTAATAGAAATATCTTGGGTACTTACAATTCAAAATGCTTCCTTTAGTTTGTCTAGATGTTCATAGTAACTCTGCTTTGGTAATTATAACATTTCCTTCTTGAGAAATACAATTAAGGAGAAAGCGGAGTGCTTGAGTTCCAAGCTAAATACAATATTTAAGGGAATTATTAGGTATATAAAACTGTACTCTCTATGTGGCAGGTGCTTCTCAATTATATTTGAGTACTTCCCTGGGGGACAAAAGTCAATTATCAACACAGTTGTGTGGGAGAGAAATAGGTCAGCTGCAAACATTCTTTGCTAATTTCAGAAAGCTTGAGGGGTGATTTAGTTTGAGGATGTGTTTTATTCTTTCTGTTTCTTTGTTGAGGACTCTGATAGGGAAGGCTCTGTTTTTCATGTAGTATTGATTGTCGTATTCATTTACTTTATTACAATATACATATTTCTCTTGCTCATGCAAAATGAAAATTAAACTATATCTAATATCTTTTTAAAAACTCTGTCAAATCGATATTGTAAGAGAAATGTGTACCATGGATATTACTGTTATGACTGTTTGTCCATTAGTAGAGACACCAAGGGTGTAAACCAACCCAATCAAAGGCAAATGTCATATTTACAAGTATTTTATTTATTTATTTATTTCCCCTCTTTAGTAAGAAGACACCAAAGAGTGCTAATTGTTGAATAAAAAACAAGGACCTTGGTATGTTTTCTAACAATTGTTTTATTTATTTATTTTTTATTGTGGTATAATAAATGTAATATAAAATTTGCTATTTTATTTTAAAGTATAGGTGCAGTAGCATTCAGTACATTCACTGCTTTTTGTTTGTTTGTTTTTTTTTTTTTTTAATGGCTGCAGCAGGTTATCAAAAAGACAGTGCAGGCAGGCAAAACGTATGTCCAACATACACGTATGTTAAAAACATCCGCCATTATTGTGGCCTCCCTCCACAACTGTGGTCTTATTTAAAGCAACAACAGCAACACAAAGCCAGACCTTGGAGTGCCACACCCAAGTGTGGGTTTGGGAGCTGAGAAGGGAACAAGCTGAAAGGAAGCCGCAAGAGCTGTGGAGACCAGCCGGGACCCTCATGGTGGGTATGGGAAGGTAGGAGTGGGAGGATGAGGCTGCCCAGGGGTAGTTCTGCCCCCAGATACTTGTTTTCACACTGCCTGACTGCTTTTCTTTTTCCTCCACTGTCTGAAGTTCAGACAGTTCCAAGATGATTTGGGTTAACAAGCAGCCTATTTTAAAAAGATAAATGTTCCCAGCAGTCTTTGGAGGCTCTATTCATTCATACATTATGGGAATTTGACTTATTGCTTGCAAGTATGCTCATTTTACCATCTTAACAAAGCGCACCCCAACAAAGCAGCCGTGCTCCCATCTCCCCGGATCTGTTTGCCCTTTCATGCCAGTGTGTTCCCCTTCCCTCCCCTCTGCCTGTACTTGCATGGCGGCCGCAGGTACCTAGACTTGGACGTAACCCCTGCTTTCATCCCTCCACTCCCTTGATCATGCCATTCCTTCACCTTAAAGTGCTTTCCCCATTTCCACTTGATAATCTTCCCACTTGTCAAAATCCGTCTTCAATATTCTCTGTGAATCTCTTTAATGTGGCACTAGGTCTCCTTCTCTGTCATGGCCCTTATACTGTGTTTTGGCTGTTCACTTATTAAATTCTCCTTTGTATAATCTAAATGTCCCTATGTCCCACTAGCCTGTGGGTATACATTGACATTATGCCCGTAATCACGCCTGTAATCCCAGCACTTTGGGAAGCTGAGGTGGGAGGATTGTTTGTGCCCAGGAGTTTGAGACCAGCCTGGGCAACATATCAAGATCCTGTCTCTACAAAACAAAACAAATTAAAAAAAAAAAACATTAGCCAGGCATGGTGGCATGCACCTGTGGTCCCAGATACTCTGGAGGCTGAGGCAGGCGGATTGCTTGAGCCTAGGAGGTTGAGGCTGCAGTGAGCTATGATTGTGCCACTGCACTCCAGCCTGGTTGACACAGTGAGACCCTGCCTCAAAGAACAAAAAACAAAGGAAGCAGAAGCAGCAGCAGAAGTTGTCATGTATCCACATTAATAGTCCATATATTGCTGGCTCACATTTCTCACCTAGAGACATAGGACCTTAACACCTTCCCCCTAACCTGTTGCCCATTTTTTCTGAGTCCAGTAAGTGTCTTAACGTGTGCTCACAGCTCCCCTGCTCATTGATGTCTACTGCCACCAGCCTTTGAAGAGGCTTCTGCTGCAGGAGCTGTGCCTTCCTCAGTGAGAACACAGCTTCTTCCTTCTAAGGTGCTGTTTTTCAGCACTGTACTCTTCAGCCTCCCTGGACAACCTGTGTTCCAGACTTTCGCAACTCTGGGTCACTCTGTGTCCCCTGGGTCCTCGAGTGACTCTTCTTGTGCCCAGTGTCTCCCAGATTCTTTTGTAAAGCCAGCTTCTGCAGCATGACCTGCATCTCTCTGTGGGGAACAGACATCATTCAGCCTCTGCCCCGAACTGCACCTAAAACCTGCTTCTAGCAGTGACTTTTGTACTCATTCATGTCGACCCACACGAACTGATGTAGACACAAACTCTTCGTCCTCTTTTAGGCTCAGTTACGCCATACTCACAGTAATTTATATATTTAAAATATTTTTGTTTTATGCATTTGTACTTGTGGTGGAGGTGGAGCAGGGAGTAAAAGGAGGAGGAGGAAAGGAGAAGGTGATGTCAGGGCCTGAAGCGTTTTCAAAGTTAGTGCAGGCCTGAGTAGGATATCGGAATGGGATCCTTGGGACAGAGGAGGGCACTGGTGCCTGGGCAGAAAGAGAGTGACTTGTGGAAGATGCTTTCAGAAAGGGAAGTGGATGAGGATCAAACTTGGTCTATTTCAAACTTTATTCTTGAAGTGTATCTGATAAGAATCTTTTCATTGCAAGCAAACAGAAAGCCAGCACAAATTGGCTACCGCAAAATATGGAATTATTGACTCATGCAAGTGAAAGCTCAGAGGCAAACTTTATACTTCAGATATTGTATGTTCCAAAGTTCGTGGCTTCATCAGCAGCTTTACTCTTTCTGTGCGGTTCATTTAACACTGTGTGTTCTTCTGTGTGCTGGTCTAGGCCTCAGTTTAGCACCCGTTATTGTGGTAGCAGTGGCCACAGTGATTCAGGATCTCCCATTTATCCACGATCCTGTCCAGTTAGGCTTCCTTACAATAGTTCCAGCAGAATAAAAAAGGAGAGGTGCCTTCTTTCCTCCCTCCTTCCCTCCTTCCCTCCCTCCCTTCCTTCCTTCCTCCCTTCCTTCCTTCCTTCCTTGCTTTCCTTGCTTGCTTTCTTTTTGCAGCTAATGGGGCTTTAAATACTGTCCCTGGCAGCACACACACACATGTGTACACGTGCTTGTGTGCATGTGTACACACATATGCATACACACACATACATATACACATTTCTTGAATCTCATTGAACTGAAATGGCTCATAAACCAACACTATGGCCAGGGGGACTGTCTTAAGGCAGCAGTTGGCTACCTAGAGATGAGATTGAGGTCAGCCCCACAGTGGCTGAGATTGGGGAGGGCAGTTTCCTAAGGGAATTTTGGACCCAGGCAGGATCGTGGGAACTTCTTCCTTCTGCTCCTCCTTCCTCTGGTACCACAACTTTCAGTCACTTCATGAGTTAGATATTGTTTTAAGTGTGGTAAAATAAATATAACAGAAAATTTACCATCTTTACCATTTTTTAGTGTACAGTTCAGTGACATTTAAGTACATTCACATGGTCGTGCCTACCAACATCACCACCATCTATCCTAAATAGGATTTTGTGGACTAATCTGGGAGCCTAGCTTTCTGTTGTAACAATTTATTTTAATGGGAAAATATGTAGCAAGTTTCAAATAACTGACTAAACAGTGAAGTTCTGGGACACCACATAACTATTGATACAGGGGAGACTGCCTGAATGAATACTTCTTAAGGCCTCTGTTTTCCTTGTTGCAAAACGGGGGTGAGAATGGGGAGGACTAGGTAACCTCTAAGATTCCATCACGTTCTAATATTATAGGACTTTATGGCTGTGTCCACAGATGTATGTGGTCAACTCATTCATTTTGGTAGAATATACTGTACAGTTAGCTCTCAGGTCTGAGGGTTCTGCAGGCTGACTGCGGGACTCAAGCATCAAGGACTTTGGTATCCATGGAGGGTCCTGGATCCAATTCCCTACTGATTCTGAGGAATGACTGTATTTTGCAGCTTTGGCAGAAAGCCTTTGTCACTTAAGTGCTGAGATGAACTCATACAACATACGGCCATTCAGTATCAAATATTGGAAACTTCAGATAAGGACATTCTTTTATAATGTAGCAAAGAGATGATGTGGAGTTTACAGGAGGAAAGATAATTTGGGATAGAGCTGGAATTTATAACTCTTTCAAGTATATGCATGCAGCATGAAAGGATGTGCAAAGAATAGAGTGGGCTGTCAAGGATGAAGTATTTGTGAAATGTGGTGAGATGGTTCTCAGATAAGCATCCTGGAAGTTATTAAGAGGAAGTCTGCTGAGGAATAGTATAGCTCCTGCTATTATAATTATTATAGCCACCAGGAAGAACAAGTAGCTAATGGGGCTTTAAATCTATAATAAAGAATAACACAAGTTGCCATATTGGAACTTTGCTGAAGGTGAGTGGAACCACAAGGTTGATTCTCATCATTTGAAAACACTGCATTAGGGACTTTTAATACTGACTTTCCTGCTTACTCCGTGTTTGCCACGGGCCTGATATTTGCACATACAGTTCAGCAAAGTTGCCTTTATTGCAAAGATGAGGTAGGAATTTCTGTTTTTAAGTAACATTAACTATTTAATAAGTAGATTCTGGTGGATATATTTTTTTAAATCATATGTCGAAGCACTAACTAATGTGATAGTATTTGGAGGTGCGGCCTTTGGGAGGTAATTAGGTTTAGATGAGATTTTGAGGGTAGGGCCCCTATGAGGGAATTAGTGCTCTTGTAAGAAGAAGAAGGGGGACCAGAGCTCTCTCTGTCTCCACAATGTGAGAATATAGCTAGAGGGTGGCTGTCTGCAAGCCAGGAAAAGGGCCCTTACTAAGAACCAAATCTGTCAGGATCTTTTTTTTTTCTTTTTCTTTTTTATTGACAGGGTCTTGCTGTGTTACCCAGGCTGAACTTGAACTCCTGGCTCAAGTAATCCTCCCACCTCAGCCTCCAAAGTAGCTAGGATTACAGGCATGCACGCTGAGCCCAGCTCTCTGTCAGTATCTTGATCTTGGACTTCCTAGCCTCTGGGACTGTGAGAAATAAACTCACATTGTTTAAGTTACCCATTCTGTGGTATTTTGTTACAGCAGCTCAAGTTGACTAATTCACTTGGTAAGCTGGTGCACTTGACTATTTTCCTTCTCATCCTTCTAGTCAGTAGCACATGCTCCTTATTCATTATGTAAACATTATATTTATATCCTGCTTTATTCTGGAAATGACTTAAGTTAGCTTGTGTATGATATCACAAGAGTGTTAGACTGTTGGCATTGCTATAAAAGAATACCTGAGACTGGGTAACTTATAAAGAAAATAGGTTTATTTTGGCTCACATATTTTGGCTTGCAGTCTGCAAGCTGTCCAGGAAGCATGGTGCCCACATCTGCTCCTGGTGAGGGCCTCAGCAAGCTTCCAGTCATGGTGGAAGGTGAAGGGGGAGCAGACATATCACATGGCGAGATTGGGAGCAAGAGGGGGAAGGTGCCACACTCTTTTAAAAAACCAGATCTCGCATGAACTCAAAGCATGAAATCACTCATTACCCTGAGCAGGGCACCAAGACATTCATGAGGGATATGCCTCATGACCCAAGCACCTCCTACTAGGTAAGCCCTGCCTCTAACATTGGGGATCACATTTCAACATGAGATTTGGAGGGGACAAAACATCCAAACCAGTAGGTGAATACAATGAACTGATGGAAAAAATACAGATGAGACAGAGTACACAAAATATATGCCACTAATCTTATTCACTGATTTGAGTCTGAACTTTCTAGAAACTACCTAGAGAGGAAAGCAAGGTCATTTATGAGATTTTTCAATGTCCAAGGGTAAAAGTAAACTTGTTTAAGAAAACTACACAAATTTCCCACCCTGAAACTAGAGAGAAACTTCTCCCATGTTCTCATAGAGTTGACACTGTATAAGACAGTAAATTGGCCAGGCGCAGTGGCTCATACCTGTAATCCCAGCACTTTGGGAGGTCGAGGCAGGGGGATCACGAGGTCAGGAGTTCAAGACCATCCTGACTAACATAGTGAAACCCTGTCTCTACTAAAAATGCAAAAAATTAGCCGGGTGTGGTGGTGTGCGCCTGTAATCCCAGCTAGTCAGGAGGCTGAGGCAGGAGAATCGCTTGAACCCAGGAGGCAGAGGTTGTAGTGAACCAAGATTATGCCACTGCACTCCAGCCTGGGCGACAGAGCGAGACTCCGCCTCAAAAAAAAAAAAGACAGTAAATTAAACCCTGAATAATTAAACCTTATAATTCTAGAGTTGTTTCTTATCATATACTTCAATATATAGATTATACTTCTCATCATGCTGGAGTACAATTCAATAAAAGCAATTATGTAGGAGCTATTGCTGTATGGTTCAGAAATGCCTGTGATTCTCAACCTTGGCTGTACATTAGAATTCCCATGTCCAAGCCACATCCCAGCCTAATGATATCTGGATTTCTTAGGGGTGGGACTCAGACATCAGCCTTTTTCAGAACTCTAGGTGATGGATGTACTTTTCTGGTCTGATGTAATTCAGGGGGAGATTTTACTTTTATTTTTTTATTTTTTTGAGACAGGATATCGCTCTGTTACCCAGGCTGGAGCACAGTGGCGCCATCACCGCCCATTGCGGCCTTAACCTCCTGGGCTCAAGCGATCCTTCCACTTTGGTTTCCAAGGTACCTGGGACTATAGGCACACACCACTGCGCCCAGCTAATTTTACAATATTTTGTAGAGACAGGGTTTCACTATGTTGCCCAGGCTGGTCTCAAACTCCTAGACTCAAGTGATCCCGCTGCCTTGGCCTCTTAAAGTGCTGGGATTACAGGTGTGTGCCACCATGCCCAGCCAAGCAGGGAGATTTTAGAGCAGCTCTTTTCAGCCAGGATTTATCAGTCAGGATACATTAGGTGATGTTGCAATAATAAATACTTCTCTAAAACAATAACAACAACAACAACAACACGGCCGGGCGTGGTGGCTCACGCCTGTAATCCCAGCACTTTGGGAGGCTGAGGCAGGCGGATCACGAGGTCAGGAGATCGAGACCATCCTGGCTAACACGGTGAAACCCCATCTCTACTAAAAATACAAAAAATCAGCTGGGCGTGGTGGCGGGTACCTGTAGTCTCAGCTACTCGGGAGGCTGAGGCAGGAGAATGGCGTGAACCTGGGAGGCGGAGCTTACAGTGAGCTTAGATCGAGCCACTGCACTCCAGCCTGGGCGACAGAGTGAGACTGTGTCTCAAAACAACAACAAAAATAACAACAACAACACAACACAGGTTTATTTTGCACTCACTCTGCATGCCTCTTGGTGGGTTAGCTGGGGTTAACTCACTGTTCTTTCTCCAGTAGAGCAGGCACCATGTAGAACATTACTGTTTGCTGCAGAAGAGGGTGTGAGAGACATGGTGGACCACACACTGGCTTGTGAAACTCTGCCTGGGTCTATGCTAAGCTGCTGTAATACTGAAACCAAAAGATCAATATATATTTCTTTGTCACTTAACAGTCTACAAGAAGGTGGGCAGTTCAGCGTGGGTGGTTGGCTGTATTCCAAGAGATCAGTGGTCCAAGGACGTAGGCTGTTGGGTGGCTTTGCCATTTTCAACATTTAGATTCCATCTTTGGATCCAGTGTGACCCCTACAGTCATTACCATTTTCTAGGTAGCTCAAAAGGGGAAAAGGAGGATAAGCAGCTTCCTTTTTAAAGGGATGACCCAGAAGTTAAACAGATTTCTTCAGCTCATAATCCATTGGCCTGAACTTTGTCATGAGGCGACATCTAGCTTCAAAGGAGGCTGAGAAATGCAGTCTCTAGCTGAGTTGCCATGTGAAGGCTAAAAATTGGGACAGCTCTATTTCTGGAAGGAAGGAGAGAATGGATGTTGGAGCCAGTTATGCAGACTATGCCTCATGATGATAATAGTTTCAAAGTTTGGTTTTCACGTAGAAGCATTTCCTTCAAATGAAATTGTGGATGTTGTCTTTGGTAGTCGACATATTTGGAGATGCTTTGATGAGGTGAGGGGATCTGTGTGGACCGCCCTCCCAGTTTCCTCCTCATACTCTCTGCAGCAGTTCTAGAGGCATCTCCAGGGACCCTGAGGGCTCTATGAAAATCATGGATGCAGATGAAGTGATGATTTACATATGCAGCAGAACATCCTCCCAGAATATTGTTCCTCGCAGAAGGACTTTGGATTGATATTGAAAATGGAACTGCATCCTTCTAGTCAGTTCTATCGCAAAAAGCCATCCCAAGCCCAGCCACCTCCCTCCATCGCTCCTCCTGCTGCCCTAGTTCTCAGCTTGCGCCACCGCCGTCTCTCTTCTGACCTACTGAAAGAATCTCCCTCTGTCCATATGCCAGCAGGTCCATTCTCTACGCAGCTGCCAGAGTTATCTTTTTAAAAAGGAAATCAGATCAGGCCATTTTTCTGTTTTAAAACCCTCTAATGGATTTCAGTTGGGTTTAAAATATAATCTAGATTCATTATTGTGGCCTCCAAGGCTCTGCAGTGATATAACTCCTGTCAGACTCTCTTACTTCATCTTCGTGTTTCAGCTTACTAACCCTTCTCCTCTCAGTCTCGGGTTTTCTTTATGTTCTTTTTTTGAGAGGGAGTGTCCCTCTGTCGCCCAGGCTAGAATGCAATGGCACAATCTTGGCTCACTGCAATCTCCGCCTCTCAG
The DNA here is from genome assembly GCF_000001405.40 of Homo sapiens. Classification (NCBI taxonomy): domain Eukaryota; kingdom Metazoa; phylum Chordata; class Mammalia; order Primates; family Hominidae; genus Homo; species Homo sapiens. The sequence goes on along the minus strand of NC_000002.12, from coordinate 152,077,653 downwards.
GTTCAGGCGTTTCTCCTGCCTCCAGCCTCCCGAGTAGCTGGGACTACAGGTGTGCACCACCACGTGTGACTCATTTTTGTATTTTTTTGTTTGTTTGTTTAAAAACAGAGTCTTGCTCTGTCGCCCAGGCTGGAGTGCAGTGGCGCGATCTTGGCTTACTGCAACCTCTGCCTCCCGGGTTCAAGTGATTCTCCTGCCTCAGCCTCCTGAGTAGCTGGGATTACAGGCACGTGCCACCACACCCAGCTAATTTTTGTATTTTTAGTAGAGACGGGATTTCACCATGTTGGTCAGGCTGGTCTCGAACTCTTGACCTCATGATCCATGTGCCTCGGCCTCCCAAAGTGTTGTGATTACGGGCATGAGCCACCGTGCCTGGCCAATTTTTATATTTTAGTAGAGACAAGGTTTCGCCATTTTGGCCAGGCCGGTCTTGAACTCCTAATCTCAGGTGATCCACCCACCTCGGCCTCCCAAAGTGCTGGGATTACAGGCATGAGCCACTGTGCTCGGCTCTTTATGTTCTTTTAATAAGCCAAGATTAGTCCTGCCTCCAGGCCTTAGCACTTCTGCTCTCCTTCTGGAATGCTCCTTCCTGAGCTCTCTAGATGGCTGGCTCTTTCATTCCCCAACCCAAACATTACCTTTTTAGAGAGACCTCCCCTGGCTGCTCAGTCCATGGCGGCCAGCCCCCCTCCCTGCTTACTCTCTGTCACATTCCATTACTATCAGAATTTACCTTCTGTAGTTTTCTTTTCACTTACTCATTTCTGTCAATTCTCACTGGAATGTAAGCTCCAAAGAGGCAAAGAACTGGTACATCCTTGTCATTGCACTTTCCAGGTTGACAGAATAGGCATCAGGAACGCCATATAAGTTTAGTAAATATTAACTGAAAATTGAACAGAATGACAGTGACTTTTGAGATCAGTATCTGGGTAGGTCCTAGTCTTTATTATCAGCTGAGTGAGGTATTACACAAGGATAGACAGGATGTCTTCCTTTAAGAATTAAGATATCTTTTAATACGTGTGCCTGAAAAGAAGGCTTAGAGATGATTCAAGGGCTGAGGGTCTTCTCAGAAAGTAATTTGGAGTTTACCTGAAACTATGTAAAGAGATGTCCATGGACCCATAGTTTCGAGCCCAAACACAAACTACAGTGACTTCTTGCATGGACAAAAATGAAAAGCGGCCAGGCGCAGTAGCTCATGCCTATAATCCCAGCACTTTGGGAGGCCGAGGCGGGTGGATCACAAGGTCAGGAGTTCAAGACCAGCCTGACCAACATGGTGAAACCCCATCTCTACAAAAAAATACAAAAAAAAAAAAAAAAACCCAAAAAATTAGCCAGGTGTGGTGTCAGGAGCCTGTAATCTCAGCTACTCGGGAGGCTGAGGCAGAGAATTGCTTGTACCTGGGAGGCAGAGGTTGCAGTGAGCCGAGATTGCACCACTGCACTCCAGCCTGGGTGACAGAGCTAGACTCTGTCTCAAAAAAAAAAAAAAAAAAAAAAAAGAAAAGAGGTGGTAATCACATGTCCTCCTTATTAGCTCCTGCCAAGGCCTACTAGCTTTCAGCAAGTTCCTTCCTAATCTACTTTGCAAAAAGACCTTATGACAAAATGCATACCCCACACACTGAATTAGGTGACAGGATTTCAGGGATATTAGCTACAGTTTGGTGAAATGCAGGTGAGCAAATATTTTACTCTCGTTTTGTTTGGATGCCTCATCCTTGACCTGCTTCAGGACAGTTTCCACCCTAATAGAGAGCATCCAGGGAGACTGTGGGCAGCACTGACTTTGGCCTCAGCTCTTAATCTTCTGGTGGCTGATGCTTTGGTCTGGGGCCCAGTATTCGATGCCTGAGTTCCTGTAGTTGAGATCTTTTAGTCCCAGACCTCCTCAGGAGGCAAAGACTTATTGGGCTCTGGAATTTGAGCTGGAGGCAGGGCAAGGCTAGGCTTAGCAGGAGTCTGTGTGTGTGGCTGAGGGGTGTATGGCTCAGCTGACCAGACCTGAGGCTCTCAGGCCAAGTCAAACGTGGGAAAGTCAGCAGAGCCAGCAACAGTGAGTCCACACTGCCCGTGTCCTTCAGGTTGGCTGGTCTCCACCTGGAATGCTCTCCCTTCTGTTGCTTTTTCTGGTGACTCTTAACTCCTTTTCTTCATGATTGCATATATGTCACAGCCTCTGTACAGCCTCATCTGACACTCCTGGGCAGGATTTGTTTCTTCCTCCCTTAATACGCTCAGAGTAACTCTCACATTGTTTTGCAGTGATATGTTTACAGGTCTCTCTCCCATTGACAGTGAACCTCCCAAGGACTTGGTTGTGACTTAATTTTCTTCAGAAGCAACACCAGCAGAGCTGTTGATGGAATCAGTTGTGGCATCAGGTGAATGGACTGAGTCCATGTTCTATCACTTTCTGTTTGTGTGACCTTAGGCAAGTAATAATGTGAAATAAGGATGATAATGCCTGCCTTGTAGGATGGTGTCAGAATTTTGAAAAATGAAATAATATATGTAGATATTGGATGCAAATTATTCTATTTAAAAGCACATCTCACTGTAGCTCTTCTTTTCAAGCAGGGTGGTGGCCATAATATGTATCGGTATTTGCCTTCCACTTTCAGAGACTGGTGGGAAGTCTGACATTTTAAAGCCTCTGCCTGTTTCTCTGTTTGTTGGGGGAACATCCTAGAGTGATGATGGTAATACTGGTGATGGCAGTGAGGGTGGTTGTGGTGATCACGGTGATATTAGTGGTTATGATGGTGCTGTTGATGGTCCTGGGTGTCAGGGCAGGGGTGGTGATGATGAAGATGGGGCAATAGTGGTGACTGTAGGATGGTGATGGTGCTTGGTAAGGGTTGGGTGGAGGTGAAGGTGATGGTGATGATAGAGGTGGTAATGGTGAGGGGGTGATGGTGATGATAGAGGTGGTAATGGTGAGGGGGTGATGGTGATGATAGAGGTGGTAATGGTGAGGGGGTGATGGTGATGATAGAGGTGGTAATGGTGAGGGGGTGATGGTGATGGTGGAGAGGAGGGTGGGGACGGTAGTAGTGATTATGCTGTGGTGACAGTGGTGACGGTTGTGGTGGTGCTGCTGGTGGTGATGGTGGTGGCAGTAGCGGTAATGGTGGTGATGGCGGAGAGGAGGGTGGGGACAGTAGTAGTGATAGTAGTGATTATGCCACGATGGCTTGGTGATGGTTATGGTGGTGGTGCTGCTGGTGGTGATGATGGTGATGTTGGTGATGGCGGAGAGGAGGGTGGGAATGGTAGTAGTGATTATGCCATGATGGTAGTGGTGAGGGTGCTGGTGGCGGCGATGGTGGTAAAGCGGTGATGGTGGTGATGTTGGTAATGGTGATGGTGGTATTGGTATAAATGGGGGGGTGCTGATGGTAGCTGTGGTGGAGATGGCAACGATGGTGGTGGTGATGGTGGTAGTGTTGGTGGTTCTTACCCTGGGTTCCTCACCTCTGTTGCTCAGCCTGCCTGTTGGGATTCATAGCCTCCTGGAGTGATGACTGCATAACATTGTTTTCTTTTGTTTTGCCATTCCTCCCCTGCCTGCCTGCCTTATTCTGAACTCAGTCCCCTTCACATGGGCTTACCTAGGACTCTTCAGCTGATTCTCAGCCTTTGACCCTGGACAATAGCTTTGGATCCAGCACAGCATCCTATCCTGCCTGCCCCTATCCCCTGCCTCTTACAGTCCTGCCTCTTCTGGTCCTACATCACTGCTTTTCACCTAGAAGCTAGGGACATTTCCTCATTAGATGAGGCCGTTGCATTGTTGTCAAATAAGAGCGTTTAATGCTAGAGGATTGCATTTGTTATTGAAGGGAATGCTCCAAGTTCTGAGAGCCCTGCTCTTGGAGAACACAGCTGGCAGTGGAGAATGGACTTTCTTTTAAGAGTGAAAGCAGATTGACAAATCTGCCCACCATTATCTCTTTTGTTCCATTTTTAAAATGTATTTTTAATTATTTTTGTAGATTGTTTTCATTATCCTGCACTGTTTTCCAATCCCTTAACATTACTTAACCTGTTTATTTAAATACTTAGCAATCTCTGCTTGTTCCAATTCATAATCATCCCATTCTTATGCTAACTTATGCCAGCCTTGGGGATGGCACTAGAATCTGGGGGTGGTGGCTAAATTCTCATGTAAACATAGCAAAGCACGATTGCCAGTTTACTACACAGGCGAATGGCATTGAGCTAAAGCATTCACTTCAAAGAGGAGGATGCTTCTAGGTATATTGAATTTGGCATGGGGTGATGGGTGAGGGTTGGAGAGGGAGATGTGTTTGGACCTTGGATGACAAGGAAGATGGTCTTTCCTTCTCGACTGGCTCCCTTCAATAAGGAAATCATTATGCTGGATTTGAGATGTTTCAGTTTGCTGATAGCTGACTTCCGTCTGCTCTCCTGGACCTTATTCTCTCTGCCAACTGCACAAGTAAATCTATATAGATTTCTTCCTGATGCCATTTGTGATATATTGCTCCCTGAAAGCATTTTCCTGATATTTTATGAAAATCCTTGAATTGGCCCTAAATTCTGGTAGTAGAAAGAGCATGATATTTTCAGCAAAAGCGTAAGTTCAAGGTCTAGCTTAACCATATACTAGACCAAGCCACTGAACTTGAATTTTAGTTTCCAACCCTATAAAACAGAGGTAATTGGCCAGGCATGGTGGCTCACGCCTGTAATCCCAGCACTTTGGGAGGCCGAGGCGGGCGGATCCTGAGGTCAGGAGATCGAGACCATCCTGGCTAACACGGTGAAACCCCATCTCTACTAAAAATACAAAAAAAAAAAAAAATCAGCTGGGCCTGGTGGTGGGCGCCTGTAGTCCCAGCTACTTGGGAGACTGAGACAGGAGAATGGTGTGAAACCGGGAGGCGGAGCTTGCAGTGAGCCGAGACCATGCCACTGCACTCCAACCTGGACGACAGAACAAGACTCTGGCTCAAAAAAAAAAAGAAAAGAAAAAGAAATGGAGGTAATCAACTTCTGTGCCTCATCATAAGGTTTTCATAAGCCTTGTTTGAGATATTACCAGTGAAAAAGGTTTATAATGTTAAAAGATTACTATAACTGTTACTAAATTTGACTTACGATATTATCTTGAGGCATGAATGCTCTTTAACTAGGAATTTTGTTGTTTAGGAAAAGTAAGTATTACAGATCTTTGTGAAAATAATTATACTCTTAAATTGCTTTTCATACACACATTTCCTTAAAATTTAATATTCATTAAGCTCCCCTAGCCACGTTGGATCTCTCAAGTTGTCTTGGAGCCAGCTCCGTGATGGACATTCCCCCAGATCTGTGCCTCCAGACTGTGCTCCCTTGGTCTGGAATGATGGTCCCCATTCTTGGCTGGTGTCCTACTGCTCATCTCTCAAGCCCTAGCTCAAAAGTCACTTCTCTGGAATCTTGAACTAACTGCTCCAGGCAAAAGGAGTCATTCTGACATCTTACAGCTCCTTGTTCTTATCTCTAAACTGCCCCTCTCAATTATTGTCATCTAACTGTAAATTAAACCTGATTGCAAGCTTCAGGAAGGCAAGAATTTTTGTTGCATTTCATCACTGCAATTCCCAATGCCTAGAACTGTGTCTGGCACATAGTGGGTGCTCAGTGTAAACCCTTATGGAATAAATGAATGAATGGATGAATGAATGAAATTAAATCACCTCTACCAGTTCCTAAATGGCAGGAGTGGTTTACATTGATGTTTCTTACACATTCATCTTGGTCAAGGCCTGGCTCTGGTATATTTGCACTATGTTTGTTGAATGAATAAATTTCTGGATTAGGAAATATTAGATGCCTTTAGAAAATAGAAGGAAAAGGCTAAATATTATAAGGTACTAAAGATACCATTGTACTTCCACACTATAATTGCTTACATTGCATAATTCTAATTTTGTTTTCGGGTTACTATAGGCCCAATTGCTATTTTTATAAAAACCTGCAATAAACATCTGGAGCAGTTTTTAAAAACCAAACCAACCAAATCTTAGGTTTCCCTTGACTAGTTTTTAATGTAAATTCTTAATTTTTTTCCCTAAAAATTGGCATAACCATCATTAACATAGAACATGCCGAGAGGTTTCATGTCTTTAGCAGCCTAATGTGTAGATATTAAAAGCTTCCCCTTAATAAGAATTACTGCAAATTCATGTTTAGTATCAAAATAATGATAGCCCCAAATTTTGCAAATGGCTGTTTGCCAGATCTTCTGTAACTCTCTCACCCCTGCTATGTTTGAGGAAGTGTTTCTCATAGTAAGGTTTTAAAAATTCTACTTACAAAATTATATATCCTCTTCAGCAGATGGGCTGACCGGCTTACAGTCTCCATGGTAACAAGGTTTCTGTATTTTTCCCCCTTTTTAAAATAGCCTAAAGTCACAGAAGAGAACTTAGATATTAATAGCCTAAGAAATTTCAGTGTGAACAACAGTTATTAAGTATACAGCCTTTGATTACTTGTTTCTTCATCCAGCATCATTTGTGATATATAGCAACTGTGATTAAGCATGTATGAATATAAGTTGGCTGAGTGCAGTGGCTCACGCCTGTAATCTCAGCACTCTGGGAAGCCGAGGCAGGCAGATGCTTGAGGTCAGGAGTTTGAGACCAGCCAGGCCAACATGGCGAAACCCTGTTTCTACAAAAATACAAAAATTAGCCGGGTGTGATGGTGTGTGCCTGTAGTCCCAGCTACTCAGGAGGCTGAGGCAGGAGACTCGCTTGAACTCGGGAGGCAGAGGTTGCAGTGAGCCAAGAGTGTGCCACTGCACTCCAGCCTGGGCAATAGAGTGAGACTCTGCCTCAAAATAAAAAAGCATATATGAATATAATTTTAATATTCATGCAGATTAGGATGTGCCAATTGGTTTGCTGAAATGATTAACTATTGGATACCTGTTTAAATTAGCCTCTCTTTCCCAACTTCCTTTTTGCTAGCCAAATCAGATTATGTACTACACTTCACTTAGGGGTCAACAGCATAGTAATAGTGCATTGCATTATTTCATTATCGATGTGAAAGACAAAACCAAGCCTGTCTTCTTCTTGTGTGGTTTCCGTGAACACCCATTTTTGTGTTAAGTGTAGTGTTTTTGCCAACTATAAAAAAAGCATGTATGACTTCATGGGGCCACAGCCCATGTTGACTTGATTGGGTTCTAGTATCTTTGATATGCATAAAGAATTACAACCCCAAACCAGCTAATACATAAATGATTCTCTAAGGCAAGTACACTAATAAAGCATGAAAAGATATTTTAAAGAGACGGGTATATTTGGTTTGCTAAAATTCTTGCATTTTCCTAAGAAGTGCCCTGTTCTTGATACAGTGTGGTTTGTACCTCCCACAGAAAAATCAATTCTTATTTTTGGATTGACTTTTAAATGTTTATTTTTGTGAAGTCATGACATATTCTTGCTTGTTTAGCTGTAAATATTGATGAAGTTGGCCAGGCGTGGTGGCTCACGCCTGTAATCCCAGCACTTTGGGAGGCCAAGACGGGCGGATCACGAGGTCAGGAGATCGAGACCATCCTGGCTAACACGGTGAAACCCTGTCTCTAATAAAAATACAAAAAAATTAGCCAGGCGTAGTGGCGGGTGCCTGTAGTCGCAGCTACTCAGGAGGCTGAGGCAGGAGAATGGTGTGAACCCGGGAGGCAGAGCTTGCAGTGAGCCGAGATCGTGCCACTGCCCTCCAGCCTGGGCGACTGAGCGAGACTCCATCTCCAAAAAAAAAAAAAAAAAAAAAAGATTGATGAAGTCGTTGTTCTATCAAAAGATCTAGAATAAAGGAGAATATTTTCTGTCCAATAGCAGAAAATTAAGAAAATTAAGCAGACCTGGAGTGCCTGGCCCTGCAATGGGCTCTTTTTAATATGTGATTGGAGCTGAAATCCTATGACAAGATCACCTGAGAGTTTCATTTATATATCTGTTAAAACTTTTTCACCTCATTTTTCCACTGTTGTGTCTCTATATTTATTTACTTTGCTGTCAGCTGATCAGGCTGAGCTATAAAAGACCCAGTGTGGAGGGTATGTGTGAAGGAAGAATTTGATTCTACTGAAAAAAAAAAAAAAAAAAGGCGTGTTCTTTATGTGCTTGTGATGAGATTCAGTGGGAGGTTGGTTGGGGGTGAGTATCTGGTGATGATGCTCTTATCACTGCCACTTCTGCTGCAAGATCAATTTCCTAGGAGGCTTTGAGGTCTTGACCCACATAAAAATACTCCTCCCCTGCCCTCCAAACTATTGGGCTTTGTTTTATCCCATGTTTCTGTGATAGCATGTATGCAGGTATTTATTTGGGAATTGATTCCATGGAGTGGGATTGGAGCGGGTGAAGAACTAATATCAGAATATATTAACAAGTTGGCCAGTGCTGGGAGCAATTAGTGATTGGTGATACCATGCCTCTCTGTGAAGCCCCATGAAATGTGGATCAGAAATGTCCACCCTGGACAGCGGTAGGGGGAAGCATTTATTCACCGGCATCTGTTCCCCATTGACTGAGAGTAGCCTCACAGGGGTTAGCTCCCTCATACTACCTAGTTGCACATGCGTGAGTGCCAAGCATCCGGCACCTCTTTGTGGCCAGAAAGCCAAAGGTCACCGCCTCAGTGTGAAGCTGGTCAAAGCCTATGTGGGCCTGATTATTGCCAGTGGCTAGAGGGGTAGGGCCTAGAGGACATGACATGGTTCCCAAAGGGACCAACTGTGCATCTCAAAGATATCAACATCTCTTTCATCAGTTCACTTTTTTATAGCCTCTGTGAAAGGAGAATTCTCCTTTCTATCCTTCCAGAAAACATAGGTGTGGATTCTTCGGTCTCATATAATAAATCTATACTAATGATCTTACCACCCTGACCCTTCTAATCACCTCCTCAGATCCAGCATCTCCACCTCATTAACAGGAAACCATCTTCCTATCCAGGCTTCTTGGAGCCATTCCATCTGGGTGTTAGGACTGGTTTCAGGTGTCCTTGTCAGGAGTTTGAACCCAGAGTCATGGAAGAGTACCCCCATATCAATAAATTATTCTTTATCCAACTTAGCATTTTGTAGCCCCTGGTCTAAAACCACTCCCGATGATCTTCCTCTGGTTCCCACTGATACATATTCCTTTGATGAATAAGCAGTTTACTTCTGCAGCAGGAACTATATTTCCCTGCTTGGGCTGTGCCGGGACCTGACTGTAGTTACTGGCTCAGAGGCAAAGAGATTAACTGGCAGCAGATCTTAAAAAGGACAAAAATTTCCTTGTTAGGCAGCTACCTCATGTGAAGACTTTGCAGGGTCTCTAGGCAAGGGGATATTGCTCTCCTCTAGCAAGAGGAAGGGAGAGTTGCTAATGGTTTGGAGAATTCAAAGGAACCTGAGGATTAAAGATTCTCAGATGTCTGCCCAGATGCCCTGATTCCAGGTCTTGGAATCCTCTCTTTTCCTATGAGGGCTCTGACTTTGACATGAGAGACGTACTGAGACTGTGCCTTCATTTTCCTTTGCAGGTCTTTCAGCTTTATAGTTAGTTCCTGAGCCTGATTTTCAGCCCCATGGCTGCAGGCAATGAGTCAACCTAAACACTGTCAAGGAGGCCTTTCACAATCCTCTTTGAGTTAATAGTTAATGCACCTAAACATATAATTTTAATATTACCTCTTCAAGGCTTCCAAAGCAGTTAATAAAAGCCATACAACTCCATGATTCTTATAATTACCATTGACCCTATGTCATTCAAGTACCACAACTACCACTTAATTCATTATTTCCCTTTCCATATGTACCTCATCCCAGTTCACCACAGGTAAGAGTTTTAGTAGATGTGATGCTACTGTATGCCTGCGATGATTGCTATCCTACTTACCACCAGCAATAGGGCGGGTGATCTAGCTCCATGATCCAGAGGGGCTGCTTTCTAAGGCCACTTGCCTTTATAGCTCAAGTCCCTGCAAAAACAGATCCTGAGATAATTGCTTGCATTCAGGTAGTTTATTTGGGATGAGATCCCAATTGGAGTAAAGGACCTAGGAAGAGAAAAGGGAAGGAGAAAAAGCCAGTACAAGAATACATTATCAGGCTGGGCACATTGGCTCATACCTGTAATCTCAGCACTTTGGGAAGCTGAGGTGGGAGGATTGCTTGAGTCCAGGAGTTCAAGACCAGCCTGGGCAACACAGTGAGAGGCACCCCCCCCCCCACACACACACATCTCTATAAAAAACAAAAAAGAATACATTATCAAACTGACCACTGCTGAGAATACTGGGTACTTGATCTCAGGCACTTTTGAGGAGCCATATAAAATATATCTCAGAACTGTCTGCCTTGGGGCTGACATGCAGAAGCATGTGTCCATTTGCTTCTGTCCCCATTGGCCAAGAGTGGCCCACAGGCATTTACTCCCCTGCACTTCTTTTTTTTAATTAATTAATTTATTTATTATTATACTTTAAGTTTTAGGGTACATGTGCACAATGTGCAGGTTAGTTACATATGTATACATGTGCCATGCTGGTGCGCTGCACCCACTAACTCGTCATCTAGCATTAGGTATATCTCCCAGTGCTATCCCTCCCCCCTCCCCCCACCCCAAAACAGTCCCCAGAGTGTGATGTTCCCCTTCCTGTGTCCATGTGTTCTCATTGTTCAATTCCCACCTATGAGTGAGAATATGCGGTGTTTGGTTTTTTGTTCTTGCGGTAGTTTACTGAGAATGATGATTTCCAATTTCATCCATGTCCCTACAAAGGACATGAACTCATCATTTTTTATGGCTGCATAGTATTCCGTGGTGTATATGTGCCACATTTTCTTAATCCAGTCTATCATTGTTGGACATTTGGGTTGGTTCCAAGTCTTTGCTATTGCGAATAATGCCACAATAAACATACGTGTGCATGTGTCTTTATAGCAGCATGATTTATAGTCCTTTGGGTATATACCCAGTAATGGGATGGCTAGGTCAAATGGTATTTCTAGTTCTAGATCCCTGAGGAATCGCCACACTGACTTCCACAATGGTTGAACTAGTTTACAGTCCCACCAACAGTGTAAAAGTGTTCCTATTTCTCCACATCCTCTCCAGCACCTGTTGTTTCCTGACTTTTTAATGATTGCCATTCTAACTGGTGTGAAATGGTATCTCATTGTGGTTTTGATTTGCATTTCTCTGATGGCCAGTGATAGTGAGCATTTTTTCATGTGTTTTTTGGCTGCATAAATGTCTTCTTTTGAGAAGTGTCTGTTCATGTCCTTTGCCCACTTTTTGATGGGGTTGTTTGTTTTTCTTCTGGGTTGCAAATGCATGAGTGTGGAGCTGCTCCTAAGCCTTAGTTGGCATTTGAAAGCTCTGGAGCAGGAGGTGAAAGGTATGTGGAAGGGGGAGAGGGAGGCAGAGGCAAGGTGCTGTCTGATTATACCTGTTTGAATCTGGTTGAGCCTGCATGTACGTGGCCACGTCAGCAGAGGCTGGAGTAAGATGTGGGGCTGAGAGGTTGCGAAGTACTTGAAGGGCTTCCTGTATAGGCTTTATTCCACTTGATTGATTTAAGATGCATTCATTTATTGTGCTCACTAAATGTATCCACTTTTCTTCTTTGTTTTCTATTATTTCTGATATAAATATATTTAACTTTTGTAACCAAGAATAGTGTTACTTTAAAAATATTATACCCCCTTAGGCCAGATGTGGTAGCAAACATCTGTAGTCCCAGCTACTTGGGAGTCTGAGACAGGAGGATCGTTTAAGCCCAGGAATTGGAGGTTGCAGTGATTGCACCAGTGCATTCCAGCCTGAGCAACAGAGTGACAACCCATCTTAAAAAAATTACCCCCTTACATAAAGATTTTAGGCTTAATGTGAGGACATATAGGACAACCTGAGGAAAGGACAAGTGGAGAGTGTAGAAGAGAGAGAATCAATGATGTAAGTAAATTTCTGCTTGCTGTTACTTTCCAAGTAGAATGTAGGAAAGTTAAACACTATAGCCAAGAGCCTGAATTTGTCCTGTGTGAAGTCCTTCAAGACCTAGTCAAAGTAGCACATTGCTAAAACCTTTTCTTCCCAGCACTCTTTCTTTCCCTCATACTTCAGTGGGCGGGGGTGATCCATGTGACTTTAGCAGATCTAACCAAGCCCTAAGTGAAGTTCCCTGGGGAAAAAGCATGTAACTTCTCTCTCTCTCTTTTTTTTTTTTTTCTTTTGAGATGGAGTCTTGCTCTGCCACCCAGGTTGGAGTGCAGTGGCACAATCTTGGCTCACTGCAACCTCTGGCTCCGGGTTCAAGTGATTCTCCTGCCTCAGCCTCCCGAGTAGTTGGGATTATAGGCGTGCATCACCACACCCAGCTAATTTTTGGTATTGTTAGTAGAGACAGGGTTTCACCATGTTAGCTAGGCTGGTATCGAACTCCTGACCTCAAATGATCTGCCCACCTCGGTCTCCCAAAGTGCTAACTTCTCTTAAAGTTGGAACTATTCTGGGTTTGGGTTGGGGGACAGACATGCAAGTAAATCACATTTACCACACAAGCAAGAGTATGCATGGAAAGGTGAATAAGAATCAGTCCTTGCCCTAAAGAGCCATTCCTTCTGCTGGTCTTGAAGTTTCATAGGAGCGCTGCTGTGTAGCAGCTGATTGTGAACTCAAGGGTCAAGCTTCTCTGGATTTAATATTGGGGGTCTAGTTTCTCTCTATGACAGGTGGAGAGGATTTCTTGGATTTTATGACAATCTAGACAGAATTTCTTAGATTTTATGGTCTAGTTTCTTTGCCCGGATATATTTTGATACCAGTTTTTGGGTAACTGTCTTAGGTGATAATTATGAAAAAGTCTGTTTTCTTTCTTACCTGTATTTATTATTTGAAGAACATATGTATGTACTACTTTAAAGTACATTATAGGGCCGGGCGTGGTGGCTCATGCCTGTAATCCCAGCACTTTGGGAGGCCAAGGTGGGCGGATCACTTGAGGTCAGGAGTTTGAGACTAGCCTGGCCAACATGGTGAAACCCTGTCTCTACTAAAAAAATACAAAAATTAGCTGGGCATGGTGTGGCGTGCCTGTAATCCCAGCTACTTGGGAGGCTGAGGCAGGAGAATCGCTTGAACCTGGGAGGCAGAGGTTGCAGTGAGCTGAGATCGCAACACTGCACTCCAGCCTGTGTGACAGAGCGAGACTCCGTCTCAAAAATAAGTAAATAAAGTACATTATAAACATTCTGGTGCATATACAAAAATGAAATATTAAAGAATAAAATATAGATTTGAATATGGAAATAGAGACTTGAATATTTTCTTCCTGCACTCCAGCAAATGTTTTTGCCTTCTCCCTGGGCTGCCAAAGTCCACGTGGGAGACATCCGATTCAGATGTCCATGGCTCCCTTCATGCACTTCAACAATGTGAATTTTAAGAGATGTTTGGACCCATGTACTCACCGTTAGACATAGCTAGACCTAAACTAACCTCTGTGTGTAGTTATATATTGAAGACTGTCTTCCTAACATTTCAGAACTTCTGTTAATTTCCAGTACTCTATCATTCACAAGACTGTTATTACATTGTCTGCTGAGAATTACAATGAATTTAGAACAGGGGTGTCAGCCTGTGTTGGCAGATAGGTTTTGTTTGGCTCATCATTCAGAAAAAAATAATTTTGAATGACTGCCAAGATTTGAAAGTTGGGGGATTTTGTACACGAGTCTGAATTTTCAACTTTTCTGGAAAAATTGTGAGGAATGGCAAAACTGGCTTTTCATTCTTCTAGGAAGACATTCGGAGCTGATGGGTGGCTGCCTCTTTTAGGTAGGCATCTGCCCTCTTGGTCCTCATTAACCCTGCCCCCCGCCTCACAGCCAGTGTGCTTCACTCACTTATATTACTTATGTGTCTTCTGTAGAATTTAAGTTGTTTGCTTTGGTCTAAATTTTGCAAGTGTTAATATTAACACAGGCTTCTTGAAATTATGTAATATGCAGAAAACTCTTCAAACCTCAATCTGTGAGGAGTGCTGTTTACCTGGTTTATTTGCTGAGAACCCCAGGAGCTTGATTGCATGCACAGGCTGGAGCTGGCTTGGTGCAGTGTGATTTTCCAAACAGCCTCTAGAGCAAGATTGCCTGGGTTCAGGTTCTGACTCTGCTGTTTTCTAACTGTGGGACCCTGGGCACATTAATCACTCTCTGCCTCAGTTTCTTTATCTGCATAATGGAGCTAATAAATGAATAGATGTAAAATAACAGGCTAATAACATTGCTTGGCACATAGTAAGCATTTAGTATGTGTTGGCTGTTATCTTTAATTTACCAATTCCTATAATTGGGTATTTTGTAATGATTTTGAACAGATTTGGAACTGTTAGAGGCTATCTAAACTGGTTGAGAATAACTAAATTTACACTGTAGAATCATCTATGTACAGTTCACTGAACAGTTAACTGATTACCAATATATGTGCAATAAACTCCCAGTGACATTGCGATATGTCTGGAATGGAATCTAATCCCTTCTCCCTAAGAGGTTAGTGAATTCCTTAGTATGGAGCAGCTGAGGGAATTGTCTCTGTCCAAGTCCATCTGGATGCTTCTGACTCATCTGCTGATCCTCCTCTGCGTGGATGTCTGGCCCACACCCTAAAGCTAATCTGAGTCCCAAGGGGCATTTTCTTGTCCAAAAGTTGATATGCTAATTTCAGAGAAGTGCTAGCCTTTCTGTCTAAAATTGCTCACAGTTCACACCTCATGTCTTGTCTTCTGCTCTGTTTCCTTCCTAATTTGGCATTACACAGGTCTGTGCAAAGCCAGACTTTAAGGAAGTTCCCTCTCCTCCCGTGTCCTCTGCCAAATGCTTCCCGTCTGTCATTGGCAAAGGCTCTGTCTTGCCATGATGGGAGAGGCCAGGAGCTGCTCCAAAGCTGGTGGAAAGAGAGCCGTTCCACGTTCAGTGCTCCGTGAAGAGCTGCTTCCACTATTGAGATGGGGAGGTGATTAGGTCTAGGTGGTTTCCAGTTTGGCTTAGCCACAGAGATCTTGCCCATTCTGTGTATGTACCCCCTTGGCTTGCTTTAGGAATGCATGTATCTGTCAGAAGTGCTGTTTTTCTGGAAATTTCTTTGTTCTGGTGGTTTAAAGCAACTATCCTTATGCAACTGACACAGTACATAGAGAGACTGGATCAAAAATGAAATAAAATGATTTAGAAGAGTGGTCAGTGAAGTGTTGGTCTCAACTCAATGGCGGTGTCAACTCAGTGGTGTGACTGGACTGGCCTCTGGCTGAGGGGATGTTCACAGTCTTTGCTGCCTGAATACTGTTTTTCCTAAACTCTCTAGCTAGTTTTTTTTTCTATCTGTTGTAATGCATTAGGAATTCCATGTATTAGCATGTGTTTATTCACTGAATTAATGAGTAGTTAACCAAAAATTAGGGGAAATTTTCACAATAAGGTACATAGAAAGTGAATTTATCTAGTAATCTTAAGTATTTGCTGAAAAAGAATTACTCAGGGTATCAGGAAATCCAGAAAGCATTCCTAATCATTATTATTATTATTATTATTATTATTATTATTATTTTGAGATGGAATCTCACTCTGTCACCCAGGCTGGAGTACAGTGGCGCGATCTCCGCTCACTGCAACCTCTGCCTCCTGGGTTCATGTGATTCTCCTCTCTCAGCCTCCCGAGTAGCTGGGATTACAGGTGTGTGCCACCACACCCAGCTAATTTTTGTATTTTTAGTAGCGACAGGGTTTCACCATGTTGGCCAGACTGGTCTTGGACTCCTGATCTCTGGTGATCCGCCTGCCTCGGCCTCCCAGAGTGCTGGGATTACAGGTGTGAGCCACTGCACCTGGCCCCTAATCATTATTTACATGATCATTCTTTATTCTACTGTTTGAGATGACAGTCATATCTGGAAACATTCATAACTTTTTTTTTTTTTTGCTTTGAGAAGCAGAAATCACAGTGGCTAGATTTGGATTTTTGAATTTACATGGTTTATGACTTGAGCAAGTCATTTAAGATCTATGAAATTGATGTAATATGCTCTTTTTACTTCACAAAGTTTTGGGAGGCTCAAATAAGCCTACTTACTTAAAGCTGTTTTTAAAAGTAAAATGTGATAGATTACATGAGTTATTTTTGCAGTCTAGATGTTACTATAGTAAATATTCAATTAGTAATCATTTGCTAAATTTGGACAATACTAATTACCTCTTTTCTCTATTTTAAAAATTTCAGATATTTTTAAAAACTAAATTAATTTTTTTTTAGAGACAGGATCTTGCTCTGTCACCCAAGCTGGAGTTCAGTGGCACGATCATAGCTCACAGCAACCTCCAACCCCTGGGCTCAAGCAATCCTTCTACCCTAGCCTCCCGAGTAGCTGGGAGGCTACAGGCATGTGCCACCATGCCTAGCTAATTGACAAAAATTTTTTGTGGAGACGGGATCTCCTTATGTTGACCAGGCTGGTCTCAAACTCCTGGCCTCAAGAGATCCTCCCACCTGAGCCTCCCAAAACGTTGGGATTATAGGCATGAACTATCTTGCCCAGCCAGTTTTAAATATTTTTGATTAAAAAGAAATATATGTTCATTGCAAAACATCTGTGAAACACAGAAAAGTATAAAGATCACCTATAATATGGCAACTGCTATATATTAACATTTTGTTACATCTTTTCATATTTTCTGTGTATATGCACACATAGATATAGACAATGCTTTTTTTTACAAAAATTTATGTATTGTTTTGTTATTTGATATTTTCATATAAGACTGTATTGTAGACATCTTTTCCAGTTAATAAGATCTAGTTCATCACTGTTAATCTGATGTGTAGATGTACCGTGATGTATTTAACTTGCCCCTGTTGCTGGAGATTTGGTTTTCCAATATCTTATATTTTCTTGATGCTGATGTTTTATTTTCTTATGATAAATGTATAGAGTTGGAGTTCCTGGGCAGTTGTTTTCTAAGTTGAAAATCTAATGTACACTGCTCCCTCACCCCTTGACATGAGTTGTGGAATAGCTAATAATGTAGATTGTATGCTTTTTTACAGTCCTTGATACATTTTGAGCCTCATAGCATGCTATAACATTGGATTTATCAGAGCAGTAGTTTTCCTTGAACCTATTCAAAGGAGGTATGCTTAATTTAAAAAATCTGAAGACCTCATTATAGCATAGTTTTACTTGTAGCTCAGCAGTGGTTCTCCTGTGAATTAATAATGCATTAATAATTTTAAATCTTTTAATGTAATGGTATGAAATGAATCAACATTCAGCAAACATTTACTGAATCCCAACTGTTGATTAACTTTTTACTACACACCAAAGGCTATAAAGATGAATAAAACTCAAGTCATTTTCCTTGAAAAACAGTCTAGTGTGGGAGATAGATGTGTAAGCAATTAATTATATAACATTGTATTAGTCCATTTTCACACTGCTATAAAGAAACACCCAAGACTGGGTAATTTATAAAGGAAAGAGGTTTAATTGACTCACAGTTCCACATGTCTTGGGAGGCCTCAGGAAACTTACAAACATGGCAGAAGGTGAAGGGGAAGTGAGGACCTTCTTCACATGGTGGCAGGAGAGAAAAGAGTGAGGAGTGAAGAGGGAAGAGCCCCTTATAAAACCATCAGATCTGGTGAGAACTCACTCACTATCATGAGAACAGCATGGGGGAACCACCCCCAAGATCCAATCACCTCCCTCCTTGTCACTCCCTAGACATGTGTGGATTGCAATTCAAAATGAGATTTGGGTAGAGACACAGAGCCAAACCATATCATTCTGCCCCTGGCCTCTCCCAAATTTCATGTCCTCACATTGCAAAACACAAATCATGCCTTTCCAACAGTCCCCCAAAGCCTTAATTCATTTCAGTATTAACCCAAAAGTCCAAAGTCCAGTCTCATCTGAGACAATGCAAGTCCCTTCTGCCTATGAGCCTGTAAAATCAAAAGCAAGTTAGTTCCTTCCAAGATACAATGTGGATACAGGCGTTGGATAAATGTTGCCATTTCAAATGGGAGAAATTGGCCAAAACAGGGGCTACAAGCCCCATGCAAATCCAAAATCCCACAGGGCAGTCATTAAATCTTGAAGCTCCAAAATGATCTCCTTTGACTTCATGTTTCACATCCAGGTGATATTATTGCAAGAGGTGGGCTCCCACAGTCTTGGGCAGCTCTACCCCTGTGGCTTTGCAGGGTACAGCCCCTGCTCCCACCCTGGCTGCTTTCACGGCTGCCGTTGAGGGTCTGCAGCTTTTCCAGGCACACACACAGTGCAGGCTGTCAGTGGATCTGTCATTCTGGGGTCTGGAGAATGGTGGTCCTCTTCTCACAGCTCCACTATGCAGTGCCCCAGTGGGGGACTCTGTGTGGGGACTCCAACCCCACATTTCCCTTCTGCACTGTCCTAGCAGAGGTTCTCCATGAGGGCTCCACTCCTGCAGCACACAAGTGCCTGGACATCCAGGCATTTCCACACATCCTCTGAAATCCAGGCAGAAGTTTCCAAACCTCAGTTCCTGTCTTCTGCACAGCCACAGGACAAACACCACATGGAAGCTGCCAAGGCTTGGGACTTGCACCCTCTGAAGCAATGGCCCAAGCTGTACCTTCGCCCCTTTTAGCCACAGCTAGAGTGACTGGGACAAAAGGCACCAAGAGGCTACATACAGCAGGGGGGATCCTGGGCACAGCCCATGAAACCATTTTTCCCTCCTAGGCCTCTGGGCCTGTGATGGGAGGGGCCACTGTGAAGGTCTCTGACATACCCTGGAGACATTTTCCACATTCTGTTGATATTAACACTGGACTCCTGGTTACTTATGCCAATTTCTGCATCCAGCTTGAATTTCTCCCCAGAAAATGGGTTTTTCTTCTCTACCACATCATCAGGCTGCAAATTTTCCAAACTTTTATGCTCTGCTTCCCTTTTAAACATAAGTTCCAATTTCAGATTATCTCTCTCAAGTTCAAAGTTCCACAGATCTCTAGGACAGGGGCAAAATGCTGCCAGTCTCTTTGCTAAAGCACAGCAAGAGTTACCTTTGCTCTAGCTCCCAATAAATTCTTCATCTTCATGTGAGACCACCTCAGCCTATACTTCACTGCCCATATCACTATCAGCATTTTGTCAAAACCATTCAACAAGTTTCTAGGAAGTTTCAAATCTTTCCACATCTTCCTGTCTTCTTCGGAGCCCTCCAAACTATTCCAACCTCTGCCCATTACCCAGTTCCAAAGTTGTTTCCACATTTTTGGGTGTCTTTATAGCAGTACCCCCCTCTTTGCGGTACCAATTTACTGTATTAGTCTGTTTTCATACTGCTGTGAAGAAATACTTGAGACTGGGTAATTTATAAAGGATAGAGGTTTAATTGACTCACAGTTCTGCATGGCTGAGGAGGCCTCAGGAAACTTTACAGTCATGGAGGAAGGCAAAGGGAAAGTGAGGACCTTTTTTACATGGTGGCAGGAGAGAGAAGAGTGAGGAGCAAAGTGGGAAGAGCCCTTTATAAAACCATCAGACCTTGTGAGAACTCACTTATTATCATGAGAATAGCATGAAGGAAACTGCCTCCATGATCTAATCACCTCCTACCAGCTCCCTCCCATGACACATGGGGATTATGCAGATTACGATTCAAGATGAGATTTGGGTGGGGACACAGCCAAACCATATCAAACATCATGGTAAGTTGTATTATAGTATGTCCTTGGAAAAATAAAAGTTTCCTTCCCTCTGCCTGCCATAGGCAGAGACTAGAGAGAAGAATGGGACTTTGTCAGTGTACCTCATTAGGACTTTTCAGGGGTCAGTTCAATTCAAAGTCTCTGCTGAAGATCTGTGCGTGTGCATATGCCTCTGTGTGTGCATGTGTGTATGTATATACATATTTTAAAACCTGAAATGGGTGTCATGGAATAGAAGGGGAGTGAGAGGGAGAGACTGAGTAATACAATCTAGTGGCCAAAGGATTCTTACAGACTAAATGTCCGGTATTCAGTTTTGTGCTTTTAGGATTTTTGTAATGTAAAGCCTCCCTGTCTCCCTAGCCC
Organism: Homo sapiens; assembly: GCF_000001405.40. NCBI lineage: Eukaryota > Metazoa > Chordata > Mammalia > Primates > Hominidae > Homo > Homo sapiens. Next base: position 152,057,500 of record NC_000002.12, on the reverse strand, counting down.
ATGAATAAAGTCTTCTGTATACACAGAAGTCACAAGTGAAGGGGCAGTTTGTTTATTTTTAGGTTTTTGTATTCCTTAATTATTGTTGCATGAATAACACACATTTGTTTTCTCCTAATTTTTGTGGCTTAGGAATCTAAGCATGGCTCAGCTGTGTCTTCTGTATCACCTGTAGTCACAAGGCTGCAATGAGGGTGTCAGCTAGACCTGGGGTCTCATCTGAGGATTTGTGGGAAGGATCTGCTTCTCAGCTCATTTGCATGGATTTTGACAGCATTCAGTTCCTTAAGGTGTGTTGGACTGAGGGTCTCGGTTCCTTGCTGGCTGTTGACAGGAGACCACCCTAAGTTCCTTACTATTAATACATGGACCTCCAGCCAGTGAGAGAGAGTCTGCTATTAATAACAAGATGACAATCACTATCTTTTGTATTGATTAGGGGAGTGACATCCCTCAATGTTGCCGTATTCTGTTGGTTACTCATGAGAAGAGGATTGTACATGACTAGGAATACTGGGAGGTGGAGATCTTTGGGGGCCATCTTAGAGGCTTGCTATCAGAGCTTTCAGTGGAAATCAGCATAAGGAGTTGAGGTCTATGTTTGTAAAAGTAAGGGATAGTCACAAGACACATAGCAGAGAACAAGAAGTCAATGAGGGCAGAAAGTTGGAGGTAACAGTATCCATAGGATAATCACCATTCTCGCCTTATTGTCTAGGGATTTCAGACATCCTGAATGGGTACTAAATTTTCCACAGGATGTGGAGTTGTGGTGCAAGCAGTGGTAACTGGAGCATAAAGAGCAGCATGATTCCAGTTGCCATCTGGGTTATAATAATAATAGAACTATGAAGAAAATGCCAAGGGCATCACACACAGGTAGAGTCTATTAATTGCCTAGCAAAGCTGGGAAGACGTCACTAGGGGGTGGCATGTCTAGGTCTTCCCGTGTGAGCAGCAGAAGGAAGGTACCTTCCAGAGCAAAGGAGTTTCTAGTAGTGCAGTGGTTTTAGTAAACCTGGAGAAAGTTGATGAGGCTTGAGTGTGTGAAACATGGGAGATAATTGTAGCGGATAAACTGACAAAGCATTTGGGGACACGATATTTCTGAAAATTTCTAATTTCTTTTTTTTTTTTTTTGAGACAGAGTCTCACTCTGTCACCCAGGCTGGAGTGCAGTGGCGTGATCTTGGCTCACTGCAAGCTCTGCCTCCTGGGTTCATGCCATTCTCCTGCCTCAGCCTCCCAAGTAGCTGGGACTACAGGCCCTGCCACCATGCCTGGCTAATTTTTTGTATTTTTAGTAGAGACGGGGTTTCACCGTGTTAGCCAGGATGGTCTTGATCTCCTGACTTCGTGATCCATCTGCCTTGGCCTCCTAAAGTGCTGGGATTACAGGGGTGAGCCACCGTGCCCAGCCGAAAATATCTAATTTCTAAAAAATCTTGCGGGTATTGATGAACCAATTGGTATAACCAGATTTTTAAATATGGTCCTTCTGGCTTCAGTGTGGTGGGTAGTCACAGGGGCGTGGTGGTGAGTAGAAACCATGTGAGGAGGTGATGATAGTAACAGGCGAGTGAGGATATAAACATACTGAGCTTCGGTCGCCACTCACTTGCTGTGCCTTGACTGCTCTTTGTCACACTTTGCCCAGTTTCTGTCTCCTTCCTCCTTAGTAGTCAAAGTTTGAAAATTTCAGAGGTTAGAGTTCCTCCGAAAAAAGTTATTTGTCTTGGCAATAGCTTCTTAATTATCTTCTTAGAATCAGGGGGGAAATCAGCCTTCAAAGCTATTTTAAGGATTAATTAACAATTCTGAAAGGCTCCAGAAGCTTAAAAGCCTTATCTAGACTTTGCAGTGTTCAGTAATAATCAAAGTGATAATCAGAGCACAGCAGGACTCAGTGGGGTGTGCAAATCCATTCATGTCTTGCATTGCCTGTGGGCTGTGTGGTCTGCCATGTCTCCATAAGTGAGTGAGTCAGGGTAAGGAGAGGCCCTGCTGCTAAAGTGGAAAAGAATCAATGCCTACAACTGACAATACAAGCTGAAAAAAGCTTGTTTAAAGTTGATCTTAAGATATGGCACTGAAGCACAAGTAACCAAAGAAAAAAATGAATAATTTGGAGCTCATCAAAATTAAAAACTTCTGTGCTTCAAAGGTTACTATCAAGAAAGTAAGAAGAAGACCAGGCATGGTGGCTCACACCTGTAATCCCAGCATTTTGGGAGGCCAAGGCAGGCCGATCACTTGAGGTCAGGAGTTCCAGACCAGCCTGGCCAACATGGTGAAACCCTGTCTCTACTAAAAATACAAAAATTAGCCAAGTGTGGTGGCATGTGCCTATAGTCCCAGCTACTCGGGAGGCTGAGACATGAGAATCCCTTGAACCTGGGAGGCAGCGGTTACGGTGAGCTGAGATTGTGCCACTGCATTGCAGCTTGGGTGACAGAGCAAGGCTCTGTCTTAAAACAAAAAAGAAGACAACCCACAGACTGGGAGGAAATATTTGCAAATCTTATATCTGATAAGGGACTTGTGTCTAGGATATATAAAGAACTTTTAGACTCAGTAGAAAAGACGTTTCAAAAATAGGCAATGGATAGGAATAGACATTTGTCCAAAGAAGACATACCAGTGGCCAATAATCACATAAAAAAAAGTGCTCCGTATCATTAGTCACCAGGAGGAAATGCAATTCAAAACCACAATGACATGCCACTTTACACCCACTAGGATGGCTATAATAAAAAAGACAGATAATTTTTGGCAAGAATATGGGGAAATTGGAATCCTCATACACTGCTGGTAGGAATGTAAAATGGTGCAACTACCATGGAAAAGTTTGGCAGTTTCTGAAAAGGTTAAGTATAGAGTTATCTTATGACCCAGCAAGTCCACTACTAGGTACATATGCAGGATAAATGAAGGCATGTGTCCACACAAAAGCCTATACAAGAATGTTTTTTGCAGCATTATTCGTAATAGACAAAAAAGGAAACAACCCAAATGGTCATCAGTTGATGAGTGGATAAGTAAAATATGGTCTGAAGAAAAAATAAACAATTTTTCTCCTCTACTGTCATACAGTCACTCAACACAATACTATTTTTTTTTTTTTTTTTTTTTTTTGAGACGGAGTTTTGCTTTGTCGCCCAGGCTGGAGTGCAGTGGCGCGATCTCGGCTCACTGCAAGCTCCGCCTCCCGGGTTCACGCCATTCTCCTGCCTCAGCCTCCCGTGTAGCTGGGACTACAGGCGCGCGCCACCACGCCCGGCTAATTTTTGTATTTTTAGTAGAGACGGGGTTTCACCGCGTTAGCCAGGATGGTCTCGATCTCCTGACCTCGTGATCTGCCCGTCTCGGCCTCCCAAAGTGCTGGGATTACAGGCGTGAGCCACCGCGCCCGGCCAACACAATACTTCTTAAGTGTAGAGGGTTTTTTCCACACACCAAACAATCCTCCAGCAGGTGCAAACTGGGTATCCTATAATTTTACTCAATTCTGACACTAGCTACTTGAAGACAGGATCAGATCCCACATGTTGAGGGCTCAGTCAGCACCTCTCCCCCAGTTTCAGATGCCAATCGCAAGTAATAGATTGTTACCTATACTTCTAACTGAGGGATTCCCATGACCCTCATTTTGGGTTCAGTTAATTTGCTGGAGCAGGGCCAGGTGTGATGGCTCATGCCTGTAATCCCAGCACTTTTGGGAGGGTGAGGCAGGAGGATTGCTTGAGCCCAGGAGTTGGAGACAGGCCTGGGCAACATAGTGAGACTCTATCTCTACAAAAAATTGAAAAATTAGCTGAGCATGGTAGCATGTGCCTGTAGTGCCACCTAGTCTGGAGGTTCAGGTGGGAGGATCTCTTGAGCTCAGGAGGTCGAGGCTGCAGTGAGCTGTGATCACACCACTGCACTCTAGCCTGGGTGGCAGAGCAAGACCTTGTTTCAAAAAAAAAAAAAAAAAAATTCCTAGAGCAGATCACAGAACCCAGGGAAACACTTACATTTACTGGTTAATTATAAAGAATATTTTAAGGATACAATCGAACAGCTAGTTGGATGGGTGGGGAACATGGGGCTTCCATGCCCTCTCCAGGCGTGTCACCCTCTAGGCACAAACTCAGCAATCCACAAGCTCTCCAAACCCTGCCCTTTGGTTTTTTATGGAGCTTCATTAAGTAGGTATGATTGACTACATCACTGTCCATTAGTGATCAACTCAACTTACAGCTCCCGCTCCCTTCCCAGAGGTTGAGGGTGAGGTTGAAAGTTACAGGCCTCTAGACATGTCCTGGTCTTTCCTGACCAGCCCCCTTCTTGAAGCTACCTAGGGGTTCTCAGCCATCAGATATTCACTTTTGAATATCTTTTTTATATTCAAAACTATAGTTCCAGAGTTCTAGAGATTCCAAGGGCTTTAGGAACTATGTGCCAGGAATTAGAGGCAGAGACAAAATATATGTCTCTTATTATATCTCACTATCATATATGATATTTCTTTTTTTTTTAGACAGAGTCTTGCTATGTCACCGAGGCTGGAGTGCAGTGGCGTGATCTCGGCTCACTGCAACCTCCATCTCCCGGGTTCAAGCGATTCTCCTGCCTCAGCCTCCCAAGTAGCTGAGACTACAGGTGCCTGCCACCACGCCCAGCCAATTTTTTTTTGTATTTTTAGTAGAGATGGGGTTTTACTATGTTGGCCAGGGTAGTCTTGAATTCCAGACCTTGGGATCCACCTGCCTCAGCCCCCCAAAGTGCTGGAATTACAGGCGTGAGCCACCGCTCCTGGCCCACATATGGTATTTCTATACAATAGAATATTATTTGGCAATAACAAGGAATGAAGTACAGAGGGTCCTTGACTTAAGATGGTTTAACTTTAAGATGATGTGAACAGCCAGGTGTGGTGGCTCATGCATGTAATCCCAGCACTGTGGAAGGCCGAGGCGGGCGGATCACCTGAGGTCAGGAGTTCAAGACCAGCCTGGCCAACGTGGCAAAACCCTGTCTCTACTTAGAATACGAAAATTAGTCAGGAATGGTGTGCCTGTAGTCCCAGCTACTTAGGCTGTGGCATGAGAATTGCTTTGAACCCGGGAGGTGGAGGTTACAGTGAGCCGAGATCACGCCACTGTACTCCAGCCTAGGCGACAGAGTGAGACTCTGTCTCAAAAAACAAAAAGAGATAATGTGAATAATCTGATTTTCACTTTTAGTACAGTATTCAATGAATTACATGAGACATTCAATACTTTATTATAAAATAGGCTTCGTGTTAAAATGATTTTGCCCACCTGTAGGCTAACATATGTATTCTGAGCACACTTAAGGTAGGCTAGACTAAGCTATGATGTTCAGTAGGCTGGATGTGTTAAATGCAATTTCAATTTATGGTATTTTCAATGGGATGTAACCCCGCCATAAGCGGAGGAGCAGCTGTACTGATGATGTGCTACAATATGTGTGAACCTTGAAAATATTATGCTAACACTATGTCTGAAAGAAGCCAGATACAAGAGGGCTTCATATTATGAAAAACTACATATTATATGTACTTTAATGCTACATAAACTACAAAAACTACATATTTTATGTTACCATTTATAGGAAAAGTCCAGTATAGGCACATTTAGAGAGACAGAACGGTTAGTGATTGCCAAGGTCGGGGGAGTGGAGGGATTGGGGAGTGACTGGTAAAGGGAACAGAGTTGTTTAGTTTGCTGTGGCTGCCATGACAAATTACCATAGATGGGTGGCTTAAACAACAGAAAGTTACTTTTCAAAGTTCTGGAGGCTGAAAGTCCATGATACTGGTACCAGCATGTTTGGGTTCTTGTTGAAAGCCCTCTTTCAGTTTGCAGACAACTGTCTTCTTCTTGTACTTTCACATCCTCACATGGCTGAGAGCAGAGAGAGAGGAAGCAAGCCCTCTCCTGTCTCTTCTTAGAAGGACGCTAACCCCATCAGGAGGGCTTCACCCTCATGATCTGATCACCTCCTGAGCGCTCCATCTCCAAATGCCATCACACTGGAGATTAGGGCTTAACATATGTATTTTGTGGGGACATATTCAGTCCATACCAAGTATTTCTCTTTGGGGTAATTAAAATAATCTAAAACTGGTTGTGGTGATAGTTGCAGCACAACTCTGAATATACTAAACTGTTGATTATGCACTTTAAATGGGTGAATTGAATGGTATGTGAATTATATTTCAATAATACTGTTCAAAAAAAAAGTTGATAGTAAAAAGCCAAAGGGAAAGCTGGGCCGCTGGGTAGGGATGGGGGGCGGTCAAGGAAAAGGACCTCCCTGGGTAAATTTCTTCACCAGTCACCTGTCTCTCCATTAGGTCATTGTATGTGGTTTTTGAGGGTTTTTTTCTGTGGTTGGTGGTGGTGTTTTAGAAAAAGTGGATGTGGGCTGGGCCCAGCGGCTCACATCTGTAATCCCAGCACTTGGGAGGCCGAGGTGCGCAGATCACTTAAGCTCAGGGGTTCAAGACCAGCCTGGGCAACATGGTGAAACCTTGTGTCAATAAAAAAAATTAGCTGGATGTGGTGACGTGCACCTGTAGTCCCAGCTACCTGGGGACCTGAGGCAGAAGGATCACTTGAACCCGGTAGATCGAGATCGAGGCTGCAGTGAGCCAAGATTGTGCCACTGCACTCCAGCCTGGGTGACAAAGTGAGACCCTGTCTCAAAACAAACAAACAAACAAGCAGAAAAACCCCACAAGTGGATATGCCTGCATTAAAAAAAAATTTTTTTTAGAGACAGAGTCTTGCTCTGTCACACAGGCCGGAGTGCAATGGCACAATCATGGCTCACTGCAGCCTCAAGCTTCAGGGGTTAAGTGATCCTCCTACCTCAGCTTCCCAAAGAGCTGGGATTGCAGGTGTGAGCCGCTGCACTGGTCTTGCATTTTCCTTTCCTCTACCAAACCTGGCTCCATTTGCTTGTTAAAAAAGCAGTGAGCATTAGTGGAATGTTAATGGTCTGAACGACTTTAACTTTCCATCTGGCTGTTACTCTCCAGGAAGTCTCTTTTCATTTGATTGCAACTGATTAGAGGTTCTTGTTCATGTTGCATTTGATGTGGCTCATTTAGAGTAAATCTAGTGGGTGATTTTCTCTCCTCTTATGTCCAGCATTCCAAAGAGCTCTCTTTTAGAGGTTGTGTCCGCTTCATCAATAGCAGATGATCACATTTCTGACCAGCCAGTGTGCCAAAAGGATGGAAGGCAAAGTGAGGGCTGAATTGTGTGTGGGAGAACCCGGAAACTTTCTTTCCTCGTCTTTACGTGACAGGCAGCGGGCCCAGCACACTATGTCACTTTGGAAAGTCATCTGTCCAGGGCAGCTGTGATAATGGTATTTCACAAAAAACCTGGGGCTTTCACCCAACATGCCAAATGCCAGCTTGGCCAAGATACATCCACTCAGCAGACTGACCCATGCTGGGATTCTGCAGACCAGATTAAAACATTTGGGTGTCCCATCTCCATACTGTGGTCTGGTTGGTTGAGATGCAGTTGCCTTGCAGACAAGTCGACACATTTGGCCCTCAGTAGAAGTTCCTCACTGTAGGTTAATGACAGTCACCAGTCAAACCAACATGGTCTTAACTTGAACGCTCTAAAAGGAATAAAATGGTTTCTTTTATTGGTTTATCAATTCATAGCCTAAAAGAGGAAGTTAGCTTGTCGCCTGGGCACCTGTGTAAGCCCTTGCTGCTCCATGTGGAAGATTCATGCTTTAGAACACAGCCTTTCTTTCTTTCTGTAGATTCGGATATTATAGGGAGACAGAATCTAGGGCTGTGGCTGGTGACCTACTTCCTTCTTATGGTGAAGAAGGTCAGGGAGAGAGAGAAAATGAGGAAGGGAGAAGAAAAAAAGGAAAGAAGGAAAGAGAGAGAGTGAGCAAGAGAGCCACAGAAAAATAATCATTATAATGAATGAGAAGAAATAAAGGGATCTGAAAAAAGAATGAGAAGGAGAAATACGGTTGTGAAACGAGAGGGAAAGAGAATGCAGGCCGGGTGCAGTGGCTCACGCCTGTAATCCCAGCTCTTTGGGAGGCTGAGGCGGGCACATCACTTGAGGTCAGGAGTTCCAACATGGCAAAACCCCATCTCTACTGAAAATAAAAAAATTAGCCAGTACTGGTGGCATGCACCTGTAATCCCAGCTACCTGGGTGGCTGGGGCAAGAGAATTGCTTGAACCTGGGAGGTGGAGGTTGCAGTGAGCCGAGATTGTGCCACTGTACTCCAGCCTGGGCAACAGAGTGAGACTCAAAACAAAAAAAAGTTTAAAAAAAAAAAAGAGAGAATGCAAATGGGGGAGAGAATGGTATCAAGGTATGAACAGGAAAACAAGTTATGATGGGTAAAGATATAGGGAGTGCTGAAAAACATACAAGGCTACCGCTTATGAATTCTTCCTTCTTTATCCTAGAAATTGCAATTGATTGTTACCAATGGCCTGGAGCTTGCATATTTCTCTTAAAAACCTAGCTCATGCCCTCTCTTGTGCACACCATACAGTCACCTGAGAGTATTCCAGTGCTTTCTTTGGTTCTTCTGCCTCCATCTGCTCTCTTCTTTCTTTTACCCTCCCCAACAGTTGGTCCCTAAAATAGTAGTACTTTAGATCTAGAAGCAACCTCAGAGAAGGGCTAAGATTTGGCTCTTTCACTTTACAGCTGAAGAAAAAGAAATCCAGCAAAATTAAATGATTTGCCCAAGGTCCTATAACCAGTGGACTGCAAGGCTGGACTAGAGGGCAGAGTTTCCATCCCATGGGTGCAGGCCAGGTCCTGAGGGACACGCTTCTCTCTGTAGAGAGCTGTCTCTCCTGCTCACATCCTGGGTAAATCCTTATTGGCAAAGAATAAGGTGGGAGAGAAGGTGGCCAACAAAGTGCTAGCTCTGCCAACTTCTCTCATCGTCAGGAGACAAGTGTTGCAGGTACTTTTTATTCTCTCCCTTTTAGTGTGGGGATGAAGTGGAGGCCAGTTGGTTTCCTATTGGACAGATTCTCTTTCTCCCTTGGATTCTGCCTGGCCGTCTGCTGATGGCCCCTTCTGGATGTAACACATGTTATCTGGAATAGCGCAGGTGGGGATGGGTGAAGAGCATTCAGATAGAAGTTTCTGATGGTAGTGGGCAGCAGGGTGGAATCTCACTTTAACCCACGGGTTCTCAGCTGGGGTGATTTTGCCCCCCAGGGAACTTTTGGTAATGTCTAGAGGCATTTTTTGTTGTTACATCTAGGGGGTGCTAGTGAGTAGTACATCTAGTGAGTAGAGACCAGGGATGCTGTCAGACATTCTCCAATGCACAGACAGCCCACCATAACAAAGAGTCATCTGGTCCACGATGTCAGCAGTGTTACCCAACTGAACTTGAGTCCTCTCACCCAGCATGCACAAAAATCCAAACACTGATACTAGGATTTGCAGGGAGAGAAAGTTAGGCGTTTGTGGCAGGGTGCCAAACAGAGAATTGAGCAGCGAATGCTTAAGACCTGAACTCTCCAATAGCTTACAAGCAAGAGATGTTTTGTTTTGTTTTGTTTTGTTTTTGAAACAGGGTCTTGCCTTGTCACCCAGGCTGGAGTGGAGTGGCTCAATCTCAGCTCACTGCAACCTCCACTTCCCAGGTTCAAGCAATTCACCTGCCTCAGACTCCTGAGTAGCTGAGATTACAGGTGCCTGCCACCATGCCCAGCTAATTTTTGTATTTTTAGTAGAGATAGGGTTTTAATTTACTGTGTTGGTCACACTGGTCTCAAACTCCTGACCTCAAGTGATCAGACTTCCTTGGCCTCTCAAAGTGCTGGGATTACAGGCGTGAGCCACCGTGCCTGGCTACAACTGAGGGGTTTTAGTTTTAAAGGCAGGGGTTCATTTCAAGAAAGCAGAAGTTACAAGCATAATCGTAAATCAATACATGGGTATTATACACTGGTTTGGCCCAAAAAGATGGGATATCTTGAAGTGAAGGTTACAGGTCGTATGTGGATTCAAAGATTTTTTGATTTGCAATTGGTTAAGGAAGTAAGAATTCATCTGAAAACTTGGGGTCAGCAGGAAGGAATGTCAGGGTTTGGCCTGTGGGCATAACTCTCTCTAGGCCCCTCAGGAAGAAATTGACAACAAAGAACTGTCCTCAGGGTTCAGTCTTCATTTCCCCCTTATTTGAGGTCTGTGTGACAGCGGTTGACATTTTCCATCTGGTAAGGGTTTGGGTTTCTGAAAAACGACTCAGGGACATATGTCAAGATGTTATTTTTAGTTTCTATAGGGAACCAAGCATCTCGTGAGTCTAATGTACTTGGGTGACTATTGTTACGCTATTTTTACCTTCTTGCTTAGCAGGTTATTTATTCATTTCCTTAGTTGCTGGCTGCATGGCTAGCTAGGTACCCAGAATTTCCCTTGAAGGGACTCAAATTTTTCTTTATTTTCAGGCTGAGAGGAAGCTGGGGAGGCCCCTAAGAGGGATCCCTACTCCATCTCAATAATGTTGAGGTGAAGAAATTTCACTTTGCCTGAATCTTTTTTTAGCAGAAGTTCAGTGCTCATAGCCCAGGATAGTCAGAGACCCTTTTTCCTAACTGGGTGGTAGCGCCTGGAGACAGTTCAGTGCAGATACTTGAGCTTGGACAAGCTGCCTGTGATGATAACCCTGTGATGAATTTCAGGGTTAATTAATTTAAAAAGTCAAGGTTTGCTGAAAACCAGGCAGAATTCTCATCTCCTTTCCCCTGGCTACAGCTCAACAGGCAGAGCTTACCTGCTTCTCCTCTGCTTAGGGCGACATCTTAAAAGGGCAGAAATAAGGACTGTCTTAGGTGTGGACTTCCAGTGGTCAAAGTGTAGTGCTGAATAGATAGAACTCTGTGAGTAGTCACGGTGGAGAATTAAACCAGAAAGGAAATGAGGGTGAGATGGAAGGAGGAGAGACAGATTTTATAAAAGGCAAAATAGATTCTCCTGTTTGCAGCAGTCAAGTTGAAACCAGCCATAGCTGTAGGCAAGAAATTATAGAGAGATTATCATCTTAGTGATTGTTCTGTAAAATTGCTCTAGGCCAAAGGTGCTGCTTTCACATTTTTGTAATTTAACCTCTTTTTACCTTCCTGAGCCACAGTGTGCATTTGTGTTTCTAATAAGCTGTCTTTTTCCAGGAAGGAATTTTGGTGATGTTTCTGCCTGTGCTCACATATAGAAAAGGGGTGCTACGTGTTCTGGGCCATTCTAGCCTCCCCTGAATGGACAATCCATATGATATAAAAATATACTGTTATATAATCAGAGTTTCCAGGTAAAATAATTGCCACTTCCTTCTTAATAACTCATTTTTGTTCTTGTTTATCTAAAAAGCTAACTAATGTTGATTTTATTTCTATATGATCAATTTATTTTTCTCTTATTATAATAGAGGTTGTTATTAAAGAAAAAGTTTTCCATCCTTCCATTGATTCTCAGTTACTCTAAGGACCAAGACTTGTTGATTTCCAATCTGCCTACATTCTAGCTCATTTATCAGAACTTTTCATCCCCTCTATTTCAAGCTATGTTCTAAAAAAATCTTTCCAACTGTTCATTACTTGTGTTTTTTTCCTTTTCATTGAATCTGCAAATGTTTAATGAATCCCTGCTAGCTGCGAGTCACTGTATTTAGAGCTGCGGGATGCACAGCTATGCCTAAGGTACCGTCTGAACTCTCTTGGAACTGTAGGACTGGGAATTCCAGTCTGTGCTCTTGGAGGTTGCGTGAGGGAGAGGGAGAAGAGGCTACTTATAAGACTTTGAGGGTGTACTTTGATCCACCTTTTCATTCCTTGTCTTTTTTTTTTTAAAATGTGGTAAAATATCCATAACATTTACCATTTTCACCATTTTTAAGTATACATTCAATGGCACTAAGTACATTAGATGCAGAATTTTTGCTCCTCCTCCCAGCTCCTGGTGACCACTCTTCTACTTTCTGTCTCCATAAATTTGACTACTGTAGGTAGCTCATATAAATGGAATCACACAATATTTGTCCTTTTGTGACTGCTTATTTCACGTAGCATGATATCCTCAAGGTTCATCCATGTCATAGCATGAGACAGGATTTCCTTCCTTTTTAAGGCTAGATAATATTCTGTTGTATGTATATACCACATTGTCTTTAGCTACTCCTCTGTTGATGGACACTTGGACTGTTTCTACCTTTTGGCTACTGTGACTAACGCTGCTGTAAACACTGGTATATTCCCAGTCCTTATCTTTAAAAGCATATCTGCATGTGAAAGCACTGAAAAAAAATTGGCCAATGATGCCTCTCCATATCCATACATATGTACATGTATTTATGTAGTTGTATGTGCTAGGCATAGTTATGTGGTGGCAATCATTTTTTTTCTGGCTTGAAATTGTAAGCCAGACCAATATCATCTCATGCCCTTGCTTCACATCCTCCTTTCTCTCCACTAAATCTCTCTCCTCCGCCCCACCAACCCCCCACCGTCTCTTCCCCATCTTCTCTTTCCCCTGCTTCAATTCAGTTTAGCACACTTTTATTATTGTTAACTTTTTGGGTGCAAAGTGCTCTGGAAATTTTGAAGAATGAAACTGGCCTTGGGTTTTTCATGGTCTCTTATTGGAGACGAGACCCACGGTAGCAGTTGAGTGAGTCAGGCTGTGGACCTGCCATGGTGGCCAGGCTCATGAAAGGATGGCAAAGATGAGGGAAAACTCATTCCAGCCAAAGAAAATGACCCAAACAAAGGGTGTGGGATGGAAAATATTGGACATATTTCATTTTAAGTAGTTTTTATTTGTATGTGGCCTTTAAATGTTTTTAATTATTAGGATGTGCTTGATAAATTCCCTACCTGGGAGTAATAGTGATTTCTCCACCCTGTGTTGTAGATTTTATATAGAAAATTTCCCTTTAATAATTTGCTTTAAGGCCGGGTGCGGTGGCTCACGCCTGTAATCCCAGCACTTTGGGAGGCTGAGGCAGGCGGATCACAAGGTCAGGAGTTCCAGACCAGCCTGACCAACATGGTGAAACCCCATCTCTACTAAAATACAAAAATCAGCCATGCATGGTGATGCGCACCTGTAATCCCAGCTACTCAGGAGACTGAGGCAGGAGAATTGCTTGAACCTGGGAGGCGGAGCTTGCAGTGAGCCAAGATTGCTCCACTGCACTCCAACCTGGGCGACAGAGCAAGACTCCGTCTCAGAAAAATAAAATAAAAATAAAAATAAATAAAATCTGTTTTAAAAGAAGTGCATTTGTGTTTGATGTAATCTTAGATATTCTCCATGCTTCAGAGAAAGAAGCACGTTTTGTTTTTAGTATATTTTACATCAGTAATTTAGTTGGATTTTTTTCTTGTAATTCTATTGGTTTTTGAAAGATTTTGAAAAAAATTTTTAAGAGACAGGGTCTTGCTGAGTTGCCCAGGCCAGCCTTGAACTCCTTGCCCCAAGTGATCCTCTCACCTTAGTCTCCTGAGTAACTGGGACTATAGGAATGTGCCATCAAGCCCGGCTCTTTTGGTTTTTTTAATTAACTGAAATCTGATAGAATCAAATGTTTGTGAAGCCTGGAAAAGAAGCCCTCTCAATTTAACAGTTTAACATTTGAAGAATGATGTTGCTCAGTTGAGCAATTTAATACTTGAAAAGTGGTTTCTATCAGTCAATTTATTTAACAAAAGAAATAAGTGAATTTGAGACATCTTGCCACAAATATGTTACAGAACCCCAGTAGGTGTACATATGTGTATGTATGTATGTATACGTGTATACACGCACATAGTCCCTCTCACTTTAAGTGTGAAGGTAAAAAAAACTGGGACAAGCACGGTGGCTCACACGTGTAATCCCAGCACTTTGGGAGGTTGAGGCAGGAGGATCATTTGAGACCAGGAGTTTGAGACCAGCCTGGAGATGGCAAGACCTCATCTCTACAAAAAATTTTAAAAATTATGCAGGTATGGTGGTGTGTGCCTGTAGTCCCAGCCATTCTGGAGGCTAAGGTGGGAGGATCCCTGAGCCCAGGAATTTGAGGTGGCAGTGAGCTATGATCATGCCACTGCATTCCAGCCTAGATAACAAAGTGAGACCTCATTGTTATTGGAAAGGGGTCACAATGCAGACCCCAAGAGAACGTTCTTGGATCTTGCACAAGAAATAATTAGAAGCAAATCCATAAAGTGAAAGCAAGTGTATTAAGAAAGTAAAGGAATAAAAGAGTGTCTGCTCCATAGGCGAGCAGTGGCACGGGCTGCTCAGCTGCTTATACTTATTGTTACTTCTTGATTACATGCTGAACAAGGGGTGGATTATTCATGAGTTTTCTGGGAAAGGAGTGGGCAATTCCCTTGAACTGAAGGTTCCTCCTTTTTTTAGACCATACAGGGTAACTTCCTGACGTTGCCATGGCATCTGTAAACTGTTGTGGTGCTGGTGGGTGTGTCTTTTAGCACGCTAATGCATTGTAATTAGCATATAATGAGCTGTGAGACCGAGCAGAGGTCACGCTCCTCTCCATCTTGGTTTTGGTGGGTTTTAGCCGGCTTCGTTACTGCATGCTGTTTTATCAGCAAGGTCTTTGTGACCTGTATCTTGTGCCGACCTCCTGTCTTACCCTGTAACTAAGAATGCCTTAATCTCCTGGGAATGCAGCCCAGTAGGTCTCGGCCTTATTTTACGCAGCTCCTATTCAAGATGGAGTTGCTCTGGTTCAAACGCGTCTGAAAACATCTCTAAAAAAATAAAATAAATAAAATTAACAACACTTTCAGCCAGAAGGGGGAACATAAGATATAAAGTGCCATTTTTCTTTTTTTGATCTTTTTTTAAAATGATTATCTGCTATCAGCAGATGGCCACACAATATGAGCAGTAAATAATGTAGTACATTTAGCCGGTGATTTGGGTCAATGGTACTGCTAGTCTAGCTGTTTTGACTTCAACCTGACTTCCAAGAGTAGCTTGCCAGGTCTGTAGGACTCACTCAGGGATCCTCAGAGGCCCGAAAGGTCCAGACCTTTGTTAAGCAGGAGCCTGAAGAAGTAGAGGCTCCAAGAAATATGGTCCAACCCCCTGGCAAGCTACGACATATAAGAACCAGACCTGGGGAGGGAGCAGACGGATGAAAGGAAATGGAATTGGAAAGCGTTCCTAGGGTTATGCGGGAAGAGGAGCAAGATGCTGTTTGAGGCCTTGCTGGTGACCCTAGATTAGTTAGTAGGGGAACCTAAAAAATGGCATTATGGCTTTCTCTCCATGCTTAGTAGCAATTAGTTTGGAAGCTTCTGGGACTTAGTCCCTTACAGAGTCATTTACCTGGCCCTAGGCACTGGGGAGATAGAGTATTGTTTCCCAGCATGGCCCATTCTGGCTCTGCATTTAGGGTGAGGTTTGGCTAGAAGTGTGGCAGACTGAACAGATCACATAGTTTGCTCTTTCTTTCACTCCTTCAACTATTTATTGAACACCTCCTATGTGCTGGGCATTATTCCAAGTGCTGGGAATGATGGCGTGAGCAGGACAGAGGCTCTGCCCTGTTTGGGTTTGTGTTCTGGTGGAAGTAACAGGGGAATTAGTGCTCACGCAGGGTCTTCTGACTTCTATGTGGATGTTACTTGCAATAGTGCTAGACAGAACACTATCTTTTAATCACTTGCAAGATATCTCCCTTTTTGATGGTTTTGGAAGAAGAAAGAGAAGTCATACCCAAAGCCGTTTTTTTAATTCAGTTTTCCTTAGAAAATCAGAGGACTTCTGAAGATGTCTCCGACAATATAATCTCCATGTCTTTTGGTGATGGACTGATTTGTCCAGATGCTTCTTTCTTCCTGCAGTTTCTGTGCCCCAGTCTCCTATCAAAACTCAGAACTTTCATGGTAATGATTTTAGTAAACTCTCATAACCAGCAATAATATCCCTTCAGCCCCTGGCCTGGCCAACTGCCTACCTTCATGTTTCTTCCCACTGTCATATTATGATTTTAACTGGATTTAATAACTCGTGGCAAATTTAAACAGAAATTTATAGCCCCCATTACAGATTGCCCTTTACCTTCTTCCAGAAATGTTTCCCATAAGTACTGAGCTTATGCAACTAAAACATGATGATGACTTCTAAATTCATAGTTTATTAAACAGATTCTTGAGCTTAAGAACACAGATCTCTCTATACACAAAGGATTCTGCAGTGAAAAGTTCCAAAGGGGAATAAAGTAATACTTTGGGATTAGCAAATGAGAGAGAGAAAAATCATTTGTCTTTCTTAGTGTCTCACAATCATTATACTGAGTGCCAAAAGTTTGTGGGGAGAAACAGGAGGAAGAGCTTTATCCGAGGTTGAAATCCTAATGGCCTAATGGTGTTTCTCCCATGGAGTGTGGGGAGTCTGCTCCCAAAGGGCCCAAAAGGCTGAGGTCAGGCGATGCAGTCGTGGCTGTTTTGCCATGGTCTTTGAGGGCTTTGCCAAGATGACCAACATGGGGATTTGATCAAAATGCAATTTTGTTTATGTGGACATTTTCTCACTAGGAAATTGTCTTGAAAATACCAATTTGTTTCACAGAAAATATCAGCCAGGGGTTAATCACCATCATTTGGCACCGGCAGCATATGCATTTAGATGTGAACAAAGGACTACATTGTTAGATGAGTTGTAAAGGTTTTGCTAATCTTGAAAACTTCTTTTTAAATTTAATTAGCTGGCTGGAAACGGTGGCTCACGCCTGTAATCCTAGCACTTTGGGAGGCCGAGGCGAGTGTATCACCTGAGGTCAGGAGTTCAAACCAGCCTGGTCAACATGGTGAAACCTCGTCTCTACTAAAAATACAAAAATTAGCTGGGCATGGTGGTGTGCGCCTGTAATTCCAGTTACTCAGGAAGCTGAGGCAGTAGAATCACTTGAACCCAGGGGGCGGAGGTTGCAGTGAGCCGAGAATGTGCCACTGCACTCCAGCCTGGGTGACAGAGCAAGACTGTGTCTCAAAAAAATAAATGAATAAATAAAATAAAATAATACAAATAGATAAATAAAATTAATTAGCTGAAGAAAGTATCAGTGAAATGTGAGGGCATGAATAGACATGGCATTATATGCTTTGGTTCAATTATTATCTGAGCCAGATTTAATGATAGATATTTATAAATTTAAAGATTCTAGATGTCATTGAATTCTTTATAAAATGTAGGAGTTAAATACTGTGAGATAGGAGAATCATGAGCCTTCAGATTCAGCAGATGTATAAAATTCTACTTTTTAACTAGTATATGGGTTAGACCTCTTGGTATTTTTGATACTTAAAAAAACTCCCAGCTAATTTATTCAGAATAGCCCATAAATGAGACATTCCCATTTAGCCGCAATGAAAACTGGGGGCCATCACTTATCAGCCAGTACAATTTTTGTAGAAATAGAAGGTGGAATTAAAATTCTTATTCTTTTTGGATATAAAGTATACTCATTGCCTTAAGACCATTAAGTGACTTTAATCTTTGTCAACAAATTATGTCTTCGGTGTACACAAGAATCATATTGCCATAAACTTCTTCTTTTTTTCTGCATTCTCTATTTTAAATTCTTTTGAAAAATAGATGTTATTTTCCATATGGTCTGCTTCAGTGCTTACTTCATGCCTTCGACTATGTTTCTGAGGACTTACGTAGTTTTCCCTGAGCTTCGCTCTACTTTTCCAGGGTTGGAAGGAATACCTGCATTTCTGTGATCAGTGCTTGGTCCCACCCTACTCCCTTGCCTTGCCTGCCTGCCATGCACAGAGTGATCACTCATGTTTTATCAGATGTTTTCATTAAGACATAGAGCATATAACAAGGCTCTTATCCTCATAGAACAAATAATGTAGTTGGAAATGTAAGATAAAACCTATATGAAAACAAGAATATTCTAGGGCTCCATATGCTGCTTGGCAAGTGAACAGAGTAGGAGAAGTGTAGGCTTCCTCCAAAAGACTGGTCAGGGGAAGGTTTGGGTTCAGCATTGAGGGAATAGTAAGATTCTTTTTTTTTTTTTTGAGACAGAGTCTTGCTCTGTCGCCCAGGCTGGAGTGCAGTGTCGAGATCTCAGCTCACTGCAACCTCCGCCTCCCGGGTTCAAGCAGTTCTCTGCCTCAGCCTCCCGAGTAGCTAGGATTACAGGCACCCACCACCACACCTGGCTAATTTTTGTATTTTTAGTAGAGATGGGGTTTCACCATCTTGGCCAGTCTGGTCTTGAACTCCTGACCTCGTGATCCATCGGCCTCGGCCTCCCAGAGTGCTGGGATTACAGGTGTGAGCCACCGCGCTCGGCCCAATAATAAGATTCTTAAGTAGAGACCTCAGAAAACTATGTTTCTTGCTTTTTTTTAAATACAAGGAAATGTTTGCTTATACAGCTAAACCATTTTCTTTAAATGCTGTTTAATTATCCCTATATTAACTAAGCAAGCAATGACCTCAGTTCTGAATTACTGTATTATCTTTCCTCTATATCCGTCCAGAGCTCTAGCCAATGGGCCAGCAGGGAACATGAGGAAGTGTCACACCCTCTTGGGGTGGGGACATACAGGGCTGGGAAGAGAGGGGGAGATTTCCTGTCCAGAGTGTCCTGGGCTGGGAGGTGGAAGGCCTGAGGGAACTGTCCCTCTCCACCACTAACGTGTCCTAGCACCAGTCAGGGCCTCTGTCCCCATCTGTGTGGCCACAGCTGGTCACCCTCCTCCCAATCTCACATGCCATGAGTCTTTGAAAATGGCTGAGTTTGCAGCCTGTCCTGCTTTTATTGCCATGTCTTTTGTGGAAAGAGGAAAAGGAAGTCTCAGCCTCTGCTGTTAATGAGCTGTTATACGAGCCAGCAGGCTGCAGCAGAGTAGTGGGCCTTTCCTCTTCTGTGCCTCCAGCTGCTCACGCACACCTATCCTCTTCCATCTCCCAGCCAGACTCGGTGCTGAGGTAGAAGCCTGTGTCCCAGGTGCTCATCATCTCTGCTGAACACATTCATTATCTGCAATCAAGCTGCATTCCAGCTTCTTGCCAAACCCTTGTCTGTCAGTAGAAGCTGCATTGGGGATATACAGTCTGAATTTGGCTCATTAGGCCAAAGGCAAGCAGCAGAACTTGGAAAAGGCCGGGGAGGGCTGTTGCGTGGTTCTCAGCAACTTGTGCACACTCTGGTGTGAGAGTTACCAAACCCCAGAATTACAAGCTCACCAACCCCTTACTTTACAAGACTTTTTGTTCTGCATTCCCATTGCAGGCCAGCATCCTTGATGCTTTGAAGAATTTAGGAACTTTGCCATTGGCAGGATTTATGAAAGCTACCCCCACCTCCTGCCTCCAAATACAGCATGGTAGATCCCAGTAGGTTCCTGACATGCATTTCTTTGGGGGCCCTCTGATCCTCCCCAGTTTTCCTGGCCAGATGAATGCTGAAGATTCCCTGGGCCCTGCGTTTTGTCACGGCCTCCTTGGGGGTGGTTCCCTTCTGCATCCAGCTGTTGCAGCCTGGCTCTGTGTTCACTGCAGGCTGGGGCCCGGCCAGCTCCCTGCTGTAGCAGTTGGTGAGCAGCTCCAAGGATGAGGGGGGAGCAGCAGTGCTGCAGGCCTGCTGAGGTCTTGGCTCACGGTGGCTCCCCTGGCTGACTTTTGACCAAATGGGAGAAGAAAAATCTTCCCTCCTCCCTTTAGGTCTCAGAGGGAGGCCATGTCTCCCTAGAGCATTTCTTTCTCTCCCTCCCATCCTTAGGAAAAGAAGAGTGTCATCCTAAATGCTGTGCCTTCACCTGAGAGGGGATATGTGCTTTTGGTCTAAGCAAGAAGAATGAGAAAAATTTAGGCTCACTGGGAGTCAGAAGGTCACATTATTCAGTTGTTCATGGAATACTTCAAAATGTGTGAGCATTTATTTCTTGCCTCTCTTTTGGCTTTGAAATACCTTAAAACAAGTCAGATACGTAAGCATTTGCAGAAGCAGGGTGTAAGTAGATTTAAGAACGGCACGATTCCTCTGTAATGTCCACAGACATATTTCTTTAGCAAAGATTGACATTTGGGCCAAAGCAGGATTTATTTATTCTTGCAATCACTCAGTTTGTAAATTGACGGGATATAGATTGCCACAGAAGCACTTCCCTGATTCATATTCAAAGGAGAGTCTTGTTATATTATTAGGTATAGCAAGTGTGTTATTGTTAATATCCACCTTTGAGTACTTGTTCAAAGGAGATAAGCAGGATATTATATTATTTCTAACCAAACCAAGCTTCTCAGACATCACTCATTGAGAAGGTAACAAAACAGAAGCCCAGGGAAGAATACCCTACATAAGTGCTTGGGAACCTATGCCCCCGCAAGAATCAACTGGCCTGAGCCGCAAGTGTGGAAATGGTCTACATGCGCCATCTTGTGGCTAAGGCCATCAAGAACGTTTGGAGATAGAAACACCCAAATAAGAGTTCTGCTCAGGTTCACTGCCTTTTTGAAGCTGAAGTTCATGATAGCTGCTTTCTAGCATCTAGTGCACTTCCTGGGATTCTCAATTAATATTTGTCAGGTGAAACTCTTCGAAGGAATCTCATGTCATGGCAGAGTATACTTGTTCTATGTTACACTAGAAGGCATAGCCAAGACTGACATGTCCTCCAGCCATGGTCCAAGGCCGTTGTGTCCAAAATAAGACAGAATACTCTAAACATGGTCTGAGTAGCCTAAAGTAACCCAGAAATATTACTTCCAAGACTCTGGAAAGTCTGCTTCTAGAGGTCGACATCCTCACTGAAATCTGCCTTTCACCACACTTAACACTTTAAAAAAAATTAATGTGGTAAAAAACATGTAACATAAAATTTACTGGCCAGGCACAGTGGTTCATGCCTATAATTCCAGCACTTTGGAA
The DNA here is from genome assembly GCF_000001405.40 of Homo sapiens. Lineage (NCBI taxonomy): Eukaryota > Metazoa > Chordata > Mammalia > Primates > Hominidae > Homo > Homo sapiens. The sequence continues at coordinate 152,036,554 of NC_000002.12, read as the reverse complement.
GTCTAGGAGAGCAGATCACCTAAGGTCAGGAGTTCGAGACCAGCCTGGCCAACATGGTGAAATCCTGTCTCTACTTAAAGTACAAAAATTAGCCAGGCATGGTGGCGCGCGCCTGTAATCCCAGCTACTTGGGAGGCGGAGGCAAGAGCATTGCTTGAACCTGGAAAGCAGAGGTTGCAGTGAGCCAAGATTCTGCCACTGCCCTCCTGCCTGGGAGACAGAGCAAGACTCTCAAAACAAAACAAAACATAAAATTTAGCATTTTAACCATTTTTAAGTGTACAGTACAGCAGTGTTAACTATATGCAGTCCATTATGCAACAGATCCCTAGAACTTTTTCATCTTGCAAAACTGAAATTCTATATCCATTGAACAACAACTACCTGTTACCACCTCCTCCCGGTGCTTGGCAACCACATTATATTTTCTACTTCTAAGAGTTTTACTGCTTTGGATACCCCATATAAGTGGAATCATGCAGTATCTTTTTTGTGACTGGCTTATTTCACTTAACGTCTTCAAGTTTCATCCACGTTACATATGGCAGGATTTCCTCCTTTTTTAAGGCTGAATAATATTGTCTGCATACGCCACATTTTGTTTATCCATTCATGCATAGATGGACATTTAGGTTGCTTCCACATCTTGGCTATTGTGAATAATGCTGCGGTGAACACAGTGTGCACATTTAACAGTTTTATTCTCAATGATATGATGGAGTTTAAAAATCTTATGGAGAATTTAATTTATTCTTGAAGTTTTAAACTCAAATGCTTGAGGGGTAAAAGCTTGAGAAGTGTCTGTTGGTTAATCTGAGCTATTCTTGCGGTTTGTCTAACAAGGACAATCTTAATCCATATCAGGTGCATCTTAATACATACATACATATATATATATATATAGAGAGAGAGAGAGAGAGAGAGGGAGAGGGAGGGAGAGAGAGAGAGAGAAAGAGAGAGAGAGAGGGAGAGAGAGAGAGAGAGAAAGAGAGAGAGAGACGGAGTTTCGCTCTGTTGCCCAGGCTGGAGTGCAATGGCACGATCTCAGCTCACCGCAACCTCCGCCTCCCGGGTTCAAGCGATTCTCCTGCCTCAGTCTCCTGAGTAGTTGGGATTACAGGCATGTGCCACCATGTCTGGCTAATTTTGTATTTTTAGTAGAGATGGGGTTTCTCCATGTTGGCCAAGTTGGTCTTGAACTCCCGACCTCAGGTGTACTGCCTGCCTTGGCCTCCCAAAGTGCTGGGATTACAGGCATGAGCCACTGCTCCCGGCCTGCGAATATATTTTTTAAAGTTGCCTTGAATCATTTTTGGAGCAAGACAGTGAATAAATATACAAAAGAAAATCATCCGTTTAAGAAAGTGCTTGCTTTCTGTGAAGCATCTGGCTATTGCTTGTAACATGGTGGAGTTGATGTCAGACATTATGTCTCTCACTGAACGTCACTTTCCTTCTCCTGCCCGGAGGTTTGGGATTTTG